>NC_000007.14:42967514-43270545 GCF_000001405.40 Homo sapiens
ATTGGTGAGAGATTGTGGTAGTAAAACCAGTCAGAGTCACAGCACATGGTTTCAGCAGCTGGGCTTGTGGAAAATTTAATTATTGGAGCAGGTGTCATGTGCCGTGAGTGCTTTTTTCCCTGGTCCCTCGACTCTGATTTGCTTGGGTTTGACAAGAATGACTCAATTTGTATAATTAACATTCACATCTTCCTTTAGATCATCACCATCCTTCAAGTCATGCAAGTTAAAGTCCCATAAAATAATATAAAATCCTCTGAATTCTTCTCTACCATGTCATATCCAATCAGTTCCTAAATCCTGTCAAGCCACTCCTTGGTGTCTGATATGGTTTGGCTCTGTCCCCACCCAAATCTCATCTTGAATTGTAGCTCCCATAATCTCCATGTGTTGTAGGAGGGACCAGCAGGAGGTAATTGAACCATGGAGGCAGGTCTTTCCCATGCTGCTCTCATGATAGTGAACAAGTCTCATGAAATCTGATGGTTTTATGAAAGGCGGTTCCCTTGCACATGTTTTCTTGTCTGCCACCAGGTAAGACGTTCCTTTGCTCCTCCTTCGCTTTCTGCCATCATTGTGAGGCCTCCCCTGCCATGTGGAACTGTGAGTCCATCAAACCTCTTTTTCTTCATAAATTACCCAGTCTTAAGTATTTCTTCATAGTGGTATGAAAATATAGTGTCCAACACCACTGCCTCCTTTCCATTCCCACAGTTGGCTCCACACTGGATCTGCCTTTACCCAGAAATCATTTCTCGATTTATGTTCCCTTTCCTCACTCTTTTACTGATCTAATGTTTAATATCTAGAGCTCTAAGACCATCAGGCATAAATACTTGACAATCTGGCATTCAAAGGATTTATTTATTTATTTTGAGACAGAGTCTCACTCTGTTGCCTGGCTGGAGTGCAGTGGTTCGACCTCAGCTCACTGTAACCTCCGCCTCCCGGGATCAAGCAATTCTCCTGCCTCAGTCTCCCAAGTAGCTGAGATTACAGGTGCATGCCACCACACCTGGCTAATTTTTGTATTTTTAATAGAGATGGGGTTTCACCATATTGGCCAGGCTGGTCTTGAACTCCTGACCTCAGGTGATCCATCTGCCTCAGCCTCCCAAAGTGCTGGGATTACAGGAGTGAGCCACCCCACTCGGCCAAAACCTTTTATAATATGATGCCCACCTGCATTTAAAATGAATATTTCAAAAGCCACCTCTTCCATAAGCCATTCTTGATGCCACTCATCAACTGATGTGGTGTTTCCTGTGTACAAAACTATATCACTTTTTAAAACAAGTACACTTTTAAAATTTTATAATGGTTTCAGATTTGCAGAGAAGTTGAAGAGAGTACAGAGAGTTCCCATAGACCCCTCATCCAGTTTCCTTTACTATTAACAACTTACATTAGTACAGTGCATCTGTTACCATTGGACCAATATTGGTACATTATTATTGATAAAAATTTATACTTTGTTTGGATTTCTTTAGTTTTGTGTAATGTTCTGTTGCTGTTGTTTCTGAGAGATGAGGTCTCTCTCTGTTGCCCAGGCTAGAGTGTAGTGGCTATTAACAGACATGATCATAATGCACTACAACTTTGAACTCCTGGCCTCAGGTAGTTATCCCACCTCAGCCTCCTGAGTAGCTGGGACTACAGGCATGTGCCACCATACCTGGTTTCAATGTCCTTTTTCTGTTTCAAGATCTAATTTAGGATATCACTTACATTTAGTTATTATGTCTCCTTAGGCTCTATAATGGTTAACTTTGTGTCAGCTTGACTGGGCCATGGAGCGCCCAGATATTTGGTTAAACATTATTCTGAATGTTTCTATGAGGGTGTTTTTGGATGAGATAAACATTTAAATTGGAAAACTGAGTAAAGCCGATGGTCTACATAATATAGGTAGGCATCATCCAATCAGTTGAAGGCCTGAATGGACCAAAAGACTAACCCTCCCCCAAGTAAGAGAATTTCTCCTGCCTGATGGCCTTCAAACTGGATGTTGTCTCTTCCTGATTTTCCAGGCAACTCCTGGCCTTCAGACTTGAACTGGGTCATGAGCTCTGCAGACTTCGGCCTTGCCAGCCTTCATAATCACATATTTCTCTGGAGAATTCTAATACAGGCTTCTCTTAGCTAAAATGGTTTCTCAGACTTTCCTGGTTTCTGATGACCTTTGAGGAAGAGATACTCCTCAAGCTGGGTTTTTTTAATGTCTTTTCTTATTATTACACCAGCGTTACATGTCTTTGGGAGGGAAACCTCAGAGGTAAAATGCCTTTCCCATCACATTACTGTAAGAGTACACATTTTTCAATATGAGTTATTATTAATAATATTAGCCTCAATCACTTGGCCAAGGTAGTTTTTCCAGACTTCTCTACAGTAAACTTACTTCCCCCCATACCATCTTTTCACACTCTGCTTTTTGAAAGCAAGTCATTAAGCACACACTCACTCAAGGGGTAAGGAAGTAAACTCCATGTCCTTGAAGGGAAATTACCTACATCAACTATTTGGATTCTTCTACATGTGAGATTTATCTCTCATTTTCATTTACTTATTTATTCAAACATTTATTTATTTATTTATGTCACCCAGGCTGGAGTGCAGTGGCATGATCTCAGCTCACAGCAACCTCTGCCTCCTGGGTTCAAGCAATTCCCCTGTCTCAGCCTCCCTAGCACCTGGGACTAAGGCGTGTGCCACCATGCCCAGCTACTTTTTGTATTTTTGGTGAAGATGGGGTTTCACCATATCGGTCAGGCTGGTCTCAAACTCTGGACCTAAGGTGATCCACCTGCCTCAGCCTCTCAAAGTGCTGGGATTACAGGCTTGAGACACTGTGCCCAGCCCAAATATTTATTTATATCATCATGAATTCTTGGATATTTATTTCATGCTTTGGATCTGTGAAAGGAAAACAAAATCTTGGGACCTCAAACTCAATATGCCATAAGGAAAAATTAAACTTAGAAACTGAGTGACACAAAAACCTGCCTTTCCTTTTGTTCTTAAACAGATCATTGTAGACAGAAGGCCAAATATTTTCCTAGGAGGACTTCTTCACCCTGACAATGTAAATTAACAGCTTATCTTCATGGCTATAGGACAAGAAGGGGCTAGAAATCATCCTCCTGCCCACCCCAAGACAAATGCATGTTTGACCTCTACTCCGTATTTACTTTATCTTATGTAAAGTGCAGATTTACTGCACAGGAGGAAAATACATAATTGACTGCCCCTACAGCCTCTCCTTTCCACATGCAACATGTGGATTCAGGGAACACCAATCAAAGCCTCATAAGAATGTGACCATATGCTGCCCCTTCTTTTCTGTCTTCCTTTCCCCTCTTGCCCATTTTTTCCCCTTTAAATATTGAAGTCCTTAAAATCCTCTTTGGAAAAATTGCAGGCCCCAGATCCTACAGTGGCTTGTGTTTCTTTTTCCTGGGTACATCTTCAACCATGGCAAAATAAACCTCAGCAAAACTTGGCAAAATAAACCTCTAAATTGGTTGAAACCTGTTTCAGACATTTTTTTTTTTTTTTTGGTTTACAGATCATAACCCAATACAATGTTATTTATTTTATTGCTCCTATGTTCCGTTGGGAACCCTTCAGGTTGGCTTCTTACTCTATTACTTTTTAAAAATACTATTGTTTGGAAAAAGCTTATTTTTCCTGTGCTCTCACACTGCAATAATCATCAATACAGAAGACTTCTGTGATCAAATGTTGGGGAAGTTTTCTCTCTATCAACAAGCAAGCAATCAGTTCTGCAGAAGGCACCAGCTGGATGTCCTTTAATTCAATTCTGAGGCTATCTACCCGGAGACAGCATCAGATGCCACAGGTTGAGGGCTCAGTCCCCAAAACTGCTCCCCACTTTGGACACTAGTAGCAAGTCTGGCCTCTGAAACTTCTCTCCAGCTGGCTTCAAGTTAGAGTTTCCATGACCCCATCTTGGGTTCAATTAATTTGCTAGAGCAGATCACAAAACTCAGAGAAATAGTTACTTACATTTACTGGTTTATTATAAAAGATATTACAAAGAATATAGATGAAGAGATGTGTATGGTAAGGTATGAAGAAAGGGGTGTGAAGCTTCCATGCCCTCACTGGGCATGCCATCCTCTGGGAGCCTCCATGTGTTCAGCTATCTAAAAGCTTGCCAAACTCTGTCAACTTGGGTTTTTATGGAGGCTTCATTATGATCAAACCACAGGCCATTGCTGATCAGTCTGTCTTTCAGCCCCGCTCTTCTCCCTGGAAGTTGGGGAGGTGGGCCCAGAAGTTCCAACCCTATAATCATGCCTTTGTCCTTCTGGTGACCACCTCCATCCTGAAGCTATCAGTGAACATTAGCATACAAAAAGACAACACTTTGGAGATTCCAAGCATCTTAGGAATTGTGTGTATGACAGTAAACAGGGGTGAAGACCAAGTATACACTTCACAATATCACAATTATGTTGCATTTCATCTTGTTCTTTTTGTATACTTGACTAAGCCTCACTATGAATCATTAATTCATTGTATATATCTTTGTTATTCTGGATGCTAATTATCAAACCTTGTGTGTAGTCATTCATTCACTCATTCATGAAGCTAATATTTCCCACCATGGGTCCTGTACTCTGAGGAGTATGACCTCTGCAGTGAAGAACAAAACATGTACAACTTCCAGTCTCACAGAGCTTACTACTTAGTAGAGAATTGAAAATACACCTACAGAAATACATATTGTTAGAACTGTAATTAGTGCTATGAAATAACTTCATAAACACATTTCAAACTGAATTGCCTTAATTGTAAGTTTTATTTTAAATGGTATCAGCCATTGCTTTTTTTTTTTCTTTTAGCAATAAAAAATCTTGTCACAGTGTCTGTTAATCAGGTATCAGCCATTGCTTTTTTTTTCTTTTAGCAATAAAGAATCTTGTCACAGTGTCTATTAATCAGGACAGCTAATGCTAGTCATTGTAATACAATCCATAATGTGCCTCTGGCATATCAGAATAAAAGGTTTATATTCTGTTACAATCCAATGAGTTTGGTCAGCCAGTTCTCCAGAATGACTCTTCAAGCTGTCTCTTCTCTAAGTGGTGAACTTAGGCATCCTGGCTCCTTCATCATGTTGTTTCAGATATCAGAGTATTCATTTCCAGCCATGCAGAGTGAGGAGAGCAAGATTGGAAGATCTCACAGGAGACTTTAGGGGACACCTGAAAGTGGTCACATTACTTCCACCCTCGTTCTATTGGCTAGAACAAGTCATGTGACCCATTGAGAGAAGAGGAGCTTGGGAAATGCAGTTTTGCTGTACTAGGATAAAAAAGAAAGGAATAGATCAACACAGAGCATTGTCTCTGCCAACTGTTTCATAGTACATTTGTGGAAAGTCTTGAGGAACAGTACTATAAAAATACTTTTGAAATGACTGAAGAGTTGCATTCACTTCAAGCTGTTGTTATTCTCTGTTTTAGGAATGGAAGATAACTGTTTTACTTTAACCCTGAACATTTCCTTTGCAACATTCTCTGGCATTTGGAAGTCCTCCAAGCCCCTCATCATTTTTCAACAGCCAGGCTTCCCGCAGTGCCTGCTCACAGTTTCCTCAAGGTCGAGTCTCTTACAGGAACATAAGTTCAGCCGCTCCTTTTAGAGGGCGCAGTGAATCATCCCTCTTAGCAAATATAGAATTCCCTGTGACCTCTGCAAATGGTCCCACTATGTCTGCTGCTGAGCCAAAAGCAGGAAAGCCAGAGACTGAGTAATTTATTGCAAGCAACCATCACTATTTATCCCAGGCCCAATGGGAGTCAGACAGAGGAAATAGCTCTGCTAATTACATCTGGGAAAGATTAGTGGCTTTAAAGTCAGAAGACATGAGCTTGACATCTGGTTCCTCTGCCCATTGAGTGATCTTGGGCAAGTCTTTCATGCTAAAAATTCATTAAGCACCTACTATAAGCCAAGTACATAGGGACAGAGGTTGTAAAAATAAATTGCAGGCAGTCAAAGCACTTACTGTAATACAATATAAGACATGTTCTCTCACTTCCCCTGTGTGTCTGTCTTGGCCCTTGGTGGAAAGGACTTCTGTCCACATTGTAGCCACTGCCTACTCCAACAGCTGGAGGCTTCTGCTGCTGCCCTCACCAGTCAAACTGATGCCTCACAAACTGATACCTCTTTCTTTACATTGCTGACTTCCAAGTCAAGATCTCGCAAGGGTGAGTTACCTGGGAATACGTAGATCATAGGCCTGTGGTTTAGTTGTACAGGAGGCCAGAAAAGTGGGGAGTGCACATTTTCAAATTTCCCAAAAGGGTGTTTTAAAATGTGTGGGGCAGGCAGAAAATATGGCAGATAAAAAGATTTCCGAACGGTACTGAAGGGCCATTTGATGTTGGTGATCATGCTTTTGTTTTAGTATGATTGTATAAATCTCTCCCAGCTGTGCCAGGCAAACCCAGAAAGGAACAGAGAAAAGGAATTGTTGGTTTGATCCTGAGTTTAGGATGTTGGGATAGTTGCAGAAGAAAGGCAAGGCTACTAGGATGCCAAGTAGCCCTGAAAGAGGTAAATGGAGTGATAGAGTTCTCCATGAATTTGAAGAGCAGGTGGTAATGACAGAGAATAGTTTTATGGGAATTTAAGATTGTAGGCATTGTGAAGTTCTGGGTAATGACCTAATGTAGAAACATGAATAATATTCACCCAGTTTGCACTGTGTGAGGATGGTTCTAATGCCCTATCCAGGTTGGGGAAAATATGACATGACCATTGGGCATGGTAGCATGCACCTATAGTCCCACCTATGCAGGAGGCTGAGGTGGGAGGACTGCTTGAAGGCAGGAATTTGAGGCTGCAGCATGCTATTATTATACCTGTGAATAGCCACTGCACTCCAACCTGGGCAACATAGCAAGACCCAATCTATAAAAAATTAATAAAAGGACACAACCAATTTGCAAGGATCTCAGGATGCAGGCATTTTGGCAGTAGTGCTGCATGTTTGCCATTACTGATGTTAAGTGTGGTCACAGAAGGTTGGGTAATGAGAAGTGGTAGTTGATAGAGCAGGAGCACCATCATCTCGGACAAACATCGCCACTTTAAATTCCAGCTCCCTTTCTAGCCTCATGCATTTCAAGGAAATCACCTCTCTTCTAACTACAAGCAGCCAGAAAGGGCAGACAGTAAAACACAGATAAGACAGCGTGGGCACAGAGGGAGGTTGGGGAAAAGCACAACAAAAAAGCAAAAAACAAAAAAACACAGAAGCAGTCAAAGACTCTGATAAACTCTCCCACCCTGAATCATTAAAAACTCTTAGTCTGTAAGAGAGTGTGCCTCTGACTTGACTCAGCCAGTAGGCTCCTCTCAGGTTTATTTTCTCTAAAATAAATCTGTCTTGACTGGCAAGCCACCTTTCGTATTTCTTTCCTCTTTCTTTAATTCTTACAGTGGTGAAGAAAAGAGTTCAGAGGACAAATGTTATGAGCCTAGGGTATTTGTAGGCTTCAAGACATGAGCACTGGGGTATTCTGGTGATATACTAGGCCTTGACTGGAAGATTGTTGTTCAGGTGCCAACGTCCTCAGTGAATGAGGAAAAGTGGCCAGGGGATCTGCAGCACAGACATAGGGTTAGGTGACCAAAGGTGGAGGGGGTTAAGCATGTGGAAGAAGAGAAAGCAAAATGCAGCACTAGGAGAAGGAGATGTTGCCCAGACATGGACATGGAGAGAGGGTTCTTTGAAGAGGATAGGATAGAAGAAGACTCATTAGAATGAAATGAGGTATTCCAGAAGATGATGGAGAAAGAATGGTGCAGAACTAAAAAGAATTATGTAAGAAGACACAGAACAGTAAACTCAAAATTAGATGATAAGAGAGCTTTGCATTGTGGGCCACTGGTAGCCAAAGGTGAGAGGGATTCTGAATAGGTGCAGGTTGAACTCTATGTCTACTTTCAGGGAATGTAGCAAGGATTTGTTCCCTGAGGAGCTAGCATCTTAGGTTGCCTGTGGCTGTCAGGAGCCTCTCCTCCCCTTCTTACATTATGCATTAGTCCATTCTAGCACTGCTATAAAGATACTCCCTGAGACTGGGTAATTTATAAAGGGAAGACGTTTAATTTACTCCCTATTCCACATAACTGGGGAGGCCTCAGGAAACTTATAATCATGGTAGAAGGTGAAGGGGAAGCAAGGCACGTCTTCACAAGGCAGCAGGAGAGAGAGAGCACCTACCACATGGTCAGACTGCAAATTTTCCAAACTTTAATCCTCTGCATCCCTTTTAAACATAAGTTCCAATTTCAAATCATCTCTTTGTGAGCCCATATAACTGAATGCTTTCAGAATAAGCCAGGTCGCTTCTTGAATGCTTTACTGCTTAGAAATTTTTTCTGCCAGATACACTAAATCATCTCTCTCAAGTTCAAAGTTCCACAGATCTCTAGGGCAGGGGCAAAATGCCACCAGCCTCTTTGCTAAAGCATACTAAGAGTGGCCTTTACTCCAGTTCCCAGTAAATTCCTCATTTCCATCTGAGACCACCTCAGCCTGGACTTCATTGTCCACATCACGATCAGCATTTTGGTCAAAACCATTCAGCAAGTCTCTAGGAAGTAACAAATTTTCCTACATCTTCCTGTCTTCTCCTGAGCCCTCCAAACTGTTCCAAACTCTACCTGTTACCCAGTCCCAAAGTCAATTCCACATTTTCAGGTTATCTTTATAGCAGTACCCCACTCTCAGTACCAATTCTCTGTATTAGTCCTTTCTTACACTGCTATAAAGATACTACCTGAGACTAGGTAATTTATAAAGGAAAGAGGTTTAATTGACTCACAGTTCTACATGGCTGGGGAGGCCTCAGAAAGCTTACAATCATGGCAGAAGACGAAAGGGAAGCAAGGCATATTTTCACAAGGCGGCAGGAGAGAGAGTGTTTGTAGGGGAACCTGCCACTTTTAAAACCATAAGATTTCATGAGAACTCCCTCACTACCATGAGAACAGTAGGAGGGAACCACCCTCATGATCCAATCACCTCCCACCAGGCCCATCCTTTGACACAGGAAGGATTACAATTTGAGATGAGATTTGCGTGGGAACACAGAGCCAAATTATATTACATAGCAAGGATAAGAATGTCTCAATCTTAGATGATCATTGTGACACTCAGTGCAGGGTACCACACTGTGACACTCATTGCAGGTACCACAATGCAGGGTACCATTAAGAAGCAGTTTTCACAGTCACAGAATCTTTTCCTTGACTGTCTCCTAGCTCTCTCTCTTCTTTTTTTTGTCACAAGATCTTAGGGCAAATTGCATGTCTTCCGTGAAGTCGATATGGCCACTCTTCTGTGCTCTTGTGACCCACTCTGTGCTCTGTAGACCCACCTGTGCTTCTATGGGTCACAGCTCCTGGGACCATAAAGGCCACTGGTGGCCTCATGTTGGTCACCATGTATATGCTCCTGGTTGTTCATTTGTCAGAACTTTTTCCAGTGTGGAGTTAGTCTCTCTTACACTCCAACCTTTGCCTCCCTGTGTTGACATAATTTTTGTTGCTGTTATTAGGCTGTGAGACAGAACAGATTTTGCTTTAATTTTCTGGCATCATCCTCTGAGGTGACATCTTCTCTTGACTCATTCAGCTTATTTCAATCACCTTCTCCTTAAGAACTAGGCTCATGTCCCTCAGGGACTGGCCAGGAGATAGCTGAGTGACAACCTGAGGTTCTGCACACACCACTCTCTATTCTTTAGACAAAGGTTTATGAGGCTAAAGCAAGGGGAAGTAAGGCATTCTGATGAGAGGGAGTTATAAGAGGAGGTTGGCGTGGACGGTTTTCATGGTGTGGGGAGTCCAGATCAAAGGGAATATAGTAAAGAGCTAGGAACTTCTCAGGGGCAGCACCTCATTAGAGAGTTGGGGTTACAGTGTCAGCCTCTCAGAATTTGGATATTCTTTCTAATGCAGAGTTGCTCAGATCATTGGTGATTAACTGATAATAACTAAAATCACCCAAGACTGGGCATAAAATAATGCCATCACCATACTCAGTATACTAAGAAGTTCCCATACCCCTCCAAATTTTCTTTTTGTAGTAAGCCCCTCCCACAACCCTTAACCCCTGACAACCACTGATCTCTTCACCATCCCTATAGTTTTGCCTTTTCCAGAATGCCATGCAATACTGATATGGTTTGGATTGGTGTCCCCACCCAAATCTCATGTCAAATTGTAATCCCCAGTGTTAGAAGAGGAGCCTGGTAGGAGGTGATTGGATCATGGGGGTGGATTTCCCACTTGCTGTTCTCATGACAGTGAGTGGGTTCTCATGAGATCTGGTTGTTTAAAAGCATGTAGCCCCTCCCCTTTCTGTCTCTTTCTGCTTCTCTAGCCGTGTAAGAGTGCCTGCCCCCTTTAGAAAGTATCCTGAGACCTCTCCAGCCATGCTACCTGAACAGCTGCAGAAACATGAGCCAATTAAACCTCTTTTCTTATAAATTACCCAGTCTCAGGTAGAGCTTCATAGCAGTGCAAGAATGGACCAATACAAATATGTAGCCTTTTGAATCTAGGCTTTTTTCACTCAGCAATATGCATTTAACATTCATCCATGTTATTGAGTGGGTCAATAGTTCTTCCTTTTTATTGCTGAGTAATATTTCACTGTACACATACACTGCAGGATTCCCCAGCTGAAGGATATGGAGAAGAGTAATTGCAGCCACTTTGGTAAATAATCTATCAAGTATACTAATTAACTGACTTAAACAGTTCTGTATTCTTTCCTTGTACAAAAAGTCACACAAATGTAGAGAAGAAAACAAAATGAATCCTAAGATAGTCTTCACTTAGCTGCAGCAGTTATCAAGATTCTCTCCATCTAACCCTTTTTACTTTAGTCTTTCTTGTTGAAATATATTAAAGCAAATTTTAGATATGAGAGAGAAATATGTAGAGATTATTCCATTTGACTCTCCAAAAGTTATGAATGTTTTTCATGTAACTTTAATGTATCAGCATTTTTTTCCTATAAAAGGCCAAATAATAAGTGCATTTGGCTTTGTGAGCTCTGGGTTCTTTGTCAAAATTACTCAACTTCTGCTGTTATGAAAAGAAAGCAGCCTTAGACTACTCATAAACAAACAAGCATGACTGTAGTCTACCAAAACTTTATTTACTAAGACAGGCAGCAGGCCCTAGTTTGACAAATGCAATCTAATCTCCAGTCCATGATGAAATTTTCCAGATTGCTTCAAAAATGTATTTTACTGTTTTTTTTCTCTCCAATCAAACCTTGTTTGGATTCTGTCTTTAAATGATTTTAAAGTTTCTAACATAACTGAAATACCCATATTTTTCAGTGCATATTAATTCTGCTATCACTAGAATTTCTTCCTTGAAAAAGAACTATTTTATAAAATAAACAATATGTATTTATCACTGAGAAATTAGAAAAAAACAAACAATCCCATCAAAAAGTGGGCTAAGGACATGAATAGACAATTATCAAAAGAAGCTATACAAATGGCCAACAAACATAAAAAAATGCTCAACAGCACTAATGATCAGGGAAATGCAAATCAAAACCACAATGTGATACCACCTTACTCCTGCAAGAATGGCCATAATCAAAAAAATAAAAAAAACAGTAGATATTGGCATGGATGTGGTAAACAGGGAACACTTCTACACTGCCGGTGGGAATGTAAACTAGTACAGCCACTATGGACAACAGTATGGAGATTCCTTAAAGAACTAAAAGCAGAACTACCATTTGATCCAGCAATCCCATTACTGGGTATCTACCCAGAGGAAAAGAAGTCATTATTCGGAAAAGATACTTGCACATGCATGTTTATAGAAGCAAAATTCCCAGTTGCAAAATAATGGAACCAACCCAAATGCCAATCAATCAACGAATGGATAAAGAAACTGTGGTATTATGTTATCTACTCAGCCATAAAAAGGAATGAATTAACAGCATTTGCAGTGACCTGGATGAGATTGGAGACTATTATTCTAAGTGAACTCAAAAATGGAAAACCAAACATCCCATGTTCTCACTGATATATGGGAGCTAAGCTATAAAGTAAAGCTAAGCTATAAAGTATAGAATGCACATTGTACATCTAATTTAATTATTATGCAAAGGCATAAGAATGATCCAATGGACTTTGGGGATTTGGGGGGAAGAGTGAGAGGGGGGCGAGGGATAAAAGGCTACAAATATGGTGTAGTGTATACTGTTTGGGTAATGGGTACACCAAAATCTCACAAATCACCACTAAAGAACTTATTTGGTTACTCATGTAAACAAATGCCACCTGTACTCCAAAAACTTATGGAAAAAAAAGTTGTTTGTATAAGAAAACTAAACATTAAAAGAAACTGAGGTACAGAAAAGTTGTCATTTCTTTCAGATTACAGAGCTAGTGTGGGTGGGCTTCAAGACAAGGAAGACAGGCTCCAGAGACCACACTCAGCCACAAGTCTATGCTGCAATCAAGACTAATCTATGAGAAGGATGAAAATTTATTAATTGGTGATTGTTGGGGAGTAGGAACCCCAAGTTAATATGCCCAAAAGAGACCTCTTGGTTTCTTCCTGCCTGTCTCTAATTTCTCTTTCTTCAGGCTTCCCTCTCTCAGCAAACACCAACTTCATTCATCCAGATATGCATCTCCAATTCTTGGAGTTACCCTTGTTCCTACTCCTCTCATCGCTATCTAGTTAGTCAGCAAAGCCTACCGGCTTTGCCTTCACAATACAAACCTAACCTTGTCTCTCTACCCTCCACCACTGCCATCCTGGTCTAAGACACCATTATCTTTTCCCAGATTATTGTAATAACTCATATCTGGTTTCCTGGTTTCTACTGTTACCCTCAATTGTCTATTCTCACTACAGCTGGAGTGACTCTTTTAAAGCAAAAGTCAGATTATGTTCCCTCTGCTCAAAGTCCTCTGATGGCATCCCAACTCTCTCAGAATGAAATCAAGTTGTCATTGGCTCACATGGCCTTACATAAATCTATCCATCTGCTACCTACTCTCCAGCCACTTTCCCGGTCACTCCCTGTGCACCAGATTTCATGTCCTTTCAGTTTCTCGTATATGCTGGCTCTGCTGCATCCTCATGTTGCTTGACACATGTTGCTCCCTGTGCTTGGAAGGCTCTCACAGGTGGCTGCAGAGTTTGCTTCTCTACTTCATGCAAGTCTCTGCTCCAGGTCACCTTCTTAAAGAGGATCTTCCTGACTACTGTGGCCTCCTTTCCCTTTCCTGTCCTCACTAGCCCTTTCCCCAGCCTAGTGCTCATGCCCCTGCATATATTACAAATACACGGTTTATTGGTCTGTTATCCTTCCCAGCCCTTTCTTGTTAGCCACACAAGAGAAAGGATTTTGTCTGTTATTTTAGTGTTCTTCCCTGTGCCTTGACTGGTGTCCAGCACTTAGAAGGCATGCAATGAAAATTGTTTGAATGACTGAATGAATGAATGCAGGAATGTCATCATTCTGTACTGTGAACCATAATGAACATGAAACAAAGTAAGAGAATGAAGACACACAATAGGTCAGCCTACTAGCGGTCCTTTTAATTGCCTGATTGATGTTGGAAAATGAAGCTTTCTGGATGATAAATGAAAGCTACCAAATGCCATTCATCACAATTCTTGTCATAATCGACTCAATAAAGTATAGAATGCACATTGTATATCTAATTTAATGTGTGCAAACCAGACATGTAATGACACAAATGTACAGTTTGTGGGTTGTAGTTAGTGCAGAAAAATGTAGTATTAGCCAAAGATAAGAGAGTTGCTGATGCATTCTCTATACTGGCAGATCAATACAGTATTATAAAGAACGAAGAAATGAAATCAAAGGATTTTTTTCTGACAAAAGAGAGAAAAGAATGAAATGGAAAGGGCACAATTGGCACCATTTAAATCTATGCCTTCATGTTTTACCTTCTAATTGGGACCTGAGGTTATAAATCAAGATAATAAAAGCTGATAAATACATTGCCTATCTTTCCCCACAGGGGAGGTGAAGGAAGATGAAAGAAAGCATCAAAAGAAAACCACTCTGGCAGGGACTTCTCATTCCTTTTCATTTTATTTTCTGGCAAAGACTACAGTGCATCTATTACTTGTCTGAGAGGTTACAAAAGAGGAAGAAGCCTGGGGTTGTATAATAATGTTGGAAGCCTAGGAGAGGCCACAAAGAGTATCTTGTAGAGTGGGCGGGGTTCAGAAGGTTCTAAGCCATGCTGTGAATCTGGCACACAGGCCTTTGTGCTCAAAACACAACATCTGGGGTGCATTCCCAGCTCTTACAAGGAGCAATGAATGCTGCTAATGACATTGCATTTGGGGATTTTAATGGGGGGATAGAAATTTAACCAAAGTTGGAGGGAATTAGTCTGCAGTTTAGCAGGCTTCTTGCTAAATGTCTACCTCCAGAGGTTCTACTGCTAAAAGAGAAAGCATTCTAGACACTTAGCCTTTCTCACTTCTTTTGTTAAAATGATATAAATGCCAAAAACAAAAACAAAAACAAACAAATAAAAAAAAACAAGAGAAGATGTTCTATAATATGTAACAACAGGCCTTAACCCCAGAGATCTCCAAAGTATAACTCATATAGTCACTTTTTTTTTTTTTTGAGATGGAGTCTCTCACTCTGTCACCCAGGCTGGAGTACAGTGGCACAATGGCACTATCTTGGCTCACTGCAGCCTCTGCCTCCTGGGTTTAAGCAATTCTCCTGTCTCAGCCTCCATAGTAGCTGAGATTACAGGCATGCATTACCACTCCTGGCTAATTTTTGTATTTTTTAGTAGAGACAGGGTTTCACCATATTGGCCAGGCTGTTCTCAAACTCCTGATCTCAAGCAATCTGCCCATCTTGGCCTCCAAAGAGCTGGGATTACAGGTGCGAACCACTGCGCCCAGCCCTTCACATAGTCACTTTTATCTGTAATAAGAAATAGGAAGAAAATGGATGCACAAATGATCTCTCAGATCCCTTCAAAACAGAAAACTTTAAGTTTCTATGAAATCAGGATGTTGCTTTATGAAACTAACAAGCAAATAGCTTCAAAGTACAACATTTCTCCAGAGCTTCCCCCAAAGAATAAAGTCCACAGCAGAGCGCCCCCTGCTTCCATTGAGGTTTTCCTGGGTAAAGGTCATACGAAAGAGCAAGTGTGATGATCAAAGCTCCAGCAACAGGAAAGGAAGAATGTAGGGCCTGGATAACACATAAGCCCAAGAGTCCATGTCTGAGTAATCAGGTGTGAGCTGTGGCTCACGGGTCTCCCTTCTGTTTGAACAGCAGCAGCAGAGAGAAGTCCACAAATGGGAATCACCTTTACTCATGTGCCAGCTCATGTTGACAGTGCCCTGAGCAGCAGTACCATGGAGGTGGGAGAGGTGACCTGAGTCCATGTCCTGGCCCCTCACTTGTTAGGTCAGTGATTATGAGCAAATCATTCACTTTGTCATCTGTCAAAGTGGACAATGACATAATGTATAAATGTACTTCAGCTGATGCCTACTGCATAGCAGATTCTCAGGAAATGCTAGCTTTTTAAGTTCCCTTTTACTTGTACTGAGATGCAATAAGAATGCTACATTAAAATCAACAATACATAAAGGCACACCTCAGATATTGTGGATTTTGTTCTAGACTGCTGCAATAAAATGAATATCACTATAAAATAAGCCATACAAATTTTGTGGTTTCTCAGTGCATACAAAAGTTATGTTTACACTATATTGCAGTATATTAACTGTGCAATAGCATTATATCTAGAAAAACAATCTACATGCCTTAATTAAAAAATACATTTTTGGTAAAAAATGCTAACGATCATCTGAGCCCTCAGCAAGTTGTAATCTTTTTGTTGGTGGAGGGTCTTGCTGATTGATCAGGGTGGTGGTTCTGAAGGCTGGGGTGGCTGTGGAGATTTCTTAAAATAACACAACAATGAAGCTTGCTGCATCAACAAACTCCTTTTTTCATGGAAGATTTCTCTGTAGTATGCAATGCTTTTTGATAGCATTTGACTCACAGCACAACTTTTTAAAAAATTGGAGTCAATTGTCTCAAATCCTGCCGCTAACTTTGTGTGATATTCTAAATCTTTTGTTGTCATTTTTAACAATGTGCATAGCACCTTCACCAGGAGTAGATTTCATTCCAGGAAATCACTTTGATCATCTGTAAGAAGCAACTCCTCATCCACTCAAGTTTGATCCTGAGATTACAGCAATTCAGTCACATCTCCAAGCTCTACTTCTAATTCTAGCTCTCTTCCTATTTTCACCACATCAGCAGTGACTTCCTCCACTGGAGTCTTAAAATCTTCAGAGTCATCCATGAAGGTGTAATCAACTTCTTCCAAAACCTGTTAATGTCTATATTTTGACCTCCTCCCATGAATCATGAATGCTCTTCATGGCATCTAGAATGGTGAATCTTTTCCAGAATGTTTTCAATGTACTCTGCTCAGATCTTTCAGAAGAATCATTTTGGTGGCTATAGCCTTATGCAATGTATTTCTTAAATAATATAATTTAAAAGCCAAAATTACTCCCTGATCTGTGGGCAGCTGAATGGATGTTATGTTAGCAGGCATGAAAATGACATTTCTCTCCTTGTACATCTCCATCAGAGCTCTTGGGTGACCAGGTGCATTGTCAATGAGCAGTAATAATTTGAAAGGATTCTTTTTGAGCAGTAGGTCTCAACAGTGGGCTTAAAATATTCAGTAAACCACTCTGTAAATAGATGTGTTATCATCTAGCCTTTGTAGTTCTATTTATAGAGCACAGGCAGAATAGATTCAGTATAATTCTTAAGGGCTTAGGATTTTTTTAAATGGTAAAGGAGCATTAGCTTAAACTTAAAGTTACCAGCTGTATTAGCTCGTAACAAGAGTATACCTGTTTTTTGAAGCTTTGAAGCCAAGCATGGACTTCTCCTCTATAGCTAGGAAAGTCCTAGATGGCATCTTCTTCCAATAGAAGGCTGTCTTGTCTACATTGAAAATTTGTTGTTTAGTGTAGCCACCTTCATCAATGATCTTAGCTAGATCTTCTAGAAAACCCACTGCAGCTTCTACATCAGCACTTGCTGCTCCACCTTGTGCTTTTATGTTATGGAGATGGCTTCTTTCCTTAAACCTCATGAACAAACCTATGCTAGCTTCCAACGTTTCTTCTGCAGCTTTGTCACTTCTCTCGGCCTTCATAGAATTAAAGAGAGTTAGGGCCTCGCTCTGGATTGGGCTTTGGTTTAAGGTAACGTTGTTTCTGGTTCGATCTTCTATACAGACCATTCAAACTTTCTCCATGTCAATAACCAGGCCCTTTCACTTTCTTATCACTCATGTGCTCACTGGAATAGCATCTCTAATTTCCTTCAATAACTTTTCCTTTGCTTTCACTACTTACTTAACTGTTTGGCATAAGAGCCCTGGCTTTTGGCCTAGCTCAGCTTTTAATATGCCTTTCTCACTAAACTTCATCATTTCTAGCATTTGATTTAAAGTGAGAGACATGCGACTCCTTCTTTCATTCGAACACTTACAGGCCATTGTAGGGATATTAATTGACCTAATTTTCATTTTGTGTCTCAGAGAATAGGGAGGCCTGAGGAGAGGGAGATAAATGGAGGATTGGCTGGTCAGTAGAACAGTCAGAACACACATTTATTAAGTTCACTGCCTTACATGAAGGCACTTTGTGGCACCCCAAAAAATTGCAATAGTAACATCAAAGATCACCCTAACATATAATAATAATGAATAAGTTTGAAATATGGGAAGAAGTACCAAAATGTGACACAGAGATGAGGTGAGCACATGCTGTTGGAAAAATGACCCTGAAAGATTTGCTGGACTCAGAGTTACCACAAACATTCAATTTGTAAAAAGTGTAATATTTGTGAAGTGCAATAAAGTGAAGTACGATAAAATGAGTTGTGTTTTAACCTCTTCCTGGTGGATTTGGTGAAATAAATACACCCCCAAATAACAAAGCATGCTAGTATTTGTGCCATAAAGAGACACTAAAAGGAAGATTATATATATAAATCTCTCTCTCTATATATATATATGTATATATATATTCCTTAAACCTCATGAACAAACATATATATATGTGTATGTATATATATATATACACACACAGAGAGAGAGAGAAAGAGAGAGAGAGAGAGAGAGATGGAGTCTCACTCTGTCTCCCAGGCTGGAGTGCAGTGGCATGATCTCAGTGCACTGCAACCTCCACATTTCTGGGTTCAAGCGAATCTCCTACCTCAGGCTCCCGAGTAGCTGGGATTACAGGCCCGTGCCACCACACCCAGCTAATTTTTGTATTTTTAGTAGGGACAGGATTTCACCATGTTGACCAGGCTGATCTTGAACTCTTGACCTCAGGTGATCCACTGGCCTCAGCCTCCCAAAGTGCTGGGATTACAGGCGTGAGCCACCACGCCCGGCCTGCAAGGAAGATTTTTAAAAGGAGATATTTGCTAGAGGAATCAAGGAAATCTTCCTAGAACAGGTTGCATTCAATTGGTACCTTGAAGGACTGATGGAATATCAGGAGCCAAAGCCAAGAGAGGTGGGGTTGGACTTAACAGGGAAAAAGGACAGCAAACAGAAGGGGCAGAGATGGGCAGGTATAGGCAGGATTGGATAATCATGGGTGACCCATTTTGGATGGAACATAAAATACATAAAAGAGAGTCATGGGAGATAAGCCTGCAAAGGTAAGTCTAAGTCAGACCATGAAGGGACTTGCACATCAGGCTTAAAAGTTGGGCTTGGCCGCCATATTTTTAATAAAGCCGTTGACATGTTTGACCAGAGAAAGTGACGTGATCAGAACAATGCTCTAAGTCAGGCTGACACTCCCCACCCCACCCCCTCTCCACACACATTTTCCTCCTTCCTGAATAATAATCAGCCATAGATACGCAGCACAAGTTTGATGTAATTGTTGGGACGATTTTGCTTAATCACGAGATTTCATTGTTCATTCAACTTAAAAACATCTAATGAAGACTTTGTCCCTGCCAAGCACTTTCAAAATGACACCAGGACTCATAGACATGGTCACTCCCTCCAGAGGACTCAAATCTGTAAACTATAAATGCAATGGAGTGCTGGAGTTATTTTATAGAAATAAGAACAGGATATGGTAGAAAAAATATATATAGTCAGTTCTGTATGATGGACAGGCAATTAAGAAGTCTTCATAGAGGAACCATCATCAGAGCCTTGGAGCATAAATATGGGTTTACCAAACAGACCTAGAGGTGCAGGATAGGAAGAAAGAGGAAGGGTGTAGGGGGTTAGGTATGGCTGTGGAAAAAAAGATAAGACTGGTGAGAGTACAGAGAGCATGATACTGGGGAGTATTTCACCTTGTGTCAAAAAGCTTGAGCTTTATCTTGCAGGACCAAAGGTGGGACACTGGATGATTATAACCATATTTTCAGGATGTCAGAAGGGCGAAGAATGAGTTGAGAAGTTTAGGGTGAAATGAGGTAAACCAGCTAATATACTATTCTAATGATCTGTCTGATCAATGCCAAAGGCTTAAAGTGGAAAAGAAGAGATGTTATAGAAGTAGGACATATATAATTAGAGAGATAAATAGGAGTGTGGTAGGGGATAAGGGGGAATAAAAATAAATAACTAAAACAAAAGCAGCCTTGAATGGACCACTGATATCCACGTGTCAGGAAGGAAGAAAATGGTTTGCCCAACTCTCTGCATCTAAGATACAAAAACAAAGCTGAAGAAAAAATGTTTTAAATGGGCTCGATTTTGTTTTTCATTGAATATGGGATATGAGGGAGTCAAGGCTCAACAGGAGACTGAGTTTCTCACCTAATTAAACCCATTGTTTTGATACTAGTTGTAGGATGGTCCAGAGGCTCATTAGCTCTTCTCTGGATTATACATGAATGTAAAGTTGGGGAGGACACCCTTCGGTGAGTCAAAGATTAGAAAAAGAATAAAGAAACATCATGCAGAAGTCACATTATCAAGATGGAAGACCAATTTTGGCCCATGATTCCTTCTGGAAAACTAGAAAATTTTTATTTAAAAATCATTTAAGGTCATAGAAACAATGAATTCTATATTTTCATGCACCGCTGTCTACAAGAATTCAGCCCAGGTTCAACCTCTGTGTTATAGAACACCCACCTGGAAGCTGCCTGCTTCATCAGCTGTGATAAGCAGTCTGTAATGAAGTGATATGGTTTGGATGTTTTTCCCCTCCAAATCTCATTTTGAAATGTAATCTCCAATGTTGGAGGCAGGGTCTGCAGGGAGGTGTTTGGATCACGGGGGTGGATCCCTCATGAATGGCTTGGTGCCATACTTGTGGTAATGAGTGAGTTCATGGCAGTCTGGTTGTTTAAAAGATTGTGGCACCTCTTCTACCCCCACTCTCTTGCTCCCATTCTGCCACGTCAGTTGCTGCTCCCACTTCACCTTCTGCCATTAGCAAAAGCTTCCTAAGCACTCACCAGAAGCCAATAGGTGCCAGCACCATGCTTCTTGTACAGCCTTTAATTAATTGTGAGCCAAATAAAGCTCTTTTCTTTATAAATTACCTAACCTGTTATTTCTTTATAACAACACAAGAACAGGGTAAACACATGAAGTACAGGATTCCTGTCAGCATCGTGGTCCGTGCTCAATACTGGACTTGAAAGGAGGGCAAGGTTAAAATCTTGATTTCTTCACCTCCATCTCTTACCTCCCACCTAAGATTGCCCAAGATGGGGCTCAGGTCAAATGTCAATAAGCCTAACTGGGAGATTTTTTTGCTTGAGTAGAGTTTGATCTGCTCCACTCCTAGTCCTTTAAAACAGGTACAGTAAATCATGTAACATTCTAAAAGGTGAGCTTCAAACACAGCAAGTTTCCAGAAAGTAGCTCAGGGCCCCTGTCTGATCTTTCCATTCACATTCTCTTGCCTCCCAAAATCAAACCTAAGCTCAAACTTCAGTTTTTATCTTTAATCTCATTCCATCTTTATTCCTCCAAACATTTGATCCTCAAACTTCCTTTATGGGCTCTGGATTATCCCACAGCTTCACTCTCTGATTTCCCCCTTTTTCTGAGGTAGCAGTGTCCTTCCCCCAGCCCCAGCCTGAGAAACCCAACCTCACTTTGGCCATTTATCCAGCTACCACACTCCCTTCAGAGGGAGCAACCCATTCCAGTGATTAAAAGTAGGAGATTCAAAGTCTTAGGTACAATAGAGCAAAAGATAGGCTTCAATTTGAAATCACGATTTGCTTTTGTATAGTCTGCCTTGGCTGTATAGGTATAAGGCCTCAAGTGTAATCATCATATCAGGGATTTGAATGCTTCCATTTCCATAACCAAGACTTAAAGAAGTGATTTGAAATGCTTATTGTGTATTGAGTGCTTTAGATTTTCAAAAGGATTCTAATTGGAATGTGGTAGCATTAGCTGAGGTAATGAGCT
This sequence comes from Homo sapiens, assembly GCF_000001405.40. Taxonomy (NCBI): domain Eukaryota; kingdom Metazoa; phylum Chordata; class Mammalia; order Primates; family Hominidae; genus Homo; species Homo sapiens. The sequence continues at coordinate 42,989,087 of NC_000007.14, forward strand.
AATTCTACACCAGAAACAGAAAATGTCTTTTGGAGGAGCCAATATCATCATAACTCAAACATGCAAAACTGCATTAGATCTGCAAGCTTTCTCAACTGTTTAAATTTTTAAAAATTCTATTCTCAAGATCTGTGGGGAAGATAAAGAAATAGGGAGAAATCTTGCCTTGTTAAGAAACTGTGGCTCAACATGGAATGTGGTAATAAGCAGAGGGAAAAAATACTGCCTGGCTGAAAGACTGGTTAAATTACTTATGATACAGTGCACAGGTGGTGGGAGTATGTGTGAAATGTTTTTTTTTAATAAAACGTAGAGAAACAGTGATTAATATAAGCCATTAGGGACTCTTCCTATCCAATATCAAGAAAATAATTCAACTTTATAAATAAATCTGTATACTGAAAATTAAATGTGTGTTGAGTTAAGAGCCATAGAGAAGCTTCCAACACTGGTTTCTTTCTTGCCTCCTATACACTAAATCTGAATATATCCCAAATCTGTTTTGAATCTCCAGTCCTATCATCAAAGCAACCCACCTAGGGTTCTAGTCTACTACTGTGGTTTCAGCAACCAGATCTTTGCAGATCTCCATCTTCAGATCAGACACTCTCCTGAACTCCAGTTCAACTTTTACAATTGCTTTTTGTGCTTGGATGGCACACCAAATTGACTGTTTACAGTTGGGAATATCTAACTAAAACCACTCTGTTTCTTCCTGGATGCTGACATCTGCCCTTTTGTATAACACCAGAATTTTGACTCCTTTCACACTGTTGGTAAGAGGAGCCAGTTTTAGTCTACTTGGGGGATTCTTTCCTATATCCACAGATCCCTTGCTGTGGCCATTTCTAAGTCACACCACTGGTGGCCTCCAAGGAAAAGCCATGGCCCAAACTCCCCATGACATGCTTACTTTTCAATTCTCAGACTATATATGAATCCTGGAAATCTCAACTTTCCAAGGGCTTTATATTGTATTCATTAATTTTCATGTCTATTTCAAAAACAGAATTTCAAAATACACATCCTTGGAAACAAAAAGGTAAGGGTATCAGACATGTTTCAGTGAAATATTCCCAAATAGACATTTTAGGATGAACAAGTATTTTTCTCTAAGTATCTCTCTGTTGAGGTTACTTTTGTTTTCCTAGGATTATTTTTACATTGAGAGTAATAACTGGTTATTGGGACAAAACCAAATATTTATGTTTCTCTAATCTCAGACATTAAGTATAATTTTTATTGTTTTCCATTTAAAAATTTTACTTTTTTGTCCTATCTGGTTGTGAACTTAACTAATGTTACATGAAAATATGTACTGAGATGCTGCAAATTCTTGGCGGAATTTTAGCAAATATACACTTAAAAATCAGTAATTCTTAGTAGTAAATGGGAAATAATGTTTTTTTTTTAACAGAGCCATTAAAATATACTTATGGAAAAGAAATCCCAATCCAAACCCCAACTTCTTCTTTTGTTTTTGTTTTTGTTTAACATCTTTAAATACATAGGAATTGGCCAGATGCAGTGGCCCACACCTGTAATCCTAGCACTTTGGGATGCCAAAGCGGGAGGACAGCTTGAGCTTAGGAGTTCAAGACCAGCCTGGACAATGTGATGAAAACTCATCTCCACAAAAGATAAAAAAGAAAAATAGCTAGGAGTGGTGGCATGTTTCTGTAGTCCCAGCTACCAGGGAGGCTGGGGTGGGAAGATCGCTTGACCCCAGGAGGTGAAGGTTGCAGTGAGCCAAGATTGCACCACTCCACTCCAGCCCAGGTGACAGAGTGAGACCCTATCTAAAAAAAAAAAAAGTTAAATATGTTGGAACTGAGTATAAACGAAGCCATTTGTTTTCATCCATAAAGTTAACTGGATTTTTTAAAATTTGTAAGCCAATAGAAGAGAAGATTAAACCCTGAATAAAAATATATTACTTTCCTTACATCAAAGTTAGAAGTGGTTTTTTTGTGTGTTTATGCTTGTGTTTGTTTTTGCTTTTTGTTTTTTGTCGAAGGTGGGTTTGGCCTTAGAACTATTTAAACACCAAAGAACAAATTCTTAATAAACTTTGCTTTTAATCAACCAACATATTACAAGACTGGAACAGTTAAAAAACAACACTGTAAAAAGATGATGAAATCAGCTTCTGATCAGCTACACACTTTCACAACTTAACTAAGAGTATCTGTGGAATTAAATAGTCAAACACATAATTGACAATCTTAACAATTCACTCACAAGGACAGATTTGTATTGATAAGAATGCTTCTCCCCCAAAAGCAAGGGAAAGTGCCCCATGAATTATGAAGAGGCTGTCTCCATGTGCTGCTCTTTAATAGACTCTGACTGGACTGCACCTCCTAATGCATTTGCTCCTGAATTAGTAATAGGTTTCCAACCTCAATGCATTTGCTACTTGAGCCATTTTCCCTCAATGTCCCACCACTTTTGGTACAGAAGGCTGAATCAATATAGATGACAAACACGGTTTCTCTTTTCTTTATTTCTTTACTACTTTTTTTTAACATATTACCAAAAGATGCAACATGAATTTATAATGATCTGGGTTGAAACTTCTATTTACAATGCTTTCACTGGACAGGACACGTTTTTTATTCTCCCCCTAGATCTTACTTTGCATTTAACATTAACTAACCTTATAAAACACATTTCCTGAAATTTCTTATGTTCGACCTTCTCTAGTACCTCAGAGTTTATTTGCTTTTGAATAACATTCAGATGAAATTTGAGAGAGAAAATCTGATTCCTTTTATAACTTAGGGAGAAGAGGAGAACAAAGTATTGGCTAAAAACAGAACAGGCTTTTAGAGCCTGGAAATTAAATACGATCATTAGGTTGTTCTCAGCTGACCCTGAGATAATGCGACAAAAAGGACCCCCTTAACACAAAACAAATTTAACTGTATGCTCTATTATCTCTAGGACAGAGAACCACGGAGCCCCCTTCCTACCACCTGCTACTGTGCCCCTACCGTGTCTGCTGCTGGGCAGCAGGAACAGCAGGGGAGAGCCACCCAGGGCGGGGCGGGACGGCACTGCATGAACTCCCCCAGGGAATCTTCTTCAGGTGCCAGGTCCCTCGGTGCTCATGCTTACCAAGGGTGGCTACTTACGAAAATCACGTGTGAAGTGAATGAGATGTTTAAGAAGTGATCCCACCGTGCCCTCCCTGTCCCCTTCTGCTACTCCTGGAGCACATTTGTGCTGGTTCTGCCAGCTTTGAGTCTCCAGCAGGCCTCCTTGTGGGCTTTGCTCATGCTTACAGATGCTTTCCCTTCACCTGTAGAGATTCTGGCTCAGGGAGCCTGAAATACAGCTCAGGCATCTGCACTCTTTCCCAGGGGACTGCAATGCCCAGCCATGAGAGCATGACTGCTCTACGCTGCGGGTTAAACTGCCATCACCTCTTTGTTACCCCTAGAAAACTAGAGAAAGTGCAAATCAATCCTTAGGGTGATAAATGCTTCCTTGTCTCCAGAGGTTTACTGTTCCAGTACAGGGTACATATTATAGCAAAGTTGCAAACAGATCTAGCTGCCCGGGCTAATGAGAGAACTCCAGACCAAGAGAACCCACAAGTTTAACATTTCCCAGGTTACTTCAACCTTGATTGCAAAAAAGTATAAAAAAGAAAAGCAATTTTTTAGGAACACTGGCTCTCTGTCTTTCCATTAAATGTATTTGTACCACGGGAGATCATTTGAAAAACTAAAGAAAGTCTGGAGTTTTGGGGCCCTAAAATATTGCTCTTTGATTCTCAGCATGAGTTACCCAACGGACATATTTATTTCAGACCTAGATTTCCAAAAATGAGTGATAGCCAGTCTGCTGTGAATGGCCGATCCTAATAAAAAAGAACTCTATTTTCTTAACCTTCGTTTTAGTTTAGTTGAGTGTTTCCTTAAACTAAAATGGGTTTCTTAGATCTTGCCATGATAACTCTTAAACACCTGATTATGAAATTAATAAAGGCCAAAGAGCGATCACTCTTCCGAGGCATCGCTTGAGAGACGCAATCTCCTTTCTCTAAAGCCTTTACTGTCTCTCTCTTACGCCTGGATGGAATTCTTCAGAGTGGCTTTCAGGCTGCTTAACAAGTGACCGGCAGGGTGCTCCCGGTCCGCTTCCATCACTCCCAGGGCACCTTTGAGCTTGCTGTTCTGCTGGTTTTGTTCCTCCAGCAGGCCTCCTTGTGGACTTAGTTTGGACTTTCTTTCTGGTTTATTTTTTCTTTTATCTGTGTGTCTAACTAGACATGTAAAATTCCTGATAAGAGAGAAAAACCTTTTTAACGAGAGTTTTTGGAAAATACTGAAAATACAAAATCTGTAGGTAGAAGTTCTAGAATTATTTTTTCTTTGCTTTTGTTTTGACTTTTAATTTAATCTACACTGATATACTTTGTGAGTCCTTGTAAGCCACCTTAAATAGATTTGGAGATAAGGTAAAAAAAAAAAAAATCAATAAAATTTTAAGAGCAAGAGTACTTGATACAGGCCAGATATCAACCTAAGAATTTTCTGTATAGTAACTCATCTACATTTCAACCACCTCATGAACTGCAGGCTGTTATGACCCCTACTTGTATAGATGAGGGATAGAGAGTCAAAAACCTTGTGCACACATCTAGTAAGTGGCAGAACCAGGATTTAGACCCAGGCCAGCTTGCTGTAGTATGCACAATCCTGACCAATAAGCTACACCTCTGATTCAAAAATACATTAGTTGCATTGTTACAAGCAGAATTCACACATGGGACCCAGGTTTTATGACTAATGATCACAAACTTTGATATATTAATATTTTTAGTCAAATGAATTGATTGTCAAAACCTCAACAGGCTTATTTTGTAGAAATTAATAAGCTGCTAGAATGACTATGGAAAGCCAAAGGAGCTAGAATAGCCAAAGAAATCTTTAAGAAGAACAAAATCGGAGGACTGACACTACCTGATGTCATGAATTGTTCTAAAGCTGCAGTAATGAAGACACTGTGAATTTGGCAATTTTACTGAAGTCCAACTTATCAATTTTTTTCTGTTACAGTTTGTACTTTTTATGTCCTAGCTGAGAAATCTTTGCTTATCCCAAAATTGCCAAGATGTCCTCTTGTGTTTTCTTTTAGAAGTTCTATAGCTCTTGTGTTTAAATAACATGCTTCTTAACTTTACAAGTTGAGTCATTATTGACTGACTTCCTAATATCGAATTTTAGATCTCTAGTCCTCTGACCCTCCCTACTATCCCCACATTCACTTCCCTCCCTCCATCTCTTAATATAGCATCATACTATATCTGGTTCAATCTGTATTAATTATTTTCCTTTCAGAGTTGAGCCACGCACCATGCTTACACTTTTTTTTTTTTTTTCCCCAAGATGGAGTCTTGCTCTGTCACCCAGGCTGGAGTGCAGTGGTGCGATCTCAGGTCACTGCAACTTCTGCCTCCTGGTTTCAAGCAATTCTGTTTCCTCAGCCTCCCAAAGTGCTGGAATTACAGGCATGATCCAATGCGGCCGGCCCATGCTTACACTTCTTTTTATGTATATGTTTGCTTTTTCTGGAGCTAATAACTACCTTGTTTTTTCATTTGCTGAATTTTTTTTTCTTTTCTTTTTTTGAGACAGTCTCATTTCCTTAATTTTCTTTTCTTTCTTTTTTTCTTTTTTTTTTTTTGACAGAGTCTTGCTCTGTCACCCAGGCTGGAGTTCAGTGGCACAAACTCAGCTCACTGCAACCTCTGCCTCCTGGATACAAGCGAGCATATCCAGCGAATTTTTGTATTTTTGGTAGAGATAGGGTTTCTCACCATGTTGGCCAGGCTGGTCTCGAACTCCTGACCTCATGATCTGCCCACCTCGGCCTCCCAAAGAGCTAGGCTTACAGGCATGAGCCACCACGCCCTGCCTCATTTGCTTAGTTTTCTATATGCTATTGTTAAATCCTGCCCAAGTTCACCTAAAGAACTCTAAATTTCTTCAACACATTCACCAATCACAAGTCAGGAAATCTACCACTTCCTCCTTCTTATTTTTTTTTAGGCACAATCCGTGGGGCCTTTCAATCACCTCCTGTTCCTCTGGTCTTTGCTCCCTCACTGCACAACAAATGGCCAGGCACGTCTCTTCACTCTTTTCCTGAAATTTCTTTTGCTGTGCTAAGTTGAACCTTCTCTTGCCATGATGATTCTTAAACAGCTGATTATGGAATTATGAAATTCATAAGGCTGGATGTGATGGCTGGTGTCTGTCATCCCAGCACTGTGTCAGATGACTAGCTTTCTTAGCAGCTCATTTGAGGACCACAGGTAAGTTTCTTTCTGAGAAAGAAAGCAAAGGAAACAAATGGAGACATCATGGGTTTCTTGATTCTACCCTCACACTTGACTGATAATTTGGCTGTTGCAGAATTAGAAGTCGATAATAATTTTTAGGAAATTCGAAGGTTTCCAGTAAGACTGTTGCTAAGCACAATGTGATTCTGATCCCTGATCTTTTATATAAGCACATTTTGTTTGTTTGTTTGAATTTGTTGTTTGTTTGTTTTCAGGAAACCTTAGGATCCTCTCTTCACCTCTCTTGTTCTAAAGTGCAAGGTTCACTTGGTGTGGTGCTATTTTGTGGCGGCCCTTAAAAACGGGGTTATCTCGTTCTGGAAAACATTATTTTGTTTCTTTGACAATATGCTCCCATCCATCTTCCCTTTTTCATTATTGAATCTACTAACCAATGAGTATAATAACACCTTCAAGGCTGATCATCTATCTCATTTAGTTTCGGTTTTCTATTTCTTTGTCTTTACAGACAATATCCTAGAGTTTTTCTTCTTGAATTTTTTTAATTCTGAAAATCACATTTTTATTTCTTAAGAAATGTTTTTATTCTATGATTTTTCCTTTTTTAAAAATTGTAAAACAGCAAATGAGAATAAGTTATATGTAACAAATGTACACCTTAATGAATGACTATAAAATGAACCCCCTGTAACCACCAGTCTCAGCAGAAACAGAAGATTGCTAACCACCCCAAAGCCACCTCATACAGGGTCCTCTCCAAACAGTCTTGTGATAGCCCCAAGATGGAGCTACTATTCGAAGTTTTATAGCAGCCCATATGCTTGCTTTCATTACAGAACTTATATCATCTAATCATGCATTCGTAAACACTTGATACATAGGCCAGGCGTGGTGGTTCATACCTATAATCCCAGCATTTTGGGAAGCCGAGGCAGGAGGATTGCTTGAGCCCAGGAGTTCAAGACCAGCATAGGTAACATGGCAAGACCCCCAAGTCCACAAAAAATAAAAATAAAAATAAACATTATCTGGGCATGGTGGCACCTGTGGTCCCAGCTACTCAGGAGACTGAGGTGGAAGGATCGCTTGAGCCCACAGGTCAAGGCTGCAGTGAGCTTTGATTACACCACTGTTCTCCAGCCTAGGTGACAGAATGAGACTGTGTCTCAAAAAATAATAACTTTTTGAAAAACCTTAGTTTTGCCTTTTCTAAAAACATATAACTGAAATTATACTGTATACATTATGTTTAGTCTTTTGCTGAACTTCAGGTTTGAGAAATTCATCCACGTTGCACATAATTTTGTACATTCATGTTTATTCTTTACGGCAGTCTATTACACACATGTTACAATGTGTTAATCCTTTTTACTTTTGATAGAGATTTATGTAAAACATTTACATAGAAGTGGGCTTTCTGGGTCACAAGGTAGGCAAATCATAACTTCAGTAGAAAATGTGAAAACATTTGCCAATATGGTCCACCCATCTACGCTCCAACCAGCAATGTGTGTGAACACCAGTTGCTCTTCACCAACCCCTAGTCTTGTCTTCTTTGATTTTAGCCATTCTAGGAGTGTGAAATGGTGACTTAGTGTGCTTTTAATGTTCACTTTCCTGATGAACAAAGATGCTTATTTATTTATTTATTTAGACTTAAAATCCACCAAGAATTGATATGGTTCATATAGATTGTCCCAGCACAATTCAATGAAATCTATGGTTTTCTGCTTTGTGTTGCTGCTTTCACTATAAATCAAGTGTTCATGCACACGTGCTTCTGTTTCTGGGATTTTCATCCTGTTACATTGGTCTATTTGTTTTTCTATCCACCAATTTCACACTCTCTTAATTACCATAACTTTATTTTGTTATGAAATTCAGTAGGCCGGGTGTGGTGGCTCACGCCTGTAATCCCAGCACTTTGGGAGGCCGAGGCGGGCGGATCACGAGGTCAGGAGATTGAGACCATCCTGGCTAACATGGTGAAACCCCGTCTCTACTAAAAATACAAAAACAAAATTAGCCGGACGTGGTGGCGAGAGCCTGTAGTCCCAGCTACTCAGGAGGCTGAGGCGGGAGAATGTCGTGAACCCGGGAGGCGGAGCTTGCAGTGAGCCGAGATCGCGCCACTGAACTCTAGCCTGGGCAACAGAGCGACACTCCGTCTCAAAAAAAAAGAAAAAAGAAAAAAGAGAGAAAAAAAAAAGAAAAGAAAAAAAGAAATTCAGTAGAGCAAGTATTCCTAAATTCTTCTTGCAATTTCATATCAATTTTGAAATCAGCTTGTCAAGTTTCGCCCACTCATATGTACACACAAAAGTAGGGCCAGGCATGCTTGGTGGCTCATGCCTGTAATCCCAACACTTTGGGAGGGCAAGGCACAAGGATCACTTGAGTCCAGGAGTTTGCCAGCCTGGGCAACATAGTGAGACCCCTTTTCTACAAAAAAAAATTTAAATTTAGCTGGGCATTGTTGTGTGTACCTGCAGTCCCAGCTACTTGGGAGGCTGAAGTGTGAGAATTGCCTGAGCCCAGGAGTTCGAGGCTGCAGTGAGCTATGATTTTGCCACTACATTCCGGCCTGGGAAACAGAGTAAGAACCTGTCTCTGAAAAAAAAAAAAAAAAAAGCGCAATATCTGGGAGTTTTTATTGGGTTTGCATTAAATCTATATACAGGCATACCTCAGGGGTATTGCAGGTTTGGTTCCAGATCACCACAATAAAGTGAGTATTGCAATAAATCAAATCACAGATTTTCAGTTTTCCAGTGCATTAAAAAGTTCTATTTACACTATACTGTAGTCTAAGTGTGCAATAGCATTCTAAACAATGTACAAACTTTAATTAATAAACACTTTCTGCTAAAAAAATAAAATGCTATTAATCATCTGAGGCTTCAGTGAGTTGCAATATTTTTGCTGGTTGGAGAGTCTTCCTTAATGTCAATGGTTGCTGACTGATCAGGGTGGTGGTTCTGAACATAGGGGTGGCTTTGGAAATTTCTTAAAATAACAATAACAAGCATCACTTGCTGCACTGATTGACTCTTTCTTTTGTGAAAGATTCCCCTGTAGCATGCAATGCTCTTTGATAGCATTGTACCCATAGTAGAACTTCTTTCAAAATTGGAGTCAATCTTCGCAAAACCTGCCACTGCTTTATCAACTAAAATTATGTAGTATTTTAAATCCTGTTATTTCAATAATGCTCACGGCATCTTCACCAGGAGTAGATCCCACCTCAAGAAACCACTTCTTTGCTCATCCATAAGAAGCAACTCCTCATCCATTCAAGTTTGATATTGAGATGGAAGCAAGTCAGTCATATTTCCAGGGTCCACTTCTAATTCCAGTTCTCTTGCTATTTCCACCACATCTACAGTAATTTCCTCCATTAAAGTCTTAAACTCATCAAAGTCATCCATGAGGGTGAAATCAACTTCTTCCAAGCTTCTATTAATGTTGATATCGTGACCTCTTCCTATGAATCATGAATGTCCTTAATGGCATCTAGAATGGTGACTCCTTTCCAGAAGGTTTTCATGTACTCTGCTCAGATCCATCAGAGGGATCACTATTGATGGCAGCTATATAGCCTTAGGAAATGTACTCCTTAAATAGTAAGACTTGAAAGTCAAAATTACTCCTTGATCCATGGGCTACAGAATGGATGTTGTGTTAGCAGGCATAAAAGTGACATTCCTCTTCTTGTACATCTCCATCAGAGCTCTTGGTGACCAGGTGTATTGCTAATAAGCAGCAATATTTTGAAGGTAATCTTTGTTCTGAGCAGTAGATCTAAACAGTGGGCTTAAAATATTTAGTAACTCATGCTATAAACAGATGTGCTGTCATCCAGGCTTTATTGTTCCATTTATGGAGCACACACAGAGTAGATTTAGCATAATTCTTAAGGGGCTAGGATTTTCAGAATGGTAAATGAGCCTTGGCTTCATCTTAAAGTCATCAGCTGCATTAGCCCCTTACAAAAGAGTCATCCTGTCCTCTGAAGCTTTGAAGCCAGTCATTGACTTCTTCTCTTTAGCTATGAAAGTCCTAGATAGTATCTTCTTCCAGTAGAAGGCTGTTTTGTCTGCACTGAAAATCTGTTGTTTAGTGTAGCCACCTTCATTAATGATCTTAGCTAGTTCTTCTAGAAAACTTGCTGTAGCTTCTACTTCACCACTTGCCGCTTCACCTTGCGCCATTATGTTTTGGAGCTGGCTTCTTTCCTTAAGCCTCACACACCAACCTCTGCTAGCTTCCAGCCCTTCTTCCTCACCTCTCTCAGCTTTCATGGAATTAAAGAGTGTTAGGGGCTTGCTCTGGATTGGGCTTTAAGGGAGTGTTTTGGCAGCTTTGATCTTGTATCCAGACAACTAAAACTTTCTTCATATCAACAATCAGGCTCTCTTGCTTTCTTATCATCCATGTGGTCACTGGAGTAGCACTTCTAATTTCCTTTAAGAACTTTGCATTCACAGCTTGGCTAACTGTTAGGCACAAGAAGCCTAGCTTGGCTTTTGACATGCCTTCCTTTCTAAGCTTAACCATTTCTAGCTTTTGATCTCAAGTGAGAGATGTGTGATACCTCCTTTCACTTGAATATTTAGAGGTCGTGTAGGGTTATTAATAGGACTGATTTCCATATTGTTGTGTCTCAGGAAATAGGGAGGCCCAAGAAGAGGGAGAGAGATGGAGGAATTGCCAACCTGTGGAGGAGTCAAACACACACATTTATTGAATAAGTTTTTCATCTTATATGGGTGTGGTTCATAGCATTCCATTCCAAAACAATTACCATAGTAACATCAAAGATCACTGACTACAGATCATCATAACAGATATAATAATAATGAAAAATTTGAATATTTTGAGCATTACCAAAATGTGACACAGAGACACAAAGTGAGCTCACACTGTTGGAAAAATGGCACCAATAGACTTGCTGAACACAGGGTTGCCACAAACCTTCATTTGGTAAAAAAAGGCAATATCTGCATAGTGCAATAAAGTGAAGCATGCCTGTGCTTGCTCTCTTTTTCAATTTGATAAGAAACTCCCACCAGGAGTTTATCAATTTCATTCATCTTTTAAAAATGAATTTTTGTTCATTAATAAAAATAAAAATAAGACAAATCAGTCTATGGAATTAGAAGTCAGGCTAGTAGTTTCATTGTGAGAGTCATAGTATCAGGCAGGGATGAGGGTGGGGCACCAGGAATGCTTGGGGTGCTCTTTTTCTTGATCTGGATGTTGCTTACAAAAATGTTCACTTTGTGAAAATTTGTTGAGCTATATGCTAAGTGATGTGTGACTTTTTTAGTACGTATGATACACTTCAGTAAAAATCAATTTGAAAGACAACTGTTGGGTTGTCAATTCTATTTGTATATTTCCTTTCTATTTCATTTATTTTTGTTCTTGTCTTTATTATTCACTTTCTTCTACTTTGGTATTTTATTGTTATTTTTCTGATTTATTGAGATGGATATTTATGCTTTTTAGCATTGAAAGCTAAAATACTTCTTTTTATACACAGCTTTAGGTATATCTCACAAGTTTTGATATGGAATATTTCATTATCATTTAGCTTGAAATATTTTCTAATTTCCATTTTTCTTTTTCATTTCAATTTAATTTTAATTTTGGTTTAACTTTAATTTCTTACTGCTTTTCTTTTCACCTTTAGATGACTTATAAACATTTTCTTAACTTTAAAACATAAGATGTTTTATGAACTATATTTCTCTCTTTATTGCATTGTGGTCAGAGAAGATCTTGTATGCTTTTAATCTTTTGTAATTGGTAGAGACTTGCTTAATGATTCAGTATATGATCAATATTTATAAGTGGTCCATTTACTTTTGAAAATAGTGCTCATTCTGCAGCTGTTGGATGCAGCATTCTGTATATGTCTTTTAGGTCTAATTTGTAATTATGTTACTGAAACCTAAATCCTTACTGATATTTTGCCTATTTGTTTTATTATTTGCTACTAATTGTGTATTTATCCTTATATTTGTCAAATTTTTTATTGTATGTAAGACTATGCTATTAAATGTATACACATTTAGAATTATTGTATCATCTGTGGTAATGAAATATTTTACAATTTTGATGTGTCTCTTCCCTTACTTAGTAATTTTTGTTGCCTTAAAATCCACTTTAATATTAATATTGCTATTTCAACTTTTTTTTTTTTTTGGTGTTTGTATGATACATTTTTTAAATTCCGCTATTATTTAATTAATTGAGACAGGGTCTCACTCTGTTGCCCAAGCTGGAGTGCAGTGGCACAATCAAGGCTCACTGCAGCCTCAATCTCTCAGGCTCAAGCGATCCTCCTTCCTCAGCCTTCCCAGTGGCTGAGACTACAGGCATGCACCACCATGCCCAGCTAATTTTTAATTTTTTTCTCCCAATCTTGCCCAGGTTGGTCTTGAACTCCTTCACTCAAGCAATCCTCCTGCCTTGGCTTCCCAAAGTGTCAATCCTTTTGTTTTCAATCTTTCTGTATCTTTGTTTAAGATAAGTCTTTCTTAAATTGCATATAGGTTTTTATCAGTCTTATAAGTTTTTTATTTTGAGTTATAATTCTTCTGTTTTGTAATTCTATTGAATACTATATGTGTATATTTTAATATGAAGTTATAATTTTACTACATAATTTCTAATTTTTTATTCTATACTCTCTTTTCTTAACTTTTTTGAATTAAAAAAATTATTCTTTTTTTGGCAGTTTAGAAGATATGTACTCTTTAATATTTTTCAGCAGTTTATTCCTGAGATCACAGCATGCATCTGACTCACCAGAGTTTGACGTTACTTTGCACTTCTACTTTCTTCCTGGGCAATGCAAGGATATTGGAACATTTTAATTAAGTTTAATCACTTCCTGTTATATAATTTTAGTTCTAACAACAACATAAACCTTATAAAAATAATATACAGTCAATATTCATTTTGATTAATCTATATTTCATTTTTATTCTTTCCTGTTTATCAAACTTTTTATCTGGGATAAGGTCTCTTCTGCTTGAAATATATCCTATAGTTTTCCTTGACGATCAGGTCTGCTAGTGAATTACTTCAGGTTTTGTTTGCTGGAAAATATATTTAATTCACCATTTTTTTCTAGAATATATTTGCTGGGAACTAGAAGTCAGAACACTGAAGATATTATGCCATTGATTTTTGGCTTTTTTTTTTTTGAGACAATGTCACTCTATTGCCCGGCTGGAATGCAGTGGTGCAATCACAGCTCACTGCAGCATCAACTTCCTGAGCTCAAGCAATCCTCCTGCCTCAGCCTCCCTGGTACCTGGGACTACAGGCACACACCACCATGCACAACTAATTATTTTTCATTTTTTGTAGAGATAAAGTCTCGCCATGTTGGCCAGGCTGGTCTCGAACTCCTGGGCACAAGTGATCTGTTCGCTTTGGCCTCCCAAAGTGCTGGGATTGCAGGCATGAGCCATAGTGCCTAGTTTGCCTTGTTATTCTTTTGGAAGTAATCTTTCTTTCTGCTCTTATGATTTTCTTTTTAGTTTCCCCTCCTCCACCACCACAGGTTTACTCTGATGTTTTTAGATGTGCATTTCTATTTTTCTGGCTTGGGTTTTTTGTTTTTTGTTTTTAAATTCTTGTATCTGTTGTAATTGATGTTTTTCATTAGTCTTAGAGAGTTCAAAGCCATGATTTATGTTAGGATTTTTAACTGTATCTCCTACCCTCTTCTGTGTTTCCTCTTCCTTTATCTTAAATATTTTTTGATCTTTTGAATGTTTTTCTTCTGAACTTTCTTTATGAAATTCACTAATTTTCTCTTCAAATTTCTCTAATCTGCCATAAAACCTGATCGTTGAGTTCTTAATTTCACTGTATTTTTATTTCTATTCTTTGAATGTTGTTCTTTTTCAACACATATTATTTTTTATGTTTTGTACTCTATGGGGAAATATTCAATCCTGTGTTTTTAGCTACTTGACCATAATAAAAGGAGTTATTTTAAAGTTTAGATCTAATAATTCCAATGTCTGGAGCCATGTAATCTTTCTGCTGGTTCTCTTCCGTGTAGTATTGACTTCTATTCTGACTGATTTATTTTGTATCAGCTTCCAGGAATTGTATTTGAAAATGTGTTTATGTCATAAACACATTTAGTAAATGAAATGAAATTTATAAATGTAAATGAAAATTATAGATGTAACTCGAAGCCTAGAATTGTGACATTTTCCTCCAAAGATGCTTTTCATCTCCTCTTGCCACATCCCTGTGGGGTCTGAGACATCCGGGCTCATGTTGATTCCTTTTCAGCTTTTGCCATTTCCAGGGCTGCTCTGGTGATGGTAAGCTGGGATTCAGTGGGAATGAGCACTAGCTTACTTCCAATTCTCCTCCACTCCTAAGGCACCATCCTTTAGAACCACACCTGGAGCACACAGGGTTTTCCAGGGACCTTACCCTTGGTGCTCTTCAGCTCTTCCTCTCTTCTCCAGGACTCCACACTCTGACAAATGCCGATTTCTCTCAGCCACCTCTTTTGGGTTGGCAACTGTTCCTGGACAGAAAGATGTCTCAAATGTTAGGCTTCTCTTTCCATTTTTTTTGGTTTTGCTTTTTGTTTTGCCTTGTTTTGTTGTTGTTGTTGTTGTTCCCTTCTCTCAGCTTTGTCTTAGTAATTTTTACCTCCTAGCCACCAAAGCAGATTTATTTAGTTGTAGTAGTATACATAGCATAAAATGTACTATTATGACCATTTTTAACTGTACAGCTCAGTGGCATTAAGTACATTCACATTGTTATATAACCATCACCACTATCCATCTGCATAACTTTTTCACCATCTCAAACTGAAACTCTGTACCCATTAGACAAGCACTTCCCATCCCCCTCCCCCAGCTTCTCCTCCCCTTCACTCTCTGATAACCACTATTCTACTTCCTGTCTTCATGAATCTGACTATTCTAGGTATGTGGCTCATGTAATTGGAATCATTCTATATTTGTCCTTGTGTGTCTGACTTATTTCACTTAGCATAGTGTCTTTAAGGTCCATCCATATTATAACATGTGTCAGAATTCTCTTCCTTTTAAGGCTGAATTATATATACATACATATATACACACACATATATTTATGTATACATATATACACATATATATTTATATATACATATATACACATATATATTTATATATACATATATACACATATATATTTATATATACATATATACACATATATATTTATATATACATATATACACATATATATTTATATATACATATATACACATATATATTTATATATACATATATACACATATATATTTATATATACATATATACACACATATATATACACACACACATATACAAACACACACACACACATATATATACACACACAAATACCATATTTTGTTTACCTATTCATCCCTGGATAAACGCATGTGTTTCTTCCACCTTTTGGCTATTGTGAGTAATGCTGCTATGAACATGGGTGTACAAATATCTGCTGAATCCTTTCTTTTTTTTTTTTTTTTTGTTGTTGTTGAGACAGAGTCTCACTCTGTTGCCCACGCTGGAGTGCAGTGGCGTGATCTCAGCTCACTGCAACCTGTGCCTCCCAGGTTCAAGCAATTCTCTGCCTCATCCTCCTGAGTAGCTGGAATTACAGGCACCCACCACCACGCCCAGCTACTTTTTTTTGTATTTTTAGTAGATATGGGGTTTCACCATCTTGGCCAGGCTGGTCTTGAACTCCTGATCTCCTGATCCACCCGCCTCAGCCTCCTAAAGTGCTGGGATTACAGGTATGAGCCGCCATGCCTGGCCCTGAAGTCCTTTCTTTCAATTCTTTTAGGTATGTACTCAGAAGTAGAATTGCTGGAACATATGGTACTTTTGTGTTAATTTTTTGAGGAACCCACCATATTATTTTCCACAGCATCTGCACAATTTTGCATTCCCATCAGCAATGCACAAGGGCTCCATTTGTCTGGGATCTTTGTTTTAATAATAACCATCCTAATGAGTATGAGGTGGTATCTCGTTATGGTTTTTATTTGCATTTCCCTAATGGTTAGAGATGTTGAGTACATTCTCATGTGCTTATTGGCCATTCGTGTATCTTCTTTGGAGAAATGTCTATTCAAATCCTTTGTCCATTTTTGAATTGGATTGTTTGGGTTTTTGTTGTTGAGTGTCAGGAGCTCTTTATATATTCTGGATATTAATTTCTTATAGATACGTGATTTGCCAATATTTTCCTCCATTCTGTCCATCTTCATATCAATCACAGAGGCATCACCCTTCAGCTAGTAGACTTTCACTTACTCTTCTGCCTCAGCATGTCCCCTCTGCCACACCTGCTGCTCTGAGTTCTGTGCTATGTGTGCTCAGTTCCCACAAATAATACATTTCCCTTTTCTTGCTGGGGTAGGAGAGGGCTAGTCACTTGGCTGCGTGGGCATAGAAGGAGATTTACAGACCTAGGCATTCCTTATAAAGGCTCTTCTCAGAACTTCCTGTACTTAGTGTGCTCCCCAGCCATGCCTCCAGCTCCTGGGCCTTTCTGGAATTCTGTGACACAGTCCTTGCTTCTTGTCAGTCATCCTTTCTTTGAACACATGAGATTTTACTTTCTCTGCTAGGTCAGTTTCCACTTTTATTTCACCTTTCATCTTCCAAAACATGTGCTGATATCTGCCATCAGCTGTCCTTTTCTTTCCTATTCTGTTTTCCCTGAAGATTGTATATGCTTTTATCTCAATGCTGCCACTTTGATGGGGTTGCAGGAGGGAGTGGTGATAATACATGTTTAAGCCCCCAGGTCTACCGGAAGCCTATTTAATTCTGTCAGTCAAGAAAATGACGAGACAAATCTCAATCATTTTTGGAGATTTATTTGCCAAAGTTAAGGACAAAGTTAACACCTGCCCAGGAGACAGGTCTATGCCTTTTCCCCAGGATGATTTTGGGGGCTCCAAATTTAAAGGGGAAAGGGCGGGATATTGAGAAGCACACAGTTTTCACTTAAACAAAAGGGCAAAGAAAAACGTGGGGAATCTGCATTTTACATAAGATAACACAGACAAAACGGGGTAGAGGAACAATCGGATATGCATTTGTGTCTGGCAGGCCGGGGTGACTGCCTGTAAAGCTATCAATTAGCATTGCCATGGTGAAGTTTTAACAGCACCAGGTATTTCCTTGTTGGCAAAGGAAGGGGAAGTTGGGTAGCTTTTCATCTTGTAGCCATTTCATTTAGGAACCAAAAGGTGGAGGCAGGTGTGCATGACCCAGTTTCCAGCTTGACTTTTCCCTTTGGCTAACTGAGTTTGGGGTCCCAAAATTTAATTTCCTCTCACAATTCTCTCAACAACACTAAGAATACTTGTGCTAATTTTATTTATTTATTTATTTATTTTTATTTTTTTGAGACGGAGTCTTGCTCTGTCACCCAAGCTGGAGTACAGTGGCAGGATCTTGGCTCACTGCAACCACAGCCTCCAGGTTCAAGTGATTCTTGTGCCTCAGCTTCCCAGGTTGCTGGGGTTACAGACGCCCACCACCATGACTGGTTAATTTTTGTATTTTTAGTAGAGGCAGGGTTTCACCATCTTGGCCAGGGTAGTTTCAAACTCCTGACCTCAGGTGATCCTCCCACTTCGGCCTCCCAAAATGCTGGGATTACAGGCGTGAGCCACCACACCCGGCTACTTGTGCTAATTTTAAAGATAAAGTGTCATGGTCACTCAGTTAGGAGGTGGAGAGGCTGGGTTTGGAGCACAAATCTGTCTGATGCTGGAGCATGTGCTCTCATGCTATACCATCATATGCTCACTCTCATGTTATGCCTTCTGCCGTAGCTAAACAAAGCTTATGCTTAAAAAAAAATCTATTAATTTAATGTAGAGAAGTCCTAGGCAAAATAAAAACATTTTAATTTTTTTTCTAGTAAAGAAGGAAACTTACTTCAAAGTTCTTAAGTAATTATGCACATCTCAGGAAGTAATCTTTCAACTCTTGTGTTGCACACATTCACTGTGCCATGTAAGAATTTAGCAATCAAAATATTAATAATAGCAATAAAAGGAAGTATATATGTTTATTAAATGCAATATTCATGCAGTTTTCAAAGAGTCTACAGCTTACAAAATAACTAATTACACTGCAATCTCTTTCTCTCTCTCTTTCTTTGATGTACATTTCTTTTAGTAAAAGTCATCTGAGAAAGCACAGTAGTGGTACATAACCCTTAGAATTCATGTGCTTTGGCAGAAGCCCCTGGAAATATCACCTAAAAGTCAAATACCAGAGAATTATCTGAACATTTGTCATCCATGAAGACTCACAGTCAAAACTATATCTTCTTGGTTTTAGGTTACATGTCTGGCAGTACAGTTGATTGAATATTAATTTGATTACTTTTTACACTAAGAAAAAGACTGATCATTTCTTATGCTATGCCTCTTAAGATAGCAAAGAAGAAATTATACAGTGGTGGCTGATTGCATGGACTTTAGGACTTGACTGAGCTTTGTTCAAATCTAGGGCCTACTAGTTGCATGACCTTGAGGAAGTCTGCATCTCTAAACACAGAGGTTCCTTGGAAAATGAGGACGATAAGAACAGTGTCTACTTCATAGAGTTTTTGTAAATATTAAAAGAGGAAATAGAGGTTAGTGTAGTGTCTAACGCCTGTAATCCCAGCACTTTGGGAAGCCAAGGTGGGTGGATCACTTGAGATCAGGATTTTGAGACCAGCCTGGCCATCATGGTGAAACCCCATCTCTACTAAAAATACGAAAATCAGCCAGGCATGATGGCAGGCGCCCTCATGCTACTCAGCTACTCAGAAGGCTGAGGTACGAGAATCACTTGAACCCAGGAGGTGGAGGTTGCAGTGAGCTGAAATTGAGCCACTGCACTCCAGCCTGGGTGACAGAGCAAGACTCTGTCTCATAAATAATAAATAAATAAATAAATAAATAAGTAATAAAAAGAGGAAATGCAGGTAAAGGGTTTAGCATGGTGTCAGGCACATAATCAGAGCATAGTAATGGGCAGGGGCTATTACCCTACATTTGTTCAGAAGTTTTACTGGGAAGGCCCCTAGAAAAGTGAATGAAATGGAAATAAACAGAAAGAAGAGAGGGTGGGTATGAGAGAAACAAAGATTTGTTGAAGGCCTACTTCATATCAAGCATCAAGCTACAGTAATTATATAGCTTAATCACTTTCATCCTGCAACAACTCCCGGGGTTGTGTGGGGTCACCCATTTCCCAAACAAGGAGGAAAGTAAGTTGAGGCCACATGGATGTGGAAGTGGAATTTGGATTCCTATTTGCCAGACTCCAGTCTACTCTCATTTTTACAACATGCACTTTGCTGAAGTCGGATACTGAAGTGACTGGAAGTCAGGTCATCTGTGAATTTGTATTCTATTCTATTTCTGGATCTTTCTTTTTTTCAAAAAAGCAAATTCTCCCAGATATTTCTGGTTGTTTCATTAATGTTATGTTATTATGTGTAAAGTACAAAATTAATTTCTTCTCCTTTATTAATCATCCTTGGGGTGTGGGGTTAAAAATAATTCTCCCTGATTTCTCATGGGGTATTTAAAAATAATAAATTTCATGAGTTATTTTAGAGGGCAAGTCTCTAGATAAAATAAAAATCAAATTTTAGAACTAGAGGAGCTTTTAGAGATCACACAGGAGAACCTGCTCATTCAACAGAGGAAGAGACCCAGGCTTAAAGAAAAAGACTTGTCCATGTTCTGACAATGAGTTAATTGCAGGGTGGTCCTGACTCTTTTCCACAACCACCACCTTAGGGCATTTTTTCCTCTGCCTGATGTGGGAGGACAGAAGCATCATGGCTCCCTTCTAGGGCTGTAGACTCCTTGTCAACTTCAAGATCTTCCAATTCAGTCTTGCAAACCTTCCTCTCATTTCACCCATAGTTAATAAAAGTAGTTTCCAACAGTAATAAAAAGTGGACTTATTATGAGAAGTATCTATCATATATAAAATGTACCTGGTAGGTGGTAATTCTATTATTTTCACTGATTTTTCCCTCTATTTTTTCCTATTTCCTTTGTCCAGCAGAGTCTAGGCAATTTGTGCTCCAATGCATCCTCAAAATGGCAGAAGAGACACATGCAGAATTGGAAGGTTGGCTGTGCAATAGGTATCGGTTGAGAGGTCACAAGACAAAAAGCCCAGCCTAATAACACTCCAAACCAAATATGTGTCTTCAACATCTATGTCTCTATTTTTATTTGAAAAATAAAATCAGGAATCTTGCTAATTCTTTCAACAGATGTCCATTCATCTTTAAGCTTTAAAAAACAGTCAGTCAGTGTCATTGACGCCCGCAGTGGAATGGGAATATTATTTCTCTGGTCAATTGTAGATGTGGAAAAGGGCAGTAGCGCCCAAACTCTGCCTCACCAAGCAAGATATACTGCACACAGTGCTCAGGGGAGCTGTTAGGCTTCTCACTGTGCCCTTATTAGAAAGTGAGCAGGTGCCACACTGTGTACGCATTAGCAGAATACACTGAACGCAAGTTGCTGGCTCAGGCTATTGTGCTGATGGAGGCAAAGTGAGAGCAGGACCATTATAAAGACTCCTAGACCCAGAGCATGAGGAGGACTGTGAAGCACTATGTGCTACATATATATATATTTTAGTTTTGCACATTTGAACTTCATTTATTCAAACATACATAACCCTATCATTAAACACCAGAAAAAAACACTAAGAATTTGTCTGTCTTTAGAAGAATGCTTTCAATCTGGATTGGCCTTGCTGGTGGAATTCACTAAATCATAACTGTTAACAGTCAAGGCATGCAATGGCCCACATGGGGCCTCTTCCAGAGAGACATTGGAAAAATAGAGAAAAGACTCTCCTTTCTTCTGCCAATAGCCCCTTAGTTTAATTGTGTTGATTGTTTTCCAAAAGCATGGGAAAGTAAGGAATGATTTAAGAAACAGAGGGGTTTGGAAGTGAGGTGCAAGACCCCGCAGACAGGAAAGGGCACCCTTTAGAGGTTGCTCACATCATTTGCTGGCTGTCAAGGTCCTCAGTCTTACCTACCTCACAGGAGTGGCCTGAGTCCTATTTCTTAGCACTGTTTGGTAAGATTTTATGCTAGTCAGAGAAAAAATAAAAATAATTTTTTTCCATCATGCAAAAATTATTTGGGGCAGCAACACTGAACATTAAAATTGAGAATTTTTCTGAGCTCACAGTAATTAATGAGACCTTTTCAAGTTTCTCAAAATTTGTGAGTCTGCTTAAGGGAAAAGAGTCATTAACATAAGCAAAAAAGGAAGAAATTATGTGATGCTCACTGGAAGAAATGGGTGTGGTATTTTATTTGTTTTGTTTGTTTGTTTGTTTTATCATTCAAACCTGCTGGCTCCTAGCCTTCTTCATATAGTAGTCTCAGGGGTTTTTTTGTTTTTTTGTTTGTTTGTTTTGAGATGGCGTCTTGCTTTGTCACCCAGGCTGGAGTGCAGTGGCACAATCTCAGTTCACTGCAACATCTGCCTCCCCGGTTCAAGCGATTATCCTGCCTCAGCCTCCCAAGTAGCTGGGATTACAGGCACTTGCCACCACGCTTGGCTCATTTTTGTATTTTTATTAAAGACGGGGTTTCACCATGTTGACCAGGCTGGTTTCAAATTCCTGGGCTCCAGTGATCTGCCCGCCTCGGCCTCCCAAAATGCTGGGATTACAGGCATGAGCCACCATGCCCAACCCAGGTTATTTTAAAAGGAAATATTTGGCTCGCTCCTTAATCACATTCTCGTCTTATATTTCCTGTCTACCACCATCCATTGTCTGTCTGATTCTCTAACATTCTGAACCTTCTTCCTGGTCCCTCTGAAATGCAATTCTGTCTATGCCTGTCTACAGTGTCCAGAGAAAAAATACGAAATTGGAAGCTTGTGAGGAGATTGCAGTGACCAATGGAGCAGCTCTGAGAAATAACCCACTCAGAGGCTGCCTGTCAACTCCCCCAGTAATGACCCAGTTCCTAAGCTAAGCCATCCTCAGGTATAAAGGGTATTAAGGGTTTAGTCAAACAGGTCACTTGATAGCTACGGTAGACATCTGCCCTTTTTATCAGCCAGACATCTATCCCCTACTAAGAAATAGATATTTACTAAGACTGTCACTGCAACAAGCAAGTGCCAAACTAGGGGAAACTGCTACTGTTGATTTGCGAAAATTAGTCTCTGGGGACGACTGAGATGTTTCACTGAAGATGTACTGCACAAGTTCCACTTCATGTTTTCCAACCTTTTTTTTTTAACTTTTATTTTAAGTTCAGGGGTACAAGTGCAGGTTTGTTACATAGTAAATTTATGGGCGATTGTTGGATAGATTATTTCATCACCCAGGTATGAAGCCTAGTACCCATTCATTATTTTTCCTGATCCTCTCCCTCCTCCCACCATCCACCCTTCAAGAGGCCCCAGTGTGTTTTGCTTCCCTCCCTGTGTCCATGTGTTCTCAACATTTAGCTCCCACTTATAAGTGAGAACATGCATTATTTGGTTTCTGTTCCCGTGTTAGTTTGCTAAGGATAATGACCTCCAGCTCCGTCCATGTCCCTGGCAAAGGACATGATTTTATTCTTTTTTATGGCTGTATAGTATTCCATGGTGTATATGTACCACATTTTTGTTATCCAGCCTATCACTGATGGGCATTTAGGCTGATTCCATGTCTTCACTATTGTGAATAGTGTTGCAATGAACAAACATGTGCATGTGTCTTCATAATAGTGCAATTCATATTCCTTTTAGTATATACCCAGTATTGGGATTGCTGGGTTGAATGGTATTTCTCTCTTTAGGTATTTGAGCAATCCCTACACTGTCTTTCACTATCAACCTTTTGAAAGCTCCTTCCACCTGCCCACTCATTCTCCACTTCCAAAATCCCACTCTGATATCATTGGAGTTCTACCTGACCTTCTCAGCACTAGTCCTGTAAAAATCCTGCCATACTTTCCTTGTTGATGAGACTGCATTTGTGAGTGTTTTCCCTTGCCCAGCAAGAATAAATTTAATTTAACCAACCAATTATCCCTAATGGGCTTGTGGGACTTTTGGCATTTCCTTCTGGTAAAAGCACCTCAAATTCTCTTGGGAGAACTCATCCATAGTCTCGATGCACATGTTTCCAGGCATTACTGACTTTGCTCTCATTTCTAAGTGTGAACACGTGGCTCTGGCCTATGCAACTATCACATCCCTCTTGACAGATGAACCAGTGCTGGGCACATGAATCAAGCCAGATGATCAGAAGCAATGAGCATCAACCTGAGGATAGTTCTAGAGCTACTGGTGAATAGGCATTTTTCTTTCCACTGGGGTTGCTAAGCCAGGAGCTTCCCGAGGCCATTTTGAAACTATATGAAAGAGGCTGCCTGAAACAGAGAGAAAGCAATTCATAGGGACAGCATTTTCGAGCATAGATCTTTCATGCTTGAACTCTGTTTGGACTTTTAGTTATGTGAACCCATTAGCTCCTTCTTCATTGAAGCTAATTTGAGTTACTGCCTATTGCTTGTAATAAAAAAAAATATTAACAGAAAGTCAATAATCAAGTTACTGCTTATTCTGTGTGGACAAAACCCAGCTGGTACCTTAATCTAGTAACTGGGGTTGTTTATTCCTCTTGCCCTCCCTTAATCCATTTGCCATAATATTGTTTCCAAATATTTGCTCTTTCTCTATGGTGGGATTATACATCCCCACCCTGTGTTGTGATCTGTCCACATCCTAGGGAAGGAGCACATGAGATCACCTCATTGATGAACTTAGCCCACTGTGCTTTAGCCAATGGGTTATAAATGTCCATAACATCAGCTTTATTTTACCAGAAGCTTTACATCATATGGTAAATGTGATGTAAAGATAGCCCAGGGTCTTCTGCATTCCTGCCCGCTGCCATGAGAATAGCAGTTCTCCTATAGAAACTTTTTGTTCAATCTGGGTGCCAGACATCTACAACCCTCATGTATCTTTAGCAAGAAATACTGTTCTTGTTGTAAGCCATCCAGATTTCTTGGAGCTGTTTCTCACTGTTGCAAAAACTAAAGCATCTTAGTTCATCTTGGCCTAGCATTGCCTTGATTTGACAATTCTAATCTCATACTTTTAAATGACAAGGACCTTATTACCTGCTGCCTGTCTGAATCTCCTAACCCCAAGGGGGAGAAGGGGCAAGAGGATCTGGGGAAGAAGGAGCCAGGGCTGAGAGTCCACCCCTGAGACAGCATGAGTTCAAAGACCGTAGTGCCAGAAGACTCAGAAACAGTAGAAACAACACTGACTACAAAAGCTGGAGGAAAGACAGAAACAGCAACAAACTTGTAAAGGTCCAGATCATACATGAAGCAAGGAGCCAAGAATTTAGGACCTAGGGCTCAAAACTACTAAGGGTAGGAGAAATAAACCTGGCTGATCTGGGAATGGTATAGGGTGGGAAAGTGAATCCTGATTACTTTGTTAAGTTCACATTAAACGTCCTTGATGGAGCAGAAATCACCTCTACCCAGATCCCCTCACATTCTGCCCAGTGTTGGGATATCCCAGTGGGTTGCTTTCATGCACTTTAAGCCACTCTTAAGGTGGCAAGAAGATTCATTAACAGTTTTCCACCCCATATCCTTTCAATCACCACTGGCAGTAGAACTGAGTGCAGTGCTGGCCAAAGTCCCATCTTTCTCTCCCACATGCCCAATTATTTCTTCCTTTCACATGGTTGGTGTGGGAAGTTGGAATGGGGTGTTGGGGTTTCACATTGGGCTCTTTGTGGAGGAGCCCTGAAGAAAGCTGTAGAAAAAAGGACAGAATCCCATGGTGCTGACAGTCGAAGGTAGAATGCTGCAAATTTGATATCTTTTATGCTTTCCATGAAGTTATATTTTCCCTAGTAGTAGTTTTCCTGATTTCCGAAAGAAAGAGTGGGTTAGGCTCAGTTGTCAGGAGGAAAACCAGCCAGCTGTTCAATTCAGATTGTCTCCCTCAATTCTTTGCCTGTTTGCATTTGTGTTTTGCTATACTTGGCATGCCAGAGGGTGTCATGGTGGTGATCAGGAATGTTAAAAGCAGTGGGAGGGGTCATAGTTGCTATGAAATGGTGCTGTGGGTAAAGAGTACAATGAGTTGTTAAACACCATTCTGTGCAATGGAAGGGTAGGTGGACCCATTATAAATAAAGCCTGTCAGATGTGCGGCAATAAAGGTGATTTATTAGAAAGACCCATCTGTAAGATCTATCCATTGGTGAAGAGTATGAAAGAGAAGAATGAGGGCATGTGCACTTAGAGACAAAGACTTTGAACGGCGCTCTTCAAGGCTAAAAATGAGGCCCAGATGCAGGTGCCAGGTAGTCTGGGGAAGTGAAAAACTTCCCTCATGTATGGTGTGGCTGTGGCCAATGTGGATGGAGTAAACTGCTGTAAGGTGTGTGGGTGGGGGCGGGAGTGAGATTTCTAATACTCTGCTTTTATTTTGGTGACTAGCTACATGTACTAAATTGCTGTGCTATTACATTCTGAACTCCTTTTATACTTTCTTATTTATTGTTTTACCGCCCCCCCCCCACCCCCGCAACTTAGCACAAGCATTGTTCTTTGTTCTGTGGGTGATAATTGCTGAATAATAACAATTATGGCAACAAATGGTTAATTAAATGAATGAATGATATAGATCCACACAGGAGTACTATCAGGTAAAAATAGCCTTAACACCAAGCTGTTTTCATAAAGTAGATTCATTTACAGATTTTTTATTATTGTTAGAGAAAGAACTTCTTTTAATGAAAAAAATGTTAGATGATAGCCAGTAAAACACATTTAATTGTTAATTCTGGGCTTAGAAGAAGAAGATACAGTAAACGGGAATATCGCCATACATTTTACAACAATCATTTGAAAAGGCAGTCATTTTCCCAAGCAGTTCACATTTGATCACCTCCATTAAGGACTTCACACAAGGGAACCATGGTATCTTTCTAACAAAGGCACCGGAGGTATTCAAGCCATTGTCATCTAATAGCAAAGCCCTTAATCCTGCCCGCCTACCTTCTAATCTTATATGCAATATAGTTAGTTTGTAAGGCTAGAGAAAAACATGCATAGTTGACTAATTATTTAGGACTCCAGGGTAATTCTTAAAGGAGAGAGTGTTAATTCCCAGGCACCCCTCAGCAAGCCTCTGCTGATGTTTTTCTTGCATCAAAGTAAAAAGTTCATGTATCATTATAGGGTACAGTCTCTGAAGATCTATTCCATCTCAGAAAAAAATGCCTTTGAAGAATTTAGGTGATACATAGTCCCATTAATGGTGTATTGCACAAAGTAATTATGCACACAGAATCATTATATTCATAAGGAAGTTTGAACACTTTTGAAATGAGGGCTGTTGGTTTTTGTTTTGCTTTGTTTTATTTTGTTCTTGGTAGCTTCCGGTACTATTATGTTCATCCCATGATTGAAGATAGTCTTAGGGTTAATTTTTTAATTTTTTACTCCCAAAGAGCCAGTTACAATTAGGTTAGTAAAGCCTAATTTATTTCCATCTCTGTCCACCCAACAAGTTTGGTTAAATAGGACCAAAGCTAGTAATTAGAAACCAGGAATTCTGCTACCCACCCACCATTAGTAAGGCGGGTACATGGAATTATTTTGGTAGTAGCAGAAATGGGTACATCTTTTTTTTTTTTTTTTGAGACAGAGTCTCACTCTGTCACCAGGCTGGAGTGCAGTGGCTCTATCTTGGCTCACTGTAACCTCTGACTCCCTGGTTCAATCGATTATCCTGTGTTAGCCTCCTGCGTAGCTGGGATTACAGGGGTGCGCCACCATGCCAAGCTAATTTTTGTACTTTTAGTAGAGATGAGATTTCACCATCTTGGCCAGGATGGTCTCAATCTCCTGATCTCATGATCTGCCCGCCTCAGCCTCCCAAAGTGCTGGTATTACAGGTATGAGGCACCGCACCTGGCATGGGTAGGTCTTCATATATTCACATTATCTTATGGATTGTTAGCTAACAGATGATTGCAATCGGGGAGCGTTATATTTTGCCTCACTTAGCACAGCATTTTAATGTATCACCCGCTTAACAGATATTCACTGAGATACTTTACAAGGCACTGTAGGGATACACATCATAAAAAGTAATCCCCACCTTCAAGAAACTAATAATCTGTTGTTCTAACCAATGAAAAAGAAAATTAATACTCAGTCCTTTTCTGATTCCAGGTCAGATCACCAGTCTTTTGGGAAATTTAACCAGAATAATGCTGGAAATGGGAACAAGAAGCTGGTTTTAGGAGACAGGAGGAGATAAGCAGTTGAGTTCCAGGTGTGCTTATTTTGAAGTGAGAGAGTGGGAACATTTGAATGGTAATATCCCAGAAACAGCTGAAAATAGAAGTTTGGAGATCACAAGTGTGTATGTACTATATCAGGATAGAGTGATCAAAGAAAACGAGGAAATGAACAAGGTTCCTGAGCAGCCAAGTGTAGTGATAGACAAACAGATGCCCTGGAATAGAGCAGCAGATCAGGACTGTGGTTAGGTAATTGGAAAGAAAGGAAAACACAGGAGAGAAGTTGGAAAAACAAAAATAGTTGTTTCCAAGCTGAGCTTCTAATTTCCCTTACCTTCTAAATAGTCATAGAGTACTACTACTATCTCTAAAGTCACAAAGTGTCTGAGAGGCTCAGAAGATCAAGAGCCAAGAAGGCGTTCAATTGACATTAGTGATGATGGTAAAACAAATAAAGGCTGTTGAAACTGGAAGACCAAGAGCTTGTCAGTTACTAATTTTATCATATAAAGCCTTGCATTCCTGCGAAGAAAATGGGGGGCAGAGGTACTAATGAAACCCTAGTTAGGGAATTGATCTCGGAAGGGATATTTATTTGTAGATTATTTTCCAAGCTTTAGGTAATAAATAAATAAACAAATACACAAATTAAAAGTCATGTGGAATACTACAGCGAGAGGTAGATGAAGGAGTTTAGTATAAATCCATTTCAATAAGAAAATAAGAAGACACCTCAACGTGTATGTCTGTGCATGGATATTCAGCATGTCTCCTTAAACTACAGAGAGTAAAGAGCCTGCTCTGAGTGCAAGATGGTATTTTATTTTGGTGTCTAAGCTACTAATGATCTTCCTGGAATCCACAACTATTTCTTTAAATCCTTTTGCAGCTCAGTTTTGAAGAATTATGTCAGTTTTTTAGTCTTCTTGCCTACTTCTCTAGATCCCAGAAAATTAGGCCACTAACAGAGTAAATATTTTTGGGGGCACCGTGGCAAAATTTTGGTTGTCAGACAAATTAAGTCACAGCATCCCGCAGGGAAGCCATATCAGAGGAATACGGAAATGGGAAGAATGAGGCTAAATGCCACTACATTTAAATGCTGGGTGTAGCCCAGGAGACTCTGCACGGGAAGCCTGTTCTGACTTCTATGTATATAATTGTGTGCTCCATGCACGTGAGTGCTGTACGCTGTGTCCTGTGTCTAAATGCTTCATGTTGCCTGCTTCCAGTCCCTACAGGTTCATTTCTCATCTATACTATTCTTGTCCCAGAGTATAAAACACCATGAGGATTTTACTAATTGGAAAACACCCCAATATAATTGGTCTGTAGGAAACTCCAAGTTTACAGATGGCATTTATCACTGTTAAAAGAATAAGCAAAAATATTATTTTAAAAAACTTGACGCATGAATGAACATTTCTCTGAAAGAGAAAAGGATTCTTTATACACGGTGCAAGTGCTTCAGAGTGGTTTTCATGCTGTATACAGCTGTTTTGAGGGTAAATGAGGCTTTCTAAAAAAGGACAAGGAAGAAAAGGAAGGAAACTAACATTTCAAACAACATACTACGTGTTAGTTGCTGTAGTAGATGCTTCATAGACATTATTTCCATTTTATTTCATTTATGAGAAGCTTTAATTATATTTGCAATTGGCAGAAATTTCAATTTTCATTAGGGAAATAATAAAAGGAATTGAGGATGACTGGAAGGACAAGGTGGCATTGAAAGAGATATTTTAAGCCAAGGTACATTTGGCAGGCAGCATGGAATTGAGGAGTCTGAGAGACACCATAGGCCAAAACATTCTTAGTCATCTCTAAGAGCAAGGCTGTTTTCTGAGGAAGTACAATGGCAAATGTTGGTTGGATGAATCATAATTAGGTAAGAGGAAACAATTAAACCTGTATTAAAGAGGACAAGGAGAGTAAGCAATGAATGAGCTGAAAGGAAAACTGAGAAATTAAGAATATGAGTGGGCACGGTGGCTCACGCCTGTAATCCGAGCACTTTGGGAGGCCGAGGTGGGTGGATCACCTGAGGTCAAGAGTTTGAGACCAGCCTGGCTAACATGGCGAAACCTGGTCTCTACTAAAAATACAAAAATTAGCCGGGCGTGGTAGCACATGCCTGTAATCCCTGCCACTCAGGAGGCTGAGGCACGAGAATCGCTTGAACCTGGGAGGCAGAGGTTGCTGTGAGCCAAAACCATGCCACTGCACTTCAGCCTGGGCAACACAGTGAGACTCCATCTTAAAAAAAAAAAAAATAAGAATATGGGCATTGCCTAGCTGTTCTCCAAACACCTGCAAAATTTATATATAATTTATATATAAATATAAAGAGTATTTATATACTCTTCCCTCAATCTGGTCATGACTTGCATATCATCAAAACTTTAAATTGTTTGCCAAACTCGAAATTAAACTAGGCTTTTAGAAGTCAGGATCACGGTTGCTCTGGGGGTAGGCAATAGCTGGACAGAAGCCCAGCGGAGGATTCCTGGGAGCTGGCACAGTTCTGCTCTTGGTCTGGCTGCTGGTTACAGGGGTTCAGTTTGTGGAAATTCATCAAGCTATACAATTATGATATGTGTTTTTCTCTGTATACATACTAGACTTCAATAAAAAATGCTTGACAATTCAAATAAAGTATCTTGTTACAGATACTTTGAGTTTCCCTGATTACTTCTGTGTCTGTGCATCTTTTTTATTTTGTTGGTCATCAGTATTTCCATTCCATACATAGATGAAAAGAGACTTCAACCTATCATAGTAAAATTTAGATTTTCAAAGTTAAAGAATTCAGCAAGGCATACACACAGACACACACACGCACACACACACACATATCTTACATATAAATAGAGTACAAAGTCTACTTCACCATGTTATCAAACCAAATTGGGGTCCACTGGCTGGTGCAATAAGGCAAACAACCACACTGAGATTTGCAGCAGGAGAAACGAGGGTGTTTATTTGCAGGGCACCAAACATGGAGACTTGGGCAGCTCTTGCTTCAGCCCTGACTTCTCCAATGGCTTACAGGTAAGGGTTTTTAAAGGTGGGAAGGTGGAAGCTGCAGGCAAAGTCATAAATCAGTAATGGAGGCTCTACATTGGTTTGACTTTAAAAGGTAGGACATCTCAAAGCAGGGGCCATGAGTCATAGGTGGATTCAAAGCTTTTCTGATTTGTGATTGGTTAAGGAGGAGAAGCTTTGTCTAAAAATTTTGGGTTATCAGAAAAGAATGCTAGCTCTGGCTCATGAACGTGACCTCCTCTAGGCCCCCAGGAAGAAATTTAGAACAAAACATGGCAGTCAAGGTTCAGTCCTCAGCTCCCCCCTCATTTGAGGTCTGTGCCAGCAGATTCGTTTGGTGGGGGTCTGGGTTTCTGAAGAATGTATGTATATCTTAAGATATGAAACACCTGTTAAGATGTTATCTTTAGTTTCTATAGGGAATGATTCTCCTGACTGTAGCTTCCTTGGCTATTGTTTTAGGTTGCTATTACCTTCTTATTTATCAAGTTGCTTATTTACTTCTCAGGCCTACCTAGGTGCCTGGAATTTCCTTTGACAGAACTCGAGATTTTTCTTTATTTTCATGCTTGCCAGGGGTTGGGGGTTGGTCACAGGTTGCTAAGAGGGCTCCCTGTTCTGTCTCAACCATAGGAAAAATTTCACCTAAGTTAATTCTAAAGAAAAAAAGATCAGACTTCAGATCTCACCTTCACAATATTAAACGATATATTATCATAAAGGCAAAAGAAATACTATTCCATATTAAATAATTCCAAAATAAACCTCATATACAGTCTTTCTATAAAATGTATCAAAAGCATTTCCAGTTAATTAATAAAAAGAAAAAGAAAATTATCATATAAATAAATTGCAGGTTAACGTTAACACCTAAAAGTAGAATTTAAAACTAGTGCACATATCAAAAATCATTCTAAGTAAAAAGTCTTTAGGGAAATTAAAGTATACAGAATATATAACACAATAAAAAGGGGGGAAGGGAATAAAAAAAGGGAAAGCAAATCTAAGGTAACAACATTAAGTTGGATGTGCAATTTACACCAAAAAAGTATAAACATATTTAATTCTCTTATTAAAAGATTAGGTGAAGGCTAAAGTGGACTAAAATAGACAGCTTCAAAGATGGTCATTGGAGCATTCCTCTTAATAGCTAGAAGCATAAATTTCCACCTATTCCTTCATCTTGGCTTAAAGTAAGGGACCAAGATGAGACCATTTTTTGACCATTCTGTCAAATTGTATATGGAACAAACAAAATTCATACAAATTGTGTATGGAACAAACACAAATGTCTTCCACATAATGATGAACAAACAGGAAATAGGACAACATGGGAAAAGGCAGGAGTTCAGAAGAGGGAGCACCGTTCTGAGTTAATAGATTAAATTCATTCATTTAATTTTATTATTTCCCAAAACCCTGCTAAAATCCCATAAAAAAAGGCATTTACAAAGAGCACATAAATCCACAAGAACATTGAGAACATGGGAGAAGACAACAGCAACACATTCTTGAAAATGGATGCAAGGAAACAGACAAGGTGTAAACAGGGCAGTCATGGAGGAAGCTGAGAGCCCGCAGCTGTGTGTGGCTTGGTCATGGTAAAAAGGCTCCCACTCTGGAGGCTGAGTTGGAGCTGAAATCCTGGCCACACATTTCTCCAGCCAAGCATGCACCCTGACATGGGGCTATGTCTGCCCTGAAGAAGGGGTGCCTTTGCTAATTCATTCAAAGCCATCGTGGGCTCAGCAACTGCCTTTGTCTAGAAGAGCATTCTTATCCACATACTCATATACCTCAGCCGGGGCTCTCCTGAGAGTTCAACCCAGTATACACTCAGAATCCTCAAAATGCTTGAGAACTGTCAGCACTAAATCTCTAAATCTCTGGCTCATGGGGCATAGAAACCTGCTAAATTAAGGAGAATCACATAAGTTGTTTGGGAAGCACCTACATCTCCCGACTCCTTACTCCATACATGAGGCAGCTGCTCCTCACTGCTGCTCCCTCATCCTCTCTCCTAGATTTCTGAAGGTTTTTTTCCCCTAGAGACTGTAAAAACAGGTTCTCTGGACTGGGAGTACAGTTGAGAGCCTTTGGATCTTATCAAAATCCGGGGAATTAAGTAGACTGCCGGCATACAGAATGCTGACTCCCAAGACACCTCCTCCCAGCCTCACGCCTTTTCTTTGCTCTCGGAAAACCAGCAGTCAGACCTTAACCTAACAGGCAAGATGCCTCTCTGGGGAATGTGCCCAGACCAAACGAACAGATCTGAAAATACTGACGTCAAGGCAGCCCGACCAGTGGCCCACACAAAATATCTTAAAGTGAAGCTCAGAGTTGACAAGCCCCACCACACCAGCATGGGTTTAGAATTTCCACGTGGCTTTCTTTCCTCCCACTCTTTATCTTGACCATGCCATCAAGAATGGCCATACATATGAGGAAAGCCCCTTATGTGGAGGACAGGCAAACAGAAGGATGGGGGATAGTTTCGTAGTTAGGAGGGTGTTAAAATGCACTCTGAGGAGTTGAGTTTAGAGCAAACTCTTGAATGAAGCAAGAAAAGGATGCATGCAAATATCTGGGGGAAGAGCGTCAGGCCAAGAGCAGAACAGGTGTGCTAAGACAGCGTACTGTCTAGGGTACATGAGGACCAGCTAGCTTGCCAATGCAGGTGGATTCACAGGTAATAAGTAAGAGGAGAGTGGTGGAAGCTGAGGTCAATGGGGGAGGCCCCTTGGGGGGAATGGACCTTGGTAGATGTGATCAGCTGTGATAAGAGATTTGAAATTGTTAGTGTGATGTGAAATTGTTATTGTGATGTAAAGTAATTGCAGGGTTTTGAGTAGAAAAGTGGCATAATACATGACCTAGTTCAGCTTTTTTTTTTTTTTTTTGAGATGGAGTCTCGCTCTGTCGCACAGGCTGGAGTGCAGTAGCACCATCTCGGCTCACTGCAACCTCTGCCTCCCCAGTTCAAGTGATTCTCCTGCCGCAGCCTCCCAAGTAGCTGGGATTACAGGCATGTGCCACCACGCCTGGCTAATTTTTTGTATTTTTAGTAGAGATGGGGTTTCACCATGTTAGCCAGGATGATTTCGATCTCCTGACCTCGTGATCTGCCCGCCTCAGCCTCCCAAAGTGCTGGGATTACAGGCATGAGCCACTGTGCCGGGGCCCTAATTCAGCTTTTATTTATTTATTTTTAATTTTTTTTAGAGATGTGGTCTCACTATGTTGTCCGGGCTGGCCTTAAACTCCTGGCCTCAAGCCATGCTCCCACCTCCAGCTCCCAAAGCACTGGGATTACAGGCATGTGCCAGGCTGAAATTCAGATTTTAGAAGGATCCCTTGACTGCAGAGTGAAAAATGGACTGCAGACTGGGCAGGGATGGAAGCACAAAGATGGGTTTTTGGAAGCTATTCTAATAGTCAAGGTGAGAGATGATGTGGCTTGGACTAGAGTCAAAGCGATTGGAGCAGTGAGAAACAGCTCTATTTGGGTCTAGTCATAAGGTTAAAAAATGGCCCTAAGGACTTTTGTCCAAGCAACTTGAATGGAGATGCCACTTCCTGAGTGGGGAAGACTGTGGGAGGAGCAGGTTTGAAGAAAAAAAGTTAAACAGGCAGTTTTGGTTTTGACAAGTTAAGGTGTAGATATTCTCAGATATCCCATTGCAGATATTGAGTACACAGTTGTTTATAAGACTCCGCAAGTCAGGGCAAAGCGGCAAAGCTGGAGGTTGGAGCTAAAATTTAACCTGCCAAAAAGTCATGGAATTGGTTGTCAATGTGTAGGAAATAATTGTTGGCTGAGAAAGCATAGCTTGCAAGACTGGGCCCTGGGGCACTCTAATATTTAGAGGTCAGCGAGATGAGAAGGACACTGTACAACCCAAAGAAGAGGCAGCCAATGAGGACAGCAAAACCAAGAGTGTGGTGTTCCTGAAGTCAGTATAGCTTCCATATAAAATCTGTGATTGCCAAGTTTTAAACATTTGGTAAAAGTCTGCATCAGAAATACATCAGTATGTTCTCACATAACACTTAAAAAATAAACATACAGAAAGAGCACAAAGTAAAGGTCCTCATCATGGCCCAATCTTATTTTCTAGCATAGAAGTAAACCTTTTTTAACTATTCATTGTATATATCTTCCAGTCAATCTCCTCAATTTTATGTGCATGTGTTTGTTTGTGTGTATGGGGGGATGCATACATATTCATGTATTTTTGTGTATATATATAGATAGATAGATAGATATATTTGTGTGTGCATAATTTTTACTCTTTATATAAATGGGATCATTTGTTCATAGTGTGCGAAATTTCTTTCTATACTTAAGAATGTGTCATGGAGTGGTTTTTCTTCATGTCAATATGTATAAATTCATGTCTTTTTTCTTTAACTTGTACAGATTATCCTACAGTATAGAGGCACCATAATCCATTCAAGCATACTCCTATTGATAAACATATGTAATGTTTCATGTTTTCACAATTAAAACAATGCCATAGTGAAAATTTTTGCACACACTTTGTATATACTTATTCCCAAGGATAGATCTCTATGCATAGACTAGCCAGACTTATGGTACACACTTTTAAAATGTTGATAGATACTACCATATTCCTTGACAACACTGAATATTATCAATTTGGTATGCTGCCACTCTGGTAATAGATACTTGGTGTGATTTGCATTTCCCCAGTTACTGGTGAAGTTGAGTCGAGTATCTGCTCATGATTTTGGACTGCTTGTATTTCTTCTCTGGGGATTGCCCATTCATTTTTTCAGATTTTTCTAAGAAATTGATTTTCTCCATCTAAGAGGGTCTTACCTAACTCATGATTCTAAAGATGTTTAACAATATATTCTATTGGTTCTTTACAATTTTATTTTTTATTGTTAGATGGTTAATCCTCTTGTAGTTAATTTTATGTACAGTGTTATGAAGTGATCTAACAGTTTAGGTTTTTTTCCCCGAGTGAACAATGAATTTTTCTAACACTTCAACTAAAATTTCTATTTCTTTTTCCCTACTCACTGTGTTGCTGCTGGCTTCCCAGAGTTGAAGCAGGGCCTTAAGTGAGAGTTAAGAGTCAAGAGAACCCTTACGTGGCTGGTTCTGATACAAGATACAATTGACATAATCTGTTGTTGGTTTCCTCTGACCACAGCAGTGGCTTCAGACTGACTCTTTCTCTAGGGCACTTCTATGGGCTTCTCAGGAATTCCCTTGTTGGGCACCTGCAGCTGCAACTCCCATGGCCATGTGGCAGTGCCTCATCTTCACAGCCACTTCCACGTCCCTGACCTTTGCAACCAAACATATATGTCTAGGTCATCCAGACACACACAAAACTATCCTTTCAAAGGAGAAACGGTCCCACTTTTAATGTGACT
Source organism: Homo sapiens (assembly GCF_000001405.40). Classification (NCBI taxonomy): domain Eukaryota; kingdom Metazoa; phylum Chordata; class Mammalia; order Primates; family Hominidae; genus Homo; species Homo sapiens. The sequence goes on from NC_000007.14 coordinate 43,025,249, forward strand.
CTGAATGTTTTATTAAACATGCCAATAATTGAAAATGCTTTTTATAATTGTATAAACCTAGAATGAATTCCAATTTGCATAGACACACAAAGTATTTTTGCATCATTTTAATATATTCAATGATCTACAAGTGAAAACACTAAGTGAATCAAGAGATGATTGTACTTTTTTGTGTTCAGCATTTCTCCAAAGTTAACATTTCAGAAAATCACATCAAATGACAAGGTCCATGACTCGCTAGTTCCATGCCCCTGTATTGTTTGTATTTGTAGCTGTCACATCTTGGTGCTTCTGTGTATAGTCATAAACAACCAACCACTACAGTATGTTTTCTGTTTTTTTTTTAGTCAGATTCAAGCATTTACATGAAATACATATTTTCCTTTGGTGTTCTTCATGTCAAGCCATTATAGTGATTTTCATTTTTCATTTAATTTTTCACTGTATATGTAGGTAGGATATATAGCAATATGAATTTCATTTCAGGACATATAGACGACATTACAAAATACTTGTTATAAAAAGGGCCATTGGATGTGGTAGGGTTGGGAGCTGCTGCTATTCAGAACAAATTCTAAACTTTTTAGCTCATTATCCAAACCCTGTATGGTCAGGCAGAGGCCTACTTTTCTAGGCTCATTCACCTGGTCCTTCCCCATGTGCACCCTACACACAAGGCATCCAGAATAGCTTGTCATCCCCTGAACATGCCACTCTCATATATGTCTCTGTGCCTTGCTACTCCACTTCGCTACTTCCTGGAGTGCTTTCTACCTCCTGAACCTGGCAGACCCCACTTTGGCCTCCATTTCTTTGCCCAAGGTCCCTCTTCTCTGCAGAGCTTCCCCGTTTTCATCTGACATTGTCAGTGCTGCGTTCCAGTTTATCTATGTACATTTCTGTTTCCCCACCTGAACTTAGACCTCTTTTAGCACACAGTTTAAGGACTCATTTTGCTATCCTCAGATTTTCACCCTGCATTTGTGTGGCAAATTGCAGGAGTATAGACAGTATTTAGTAAATCATTTGATTCTCACAAGGCCAAGTCAGGAAATATAGATATTCTGTGGTGATAGCAGTCCCCTGGAGAGTAGAGGACAAAGTGGCATGAGGACAGGGTAGCACTTAGGCCAGGAGTGAGGCGGAAAATGAAGCTTCTGTCTGAACCTTAAGAACTCCACTCTCCCACTCCTCTGTTTCTCTCTCCCACTTCCTGCCAGTTAAATGCACATCAGTGAGCTACAGCTACCCACTGAGTGTGGCAGGAACTCAAAGCACCAGGCGAGGCTATGAGAAAATGTGCACGTCTGCAGGGCCCTGGCCAGTGTCTGACAGCTCTGACAGGCGTGGGTCTTAAAGAACGTGATGTGGATCTTTGCGGAATATTGGTCATTTGGAAGTGTCCCTAGGTGCCACAGTTATGACATCACAGACAAGAGACATAGAACATTAGACTGTATCTCGGGTATTCCCAGCCCTTCATCCTACCAATGAGATGGCTCAGTCTTGAGAGGGGAGGAGAATTTCCTAAGATCTCTGCCCAGAGATTGCCATGAATGAGGAGGCCCGGCCAGATTACCTGGATTCCAGCCTGCACTCAAAGATCACTAGTGTGGCTCGGGCACGTGCATCAGTCAAGCTCTATCATCCTGACTGATGCCTTCTCTCTCATGTCCTAGCAGAGGGGTGCTTGGAGTCATGGTGCCAGCTGGAAGCCCCAGAATGTGAAATACAAAGAGTCAAATAACTGTTTTAATGATATAAGTATATAGCAACTGTAATATCTACATATTAATACATAGATATGGAGATATAAAGCAATAGAATATAGATTTAAAGGAATAGACGCATAGAGGGAGTGTATGCCCAGAGAAAATTTCTAAAAAGGGGCACAAGAAATGATCATTATCTCTGAGGACTGCAGAGTTGGGATGTCAGGAGTTTTTCATCTTTTTCACAGCACCTCTTTCTTTTTACCATTTGAATTATTTTCACCATACATGTGTAGTGCTGTAACAGTAAAAAGTAAGTTGTTTTTAAAGACCAGCTATCTCATTCGAAAAATGAATTCAAAGTAAAGGCCTATGGAAAAGCATTTCTGATATTAATAACTTGATTACACAATCAGAATCTTCTTCCAAGACTTCCAGCCTCCCTTTTGCAGATGGATCTCGGAATTCAGGTTTCCTTCATTAACATCCCAGGTTGTCTCCATGCTTTGAGGTTTGAAACCATAATGTACTATTTCTTTTGTTGAAACACTTCTAATCTTTTCTATCAAAAGTAAAGACACTTATTTCTAAAGATAAAGGTACCACACTGCTATTTTCAATAGGCAGACTCCTGACTTAAAGATAAAAAAAACGTATTTTTTTCCCTTAACAAAACTAGTACATGCTCATTGTAGAAAATTAAGAAAACTCAGATAAACAAGAATGGTGCATGTTACAAGTAGAGAAGTATTTTTTTCAATTTACATGAAATGTTTATTTCCCAAATCGTGGTATGGTTCAATTAATGTTTGCTTTTTCATTGAAGAGGAGAAGAAAGAAATGTCTGTGAGTCTCAATAGAATTGTGTGGTACTTACATACAATTAGGATACAATGAGTAAGAATCCATGTGTTGAATTGCTGCACTCTGTTCATTAAGTCACTGTAGGATTACTGAAAAGCAGAGTGAATGATCCATTGCTTTAATTAGACTACCTTAGGCTATTGAGAGTAGTTTGAAGAAAAACTACTATGCTTGGTAGTGGGAAATCTTGGAAGAAAATAGAAGACAAATAGAGGTGGCTAAATGAAATGTCTTGGGAAGAGAAATTCTGACTATCATTTTCTTTTGCCAAGAGGGTTCAGCTTTTAGAATTAAAGTACTAGGATTAGTTCACGGCGCCTGATTGCCACATTGGATTAATGTAGTTTCGTTTGTTGATATCTAGGTTTTTAAAGAAATAGCATCACGAATAGCTGTAGATTCAGAACTTAGCCTTGTGTAGCACCAACACAAAAGGGGGAGTTACTGAGTTACCGCAGTGACTTGGTAAAGAATTATTCCATTATTGCAATTATCTCACCTCAGTTATCTCACCTCAGGGTTTCAGTTCCAAATTGGGTCTCTGAGAGGGAGAGGAAGCCAGAGAGACATTCTGAGGACAAGAGAGAAAGAAGAGTCATAATCCTCTTAGATAACTGGAGGTTAGTGGAGGAAAGAATGTGAGAAGTGTTCCAGGCCCTGGTGATATCTAGCCCAGCCTCCCTTGCAGACATTTGCTATTCCAGCCAGATCTTTCGTTCATATAAACCAGACACCAGGCCGGGTGCGGTGGCTCATGCCTGTAATCCCAGCACTTTGGGAGGCCGGGGTGGGTGTCCAGGGATCATGAGGTCAGGAGATCGAGACAATCCTGGCCAACATGGTGAAACCCCAACTCTACCAAAATACAAAAAATTATCTGGGCATGGTGGCGTGTACCTGCAGTCTTAGCTACTCAGGAGGCTGAGGCAGGGGAATCACTTAAACCTGGGAGGTGGAGGTTGCAGTGAGCCAAGATGGTGCCACTGCACTCCAGCCTGGCAACAGAGCAAGACTCCATCTCCAAAAAAAAACACCAGACACCACTTTTGCAAGTCTAGGAGGTAGGACACAGCTGTAAACTGTAACACCTGTTGGAAGGCCAGGAGCTGTGAGAGGGTTTCTAGATTCTACAGTGGAATTTAGTCATCCCAGGTGAATCTTCATCTCTTGGGGCAATGGTTGGAAACCCATGTGTAAAACACAGGCAAAAAGGAGAAGGGGCTCAATCAAGACATTCCAGAGAAATTATCCATCAACAGCAGAAAGCTCAGTAGATGGGCAGAAGAGAGGCACTTCACTACATGGATTGGGGGCCAAACTTGTCAAATCCTTCAAAGAAAGTGTGGCTGAGGTGGAGAATGAGGTGGGGGAATCAAAAGCGGGATTTGAGAGCTGGAGCTTGGGCACCAGCCCTTTCATCCCCATGTGAATTAATGAATGCATGATAGTCTCTTAAGATTTTGCTTCTCACAGTGTGATCCCAGAGGTGTCTAAAAGAACAGACAACTGGCCGGGTGCGGTGGCTCACACCTGTAATCCCAGCACTTTTGAAGGCTGAGATGGGTGGATCGGAAAGTCAAGAGATCAAGACCATCCTGACCAACATGGTGAAATCCTGCCTCTACTAAAAATACAAAACTTAGCTGGGTGTGGTGGTGCATGCCTGTGTTCCCAGCTACTTAGGAGGCTGAGGCAGGAGAATCACTTGAACCCAGGAGGCGGAGGTTGCAGTGAGCTGAGATCACACCACTGTACTCCAGCCTGGCTACAGAGCTAGACTCCCTCTCAAAAAAAAAAAAAAGAAGAAGAAAGAAGAAGAAGAACAGAGAACCACAAGAATCAAGGACTCCTGGACCTGGGAAAGGCTCTTGCTTCATGAAGGAGCCCAGGGCCGGTGCTGAGGTTCCCAGCCAAAGGGAATGCAAACTCATTCTGTAACTCATTTTCTTTCCTGCTGGGACTATTTCTGATCACAGGCTATGCGTGCGGTTACGATTCATGTTTCTTGAAGCTATTTGGAGTATTTTGGAGGCTATATCCAAAGGCCATTTCTGGAGTTCTTAGCTAAATGATTAAAATAAACAACAACAACAAACCTAAAATCAACAACATGACCTCTGCCAATTTTCCTATCACCCGTTGGAATCTCTGGTCAAGAAACTACAAGTATTAATATTTCACTGGGATGTTTGGTGGGAAGTAGGGAGGGAAATGTCCATACCAAAAGCTTCCAAGTGAAATGTTCTGGCTGACACCTCCAAGAGAAAGTGAAAGCTAGAATGGCAGAAGCCATTGGTGGAGAAGGAACATGCAGGCAGGAGAAGTCCCTGGAACCTGGATGGAAAGAAAGTCGGAATAGACTTCTTCATGGGCTGCAGAAAGAAAAAGGCTTGGCTGTGATGAGAGGACTGTTTCCAGCAGGCAAATTTCAGCAGCTTAATCTCAGTCACAAAGGAGATCTTATCCATGAGAGAGGAGCTCAGGTGCCACAGAGAAATCTGTCTGGGGAGTCTGCAGGCGGCCCACGTGTGCCAGTGATGAAGACAGATTCCACTGGAGCCACTGAGCACCATCTTAGCACCCTGCAGGGCCAAGAAGCCACACCAGCCCCAGGGAAGAGATAATTTGCAAGGCAGCTAATGGCACGCACAATTCTCCTCACTTCCTTCCCAGCCTTTTTATCTTCTCCAATGTGCTGGAAAAAGAGATTTTGATGGAAACTAGAATACCCATGAAGAGTAAGGTTGAGGTCATGGAAGATGAAGATTAAGAGTGAAGAAAAAGAGCAAGTGGAGGAACAAACACAAAATTAAATAAATCACAGAAATGCTTGACACTTCAGGTTGAAGATGCTCTCAGTGTATTAGGTTGTGTTTTGTTTTGTCTTTTTACCTTAGAAAATGAGAAGACACACCTGTATTTATTCCAATGAAATTTCAGATTTTCAAAGATAAAGGAAAATTCCCAAAGGACATAGACAGTAAAACCAGGTTAACTATAGGATTTGTCTCCAGGCTTCTCTGCAATATAGTCATGCCAAAGATCATGGAATAAGATCCACAGAGTTTAGAGGGGAAAGGATGTGGCTCAGGACTTGTAAACCAGGACAATTTATCATCATAGCATCAGAAAATGACAAACGTAGTTTGAGATAGGCAAGTATTCCAAGAGGGAATTATCCATGTTACAGTAAAAATATCCAGGAAGAAAGTGAAAGAGGTAAACAATAGTGATACCAATGAAACAAAGTATCCCAGTGAATAATTGCTGTTTCTGTGGTTATGAGATACACTTAAAATGTCCAAATGGTTTTTAAAGAGAAATTGCAGAGTAAAAAACCTACTTGTAATATTCTGGTTTTAAAATCTGAGATAATTCTAATGTAATCTGGGAGATAGAGAAAAAAGAGGAAACTTTTAAAAGCAAGCTGAATTCCTCATCTTATTTGAGGCATTGAGGTTTTATTGTTATAACAGAGAAATAAAGGCTTACATGCTTTTAATGAAAGATGTTCTCTAACAGACTATGAGTAGAATGTATATTTTCCAAATCAGTAGAAATATAAAATACAATATACTAAAATAAACAAACAAAAAACCAGCAAAAGTAAAGAACAAAGCAATAGAAAAGCATGAAACACAACTGCATCAACTAAGATAAATGTAAGTTGATCAAATTTCATCTTTAAAAGATAATTTTTAAATTGGGTCAGCAAAACAAAATCTAGCTAAACATTATTTTCAAAAAAATATGTAAAACAAATTGAAGCAGAAATATTTTTTGAAGAGGTGGACAAAGACACACCAGATGAATGCAAATAGAAAACAAATAAGAATATTAATATAGACCAAATAGAATTAAGGAAAAATCACTTGAACAATGGAGACTTTATAAATAAAATACATAATCCAAAATGAAGATATAATGGTCATGAATAATTACGGGACTAACAGAAGCACAGCATCCAGAGATATGAAACCAATGTTCTTAGTAATTATCTTAGAATATGCAAACTGAAAACACAGTTGGGGGTTACCTGCTCTTTAATTATATTATTTTGTGAGTTTTAAAACAATTTATTAATGTTTGTATTAGGGTTCTTCGCAGAAACAGTATACATATGGAACATATATATCGCTTTCTCTACATTTACATATACTTAGAGAAAGAGATTGATGTATTATAGAAATTGGCTCATGGAGGCTAAGTTGCATGATCTGTCTGCAAGCTGGTGAACCATGAAAAGCCAGTGGTATGATTCAGTCCAATGGCCTGAGAACCAGGAGTGCCCACGTCTAACATCAGAAGACAGATGTGGGCTGGGTGTGGTGGCTTCATGCCTGTAATCCCAGCACTTTGGGAGGCTGAGGCAGGTGGATCACCTGAGCTCAGGAGTTTGAGACCAGCCTGACCAATATGGTGAAACCCTGTCTCTACTAAAAATACAAAAATTAGCTGGGTGTGGTGGTTTGCACCTGTAGTCCCAGCTACTGGGGAGGCTGAGACGGGAATTGCTTAAACCTGGGAGGCAGAGGTTGCAGTGCACTGAGATCACGCCACTGTGCTGCAGCCTGGGCAACAGAGCAAGACTTTGTCTCAAAAAAAAAAAAAAAAAAAAAAAGAAGAAGAAGAAGAAGAAGAAGAAGAAGAAGACAGATACACTAGTTCAGAGGGAGCAAATTCCCCCTTCCTTTGCTTTTTTGCCCTATTCAGAACCCTTGAGAGAATGGATGATGCCTACTTACACCGGAGGTGGTGATTTTCTCTCAGTCTACAGATTCAAACGCTAATCTCTTCCAGACCACCGTGACAGACACATCCAGAAATAATTCTTTACCAGCTATTATAGCCTCTTTTATGCATTTGTATTTTCAAGAATTTGTATTTTATTGAATGCTTAACTAAAATTCTTTTGGATTTGTAATAAGAATATTTAAAGTCAGGAATTCTCTTTTAAGTATGGCTCTGAACATATTTCATTAGTTTGGGTAGTAGTGTGTTACCTACTAGTCTTATAATCTGTGACCTGCTTTAAATTTAAATTTTCTCTTTTACCCAAGACTTATTTAGTAATGTCTACTTTTAATTCCTAAGTAATGAATCCTAGCTTCTTCATATTGCACTCAAAGAATGTGGCCTAAATAAAATTTATAAACACTTAAAATAAATTGAGAAAATATATTCTTTATTTGTAATATGAATCATTTTTGTCTCAATGTTTTTTCAATTCTTAATTTAATTTTCTAAAATAAGCATTAGAATTTTTAAGAGAAAAAATAATTACAATTAATAAAAATAAACTCAATAACAACAACGACAAAACCAACAACCCAATTTAAAATGACCAAATGACTCGAATAGGTATTTCTCTGAAGAAGATACACAAATGGCCAATAAACACATGAAAGTGTGTTTAGTGTCACTGGTCACTAGCAAAATGCAAAGCAAAACCACAAGAAGATATCCCTTCTCACCCATTAGGATGGCTACTATGAAAATCAATAAATAAACAAATAACAAGTGTTGGTGAGTGTGGTAGTCCATCCTTGCATTGCTATAAAGAAATACCTGAGGCTGGGTAATTTATAAAGAAAAGAGGTTTAATTGGCTTGTGCTTCTGCAGGCTGTACAGGAAGCATACCTGCTCTTCTGCCTCTAGGAAGCCTCGAGGAGCTTACAATCATGAAAGAAGGCAAAGGGGGAGCAGACATCTCACATGGTGGGAGGGAGAGCAAGAGAGAGAGAGTAGAGGGGAAGTGCCATATACTTAAACAACCAGATCTTGTGAGAACTCACTCAGTATCTTGATGACAGCACCAAGCCATGAGGGATCTGCCCCCATGGCCCAATCACCTCCCACCAGGCCCCACCTCTAACATTGAGGATTACAATTCCACATGAGATTTGGCGGGCTCATGTATTCAAACTACATCAGTGAGAATGTAAAGAAATTGGAACTCTTGTGCATTCCTGGTAGAAATGTAAAATGGTGTAGCCACTATAAAAAACAGTATGGTGGTTCCTCAAAAAATTAAATATAGAATTACTATATGATACAGCAATTTCACTTCTGGGTTTATACTGAAAAGAAGTAAAAGAAGGGACTTGAACATATATTTATAAACTCATGTTCTTAGCAGCATTATTCACAATAGCTGAGAGTAGGAAGAAACCCATGTGCCCACGCAGGGATAAATATATACACAAAATGTGGATATATACACAATGGAATATCATTCAGCCTTAAAAAGGAAGGCAATTTTGTCACATGCCACAACATGGATGGACCCTGAAGACATTATGTCAAATGAAATAAACCAGTCACAAAAGGACAAATGCTGTATTTTTATTTGTATTTATATGAGGTACCTAGAATTGTCAAGTTCATAGAGACAGAAAGTAGAATGGCAGTTGCCAAGGGCTGGAGTGAGAAAGGAAAAGGAAATAATGTTTAATGGGTAAAGAATTTCTGTTTGGGATGATGAGAAAGTTCTGGAAATTGATAGTGGTAATGTTTGTACAACATATAAATGTAATTCATGCCACTGAACTGTACACTTAAAAATGATTAAAATAGTAAATTTTATGGTTATGTATATTTTTTCACATAAAAAATAATAAAGGGTAAGAAGAGAGATGCTAAGAAGAGTGGAAGGTGTTACGGGATAAGCCTTGGAAGGCTCCTGAGAGATGGCAATACTCTAGGAGCCACACCCTGGGTTTGGTGGCTTCCAGTTTGGCCAGAGCTTCCTTTTCTATGAACTGTGTCCTCTCCTTCTCCTTTATCAGTGGAACCTGATGGAGGTGAATATCTATGGCCACAGTCCCAGGGACGGAAGAGGAGATGGAAGCATAGGTCACATACCCTGTGCCTGGCATCAGTCCAGGGTTTTGTCTGGGTGGAGGGAACCACTCTGCAGAAGTCAGAGGCTGGCCAGAAAGAAAGGAAGAAGATCGCAAGGGAGACTGGAAGTGAAGAGCAAATGAAAAAATGGTAAAGGAAAGGGGAGAAGGTAGTGACAGTGTGAGAAAGAAACCAATGCCCGTTCCTCCTTGCAAAACGGTGGGGTAGAGGGAGCAGATAAGATGGTTGCTGAGGCAGCCATGTTCCCCAAAGCTAGAAAACTAAGGGTGGGAGAAGTGAGAAATGGAACAGGAGGCCACTGCAGTACCAAGATGTCAAGATGGAAGAGACTTTGTATCCAACTGTCCTCCACTGGGACAACACCTAGTACGTGAGTGTGGTGGCCTTAAGAAGGTAAAGTGCAGAGAGCCACTGAGTTACTGCTACCTTCAGTGATTGACCTATATCCAATACACAGAACCCTCTGCTCATTGTAAGAAATGTGTCTGGGGCATATCATTGTGGGTGTTAACAGTTTAACATGATCAATATGTACTGGTATAATCCATGGTCAAGAAATAAGATAAGGTTTTGGGGTCAGTGCAGTAGGAATGAATCTTACAAAAGAAAGAAATTGATGGCTCAAAATTGATTGGTCTGCTTCGGAAAAGTGAAGTTTTCCATTGCCGTTGAGATCTTTTGATACATATCTTGCTGAGATTGTCTTTGGTGTAGTTTAAGTCATTGTGGAATTTGAAACCTATGTTGCTCATTGAATGGAGTTTGGAAAATGAGGTATTCCCTTCTATATTTTAAAGATGATATCTAAAACTTTTTTCTCTAAAATAGAGGCAAAATATGTGATTTCTGGCATATTGTAAATGTTAACATTTTCAAATGAAACGGTTACATTGCTCTGATAATTATAAAATGTGTTCTGAAAATGGAATATAAACACTATTGCAATTTGATAGGCAACATCCATTTTTTAAATATATGAACATTTCTTATTTAACAGGGAGAAAATTTACATCATTCACTTCTGACTTAAATCACATTTCCATCACACTTCCTCCATCGAGTTGTCTTAGTGCAACTTTTATTCTTTATGCTGTCAAATTTCTTTGAAAGAAAAACATGTCCATAAATTAAAATTTATTTTTTATTTTTTTCTGGTTAAAACTCTCTAAACTTAAAATTTTCATTTTAGTTTAATTATTATAAATCAAAACACCTTAAACATATAATAAATTTTGATAAATTATTTTTAACCATAAAAAGAAAATTTTATTGGAAATGAAGCTGTTACTAAAATAGACTAGGGGAGGAATTCTATGAGGTCTTTGCTGAAGGTGACTTTCCTGAGTGATATTGACAATTGTTCTTCTGCTTAGAGCACCAGACACTTTTGCAACTTGAGTCACTGCACCAGAGTTGGATTTCAGTTGGGTGAATCTTTTGTAAGGTACATGAAAGGAAGTACTGGTAGGAAATTTGAGAAAGCATTAATGTGGCAGATGAGTTCCCATGTGGTTCCGTGTGAGAAAAGAGTACATATGAACCTTGAGGGCCTGAAAACCAATTGCCCTAGGAAGCCTTTGTCCAAGCCCAGGGAAGTGAACTTCAATGTACATCACTGCTCAAGGAAAACAGTCTCTAAGGGCAAGTGGGGTATATCCCAGTGTGGGGTGAAATGAAACCATTAAAACTTTACTTTTTAAACACTCACTTCTAAATTTTCTACCTTTTCTGTGGTGAAGAATATTTTGGGTATAATTTCTAATACATTGATAAAGTAGAACAAGGGTGTAAATGTGAAAATCTCCCCTGTGGAGCAAGACAGTGATGAACATGATTTTAGAATCATATCATTCTGTCTCAACTTGAAGAACTATCTTGCCTATGATTGAGGCCTGTGAAGCAGGATTTCTCAAAGGAGGGTTCCAGATGCATCACCAAGGTCTGTGAGTTCTCCACATAACCTATAAGTGATGCTTTCACTGTAATGATAACTTGGAAACAATGTAACTATAGTGTAGACTGGAGCATCCAGATGAAAACTATCTCGAGACCTCCTGTAGGATTTTGGTATCCTCTGTGTTATGGGGGCCCCAGGCCTGAATCCTTGGTCCTCTTTGTTTCTTCAGCCACATTTACTCCCTTGCATCTTTCATTCAGTGCCTTGGCTTCAATGCCATCCATCTACTCCCTGACTTTTAACTATAAATCTCCAGCTCAGACCTCTCTCCCAAACTTCAGATGCTAGAACCCAACTTATACCCCACTTGGATGCCTACCAGATGTGCCAAAGTTAATCGAGTCAGAACTGAGCTTGTTATTTCTTTCCACTTTGGAACCTGCTCTACCTGCAGCTTCCCCAACACTGGTGAAGGCAGCTCCATCCTTCCTGAGTGACATTTCCTTTTTTTTTTTTTTGAGATGGAGTTTCACTCTTTCACCCAGGCTGGAGTGAAGTGGTGCGATCTCGGCTCACTGCAACCTCCACCCCCCAGGTTCAAGCAATTATCCTGCCTCAGCCTCCTGAGTAGCTGGGATTATAGGCATCCTCCACCATGCCTGGCTAATTTTTGTATTTTTAGTAGAGACGGGGTTTCGCCATGTTGGCCAGGCTGGTCTCCAACTCCTGACCTCAGGTGATCCACCTGACTCAGCTTCCCAAAGGATTACAGGGGTGAGCCACTGAGCCCAGCCACCTGAGTGACACTTCTAAACTGTGAGTGAGATCATGCCACAACTCTGCTCAAAGCACTGAAATAGCTCCCCATTTCACTCAAAGAAAAAGCCAAAGTGCTTACCGTGATTTCTTGGAGTTTTCACATTCTTCCCCGCTGCTATGCTTTGAATGTTTTGTCCCTTCTGAAAATCATGTAGAAACTTAGCTCCAATGTGGCAGTATTGGGAGGTGGGGCCTTTAAGAAGGGATTGGGTCATGAAAGCTTTCATGGATTAATGGATTAATGGGTTATCACAAGAGTGGGGCTGGTGGCTTTATAAGAAGACAAAGAGAGAAATGAGCTAGCACGCTCAGCTCCCTCACCATGTGTTGCCTAGAGCAACCCTGGGACTCTGCAGAGTCGCCAACAGCAAGAAGGCCCGCACCAGATGCTGCCTCGACCTTGGAGCTGGTCCCAGCCTCCAGAACTATAAGAAATAACTTTCTTTCCTTTATAAATTACCTAGTTTTAGGTATTCTGTTATAAGCAACAGAAAACAGACTAAGATAACCTTTACTTCTTCAACCTCCTCTCTTACTCCTCCACTCCCAGCTCACTGATGTACAGCCACATTGACTTCTCAGCTCTTTCCTGAACACATCAGGTATATCCCCACCTCAAGAATCTGCCCTACCCGGTCCTTCAGCCTGAACTGCTCACTTCTCCTCAACAGCCCCTTGGCTCACACCCTCACCTTTCACAAATGTTTTCTCTCATCACACTTTTCCAGTGAAGCCTACCCTGAACCCTATTTCAAATTGCAACCTGCCCCACTCCAGCCCCAGCAGTCCCTAAAGCCCTGTCCTACTTTTTCCCTTTTTAAAAAAATTGTTTTTAAACACACTATAAAATTTACTTATTAAAATAACTTGTTTTCTGTCTCTTCCTGCTGGAATAGGAATTTCATGAAGATTAGGTTTTTCATTTTGTCCACCAGTGTATGCAATTGCCTAGAGCCTGTCTGGCACATGGCACATGTTTGAATGAGTGTGCAAGTGAGTGAGCGACTGAATAGAATGCAGAATAGAATGAATCATGCATAGCTTTCTGCTTCAAGGAAACTTTCATCATGCTTTAAATAGATAACAGTTGTGGGCCATGTGAGTTCTCACACAGTGCATGGAGCCAAGGTTTATAAAACTCAAAGGTCTGCACCAGACAACAATCGAGCCAGGTTTCCATTTCAGGCAGGCACATGGCACCCTGTCCAGCCAGCCCCTCCTGCTCCGTAGTCACTTGCAAAAATTCAAAAGCAGCAACTATTGGAATTACAATGAAGATTTCTTTTTGTTTTCAATTCCAGAAATAATTGGATTAAATACCCATTTATTATAGATTTAATAATATCACAATGCCGATCTTATTTTCAGATGAACTAGTCATTACAAGTTACTATATGACGCCTCTTCAAAACAGGCATTCAATGATTGCTTGCTAGCAGAATTTGGGTTAAATATGAAGTCTGTTTATCCTGAACTGAAAAAGCCTTGTAGTTATTCATATCACTTTGCCCATCAAACTTATCCAAACAAGCATTCTCTAAAAATTTCGTTCAAGTTAAAATATAGAAATGGATTAAATAAAGAGTTGAACTAAGGCTATCTCATTTATTTCATTAAGCCCAAATTGAATGATTTAATTTCACCAATATAACATCAATTATTATATTACATTATGGTCATTAATGTGATTTTTTTATACTTATATTTAAGTTTTGTTTTAGTTTTGTGGTTAAGAGCCATGCTTATAAGAGCATTTATACCTAGTTTCATGTTTGTCATAAAAACTGAGTCCTAGCAGGTCTCTATCTGTTATTTACCAGAATTTGGGACAAATTCCACAAGGAAAGTCATAAGGAATAGGCATTACTGAGAAGAAAAAAAAAGTAACAAGGTTGGATTAAGAAAAGAAAAGGCAAAGAGATCACCCATGTTCCCATCACTCCATAGAGAGGAAGCCCAGGGCCAGCCAGAACGTGATGGATACACGATGGGGCTTGTGTCCCAGTGCAGGGGCCCTTTCCCATGCGGAAGTTCCTCCTTAAAGAGCAAGTATGCAAATGTTGTCTTGTCAATGGGGAGATAACCCCAGCAGGGTGCCAGCAGCTGGGATATGGATGCCAGCTATTTGCAGGAGTGGTCTGGAAAGGATAGTTCAGGCCCTGCCATCAAAAGAAGGAAGTTGCTGGTCCCAAGGGAAAGGGGGATCCCTGGTCCCTGTTTGCTCATTGCCCAGGCAACACAGCATGCAAGCATGATGATTCTACTTGGTGTATCACTGTGTTTGACATATTTTAAATAACAGTATAATAAAAATCATTTAAATCAGTAACAGATGTTTGTTACTTTCCTTTAATAAGTTCTACACAAAACTCAAGTTTTTAAATGTTGTTGGATAAGCAATGGCATTTGGTGGGATGCCAAATGCCATTGGTGTTTACTGAAAAATAGCCTCATCCCACCAAGATATCTTAGTTTACTATCAGCAAGTATTTTAGGAGACCTGATTACTATACTATGTAAGACCAAGTAAATCCTTCACTTCAGGGAACTGCATTTTTGGGATCTGGGTTAAGTGTATAGTGGAAATAAGCCCCTTGGCTATTTTCTCCTTAGTGGTAGAGGTATATTCCTTAGAGAGTTCCTCAAAGGCTTCAAGGTTTTCCAAAGATCAAACTAATGACAATCCACAGCATTGTCAGATAGGAGTTGATCCACCTCTAGCTTCAGATTCAAACATAGCACGTCCTATAGTGCAGTCAGTGAAGAATGAATATTTTTCCCTTGCCACATGGCATTGCCATCAGCTTAACCAAAGACCAGATCTTCTTATACCACCTGCTCACTGACCAGGTAAGGGCTGTGAAATCAATGAAACTGGCGGTCTCTGAATTCAGCTGTTTTTGTTTTGAAAAATAATCACTCTTCAAAAATGATGTCTATATGTATGACAGATAAAAATCTTTTTTTAAAAAATAAATGATTTATGTAGAGACAGTGTCTCTATATTGCCCAGGCTGGTCTCAAACTCCTGGCCTCAAGCGATCTTTCTGCCTTGGCCTCCCAAAGTATTGGGATTATAAGAGTGAGCCATCATGTCCAGACTATGACAGATGAAAATCTTAAAGGATAATTTTACCTCTTTTTGTGCTTCAGTTAGACATATTAAGGGATTATTTCAGTATCCAAAAGCTAGGACACTTAAAGTTGAGATGACCAACTGCAAGTCCAATTAGTTGAAGATGCATTGGCTTAGTTCCAGGAATTGGTACAACTTTTGCATTTCCTGAAGAAGCAATTATCTTCTTCATGGGGCATAATCCACTTCTTTGTTCATTTTTTCACACTGCTGATCAAGGAAAGTTTTGTGGAATTAACTAGAGTTCATTTGAAGTCATTTTACCTTTCTCAGGAAGCTTTGTTGGAGGCCACACTCTATGATTACTTTGCACTTTATAAGCAAGAACTTTTCCATGAAGACCTCTCAGGATTTCCTTTTCTTTCCTTTATATGTTTAGTGTGTTTTAGAATAACATACTACAGCTGATAATGCAACCTAGATGACAGATAATCTCTCTAGCAGAGAAGTCAACTTTAGTTTCCAGCCAAGAGGAGCCATCCCTGTGGGTGGGCATTGATCAAGAAAGAGCTTGCTTAATTTGGAGAGCCTTTTGGCAGTTTGCAAAGCTCTTTCTCCTATGATTCCTTTTTTTCCCCTTCCAACAACCCTGGAAAAAAATCTATTGTTATTCCCATTGCAAGGATGTGGCTAATCAAGCTTAGAGAAGTTGAAGCCCAGCCAGGTAATGAGTTAAAAATGAGGGAGGAATTGATGTCTTCTGCTCATGAATCCTGTGCACTTCCCAACATATCACCCCCTCCTTAAGATACGAGGCGTGGGGTGAAGATAGCTCTTCCTAACAGCTGCCACACCCCCATAGGTCACAGACTCATGATGGCTTCCAATGGTAGGAGTTTGAAATATGCCAGGCAATAATCTCATAGACAAGGTGAGTACCACTCCACTTGGAAAATGTGTTGAGGAAAATGTGTTGAAGTGAAAAATAAGGCCATTATTTAAAAATACCCTGAAGGTTTACAGTACTTAAAATTCTATTTTTAAAAATCATTTATTGTTTTCATTATTAATCTACTCTAGTAGTATTCGAATTTCCCCTGAAGGATTTCTGGTACAGAAAAAGATTGATTTACAAAACCAAAAATAAATCACATGCAAATTAATATTAAATATTGTCAGTATGGTTTCTGATATATAGAAGTTTTGTGGCCCTTGGGCCATAAATGCCTTTTACCAGTCAGCAGGAGACTAAAGAAAACAAAATTTTCTTTAGTCTTTCTTTAGTCTTAAATCTTTTCTAAAGAAAATCTTTTCTAAAGAAAAGATTTAAAGGAAGCAAAAGGAATGCTTTTTAAATCCAATGGCTCTCAGCAGGGTCAGAACTAATAATTTAATATTATTATTATATATTTTCCTTTTTTTATTTGCTTTTTTTTGGTTTTTTAATTTTAATTTTATTTTTTTATTTTCAAGAAAAATAATATTTTAATCTGATCTGGAAAATCAAATGAATGCAAAAAATTCATGATGAATCAAATATAAAAATTTTAAATGAAAACTGGATAGGTTACTGATTTTTCCTTTTACTACAAGCTCAAATATGGCTCAACACAGCACCATTACTGATCCTCTCTTTATTTAGAATTTTTATATTTTGTCCAACATGAATTTTTTTATTTGAGTTTTTTAAAAATATTGCATTAAAATATTATTTACAAATTTTGCACCCAAGCCAGGTGCCTACTCACCTCACCGTCGTCCTGGCCCTAGTTCTCAACACACAATCTCCATCCCTGGACACTTACATCAGAAATAACCTTTGGGTTCTTCAGATCATCATGTACTTGGATATGTTAACAGCCCTTTGAGAGCCCCTCTACCCACCAGGGCCCCTTGTTGCAACTAAAACTGTGTCCTGTTAGACACAGACACTGAGGGAGCCAAACCAGCAGCAGACAAGTAACAAATGCCTCTCCCCTCAGATTCCCCATGGTCTAAAGAATGCATAATTCCCACAACCCGGAAGCATTGCATGGCTCAGCTATGTATTTCTTTCGACGACTTTATTCATGAAAATGCAAACAGATTGAGGACTAAGCACACAAACAAATACTGCACCTCTACATATTCAGTAAAAAGGATTAAAAAATGATTTCAGTAAATGTCCTATTTTTTAGAGTCTTGAAGGAATATCCAACTCAGCTAGTCTCTCAGAGACCAACTTGCAGGAGAATCTCACACAGGGCAGTGTGATGAACACCACAGAGCTGACATGGAGCTCCAGCCACATAGACCACCTAGCTTCTGGGACACAAGGGGACAAGAGAAGGGGCATTTACTCAGCTTCTGAGCTGCATGTGTCCAGCACTGTCAGGACCCTCTGCCTCTGAGGGTATGTAATTGAGGGAATGGGGGAAGTGGAAATTTCAGAATGCATGGTTAATAGAGCTGAGTGGGCAAGATTGTAAGAGCAGAATTTGATGGATATGAGAGCCTTGACTGAGGGAGCACTTATAGGAGGAGATGAATTGGCAGTAAGACAAGAAGAGGGGCATGCCTCGTGGTAGACACCTGATGGCTGGAACCCACTGACAGTAGACCACTGACTGCCAAAGGTCCAGGTGAATGCAGTCATTGAGGACCTTGCTTCCCACCCTCCTGGTCCTTTCTGGACAATATTCCCTCCCACCACTATAATTATTGGATCATGGTGGAAATGAGAGCATTGGGTAGCATTTGACACATGGGCTGAAGGAGGGATTACAAGAGCACAGCAAGACCCCAGGAGGCCAATGGGCTATGGCCCTCTCAGCTCAGGCATTGTGCGGCAAGCTGCTAAGGGGCTGTGCTTGGCGCTTGGGCAATTCTTCTGGCCAAGCTTGGAACCTGCATGTTTCCAGTGACCCCAAGTGAGAGGAAGGCAAAAACACTGGGTAACACAACAGTCCAGATGGGGAGCCTCAGGATTAACTTGTGTATGCTGCCTCGCCTCTGTCCCACAGCAACCTACAAGATAGGAATTGCTGTCCCTAAATTACAGAGGATGAAGCAAGCAAGTTCAGAAAGATTTGTCAGCTTGTCTAAAGTAATGCAATAAATAAGCAGTCTCCAAGTCACATGGATAATCTCTTGGGCATTTTCTCTCTCAGCCATGGAGGCTATAAGAGGAAGAATCACTGCTTTTCTCAAGCAAATCGGTTTCTTGATGTCTTTTGGTTCTCACTCCTTGCCTGTTCCTGATGCTTTGACCCCTTTTATAGATCAGGGTGCTCTAGAATAATGGATGGTCTTGGGTGGTGAGTTAAAGTGGATAAATAGGGACAGGGACGGTTAAATTGGAAGCCTTTCTTACAACGTTGATGGTTTTTTTCCCCCTCAAGTTTCCTTTTCCACTGAAATGCCACAGCAATGCTTGTTCGATTTATGAGGTGGCCAGACTAATGTGTTGTTTTTTCTTTTTCTTCTTTTTTTTTTTTTTAAGTTTCCCTTGAGAGAATAAATGGTAATGGAGAGAACTATTTAGAAAGGTCCTGGTTTCTCTTGCAACACAGTAGCTAAACCTGCCTGATTTTACGTGCGTTTTTGTAAGGGTCAGCTTGTTAGACAGTATTAGCAGAGAAATGACACCTTGATCTTGGTTTGCAAGCACTTCTCCCATCAGTCCCAGATTAGGCCATGCAGGGGTGTTGGTTTATGCATGCTGCAGCAGTGGGCATAATGAATATAATTTACCCAGTAGACAAAGGTGTGTACCAAGTGAATTTAAATAATTGGTGTGGATTGACTAGTAGCTAAGAAGTGGGTTTTTAAAGAGATACTAAAGATTGAAAAAAATTTTTTTAAGAAAGAAAAAAATATTGATTGTAGATAATGAAAAGCTAGGGTTTGCCCTCTTCATGTCTACTTGCCTTCCAAATAGTTATATCCAAAACCGTTTTTCCCTCTCCCCTACCTTGCCCTCCTGTTAAAATAGAAATTGGGATTAATATCCTACTCCTGAATACATGTAAAATTTGTACAAAAATATCTTCTGTGAAAATGATTTGTAATCTGTAGACTTATTACCTAGGAGATGTCTTGAGATGTAAAATCCCATCCTTTGGGTTGTGGGTTTTTTGTCTTCTCCAAATAAATCTGATCTTTAAAAAGAAAAAAAAATAAGTTGTTGAAATGAGAACCCAATACAATCTGTTTGACCTCAAAGACCGTGGTCTTTCCACCAAATGACACAGCCTTCAAAACTTCTATTTCAAAAGTATTTAAAACATAAACAAATACTTAAGCTAGCAAAGGCATCTGAGACTTGAGAATTCTTGCAAGCAAAGAACAACAACAAAAAAATTGAGCACCAAACTGTCAAGAAGTCAATAAAACTCAATGGCCTCAAACTAGACTGATACACAAAGTAAAAGATACTAAAGATGCTTGAAAATGCTTTGCATTCACAATAACCTTGATTTCAACAATGGAAAGACACCAACTTTGTTACCAATTCAAAGATACCGACTCAGAATGTAAAAGAAATAAAGGTAATAGGATATCACCAAAGTTTTGCTCTGTAGCCTGTATTTTGCAGGTTATTTTCCCGTGAATGATTTTAAAGCTTTGCTCTTGTTTTACAAACACATTTTATTGCCTTCAGGTTGGAATCAAGCACCAAATATACAAACCACAGATATGTTTAGACGTTGGACTGAAGAATTTGATATTTCAGGGATTTCACAGTCACATTCCCCGAATCTAATTTTATAAAACAGAAAATCAACATTTTATCTTATGATTTGGGCATAAATAAGGTTTAATTTTTATTATTAGCAAGGAGGATGAATTAAACTGGGTAATGTTTCAATTAAAAAGTGAACAAAGTATATGGCAGCCATGAAAATTCATTTTGCAGCCTCTAAGTACATGGAACACATTTGAGCAAGAGCCCAGCCACTCATTTTTAAATTCATTGCCATGTTTGACCCAAAGCAACACTTCCCATGGGCTGTTCCCAGCCAGCAGCTGAGTACAGCAGGGACAGCCCCATTCTGGGGAGACATAACACTCTTTGACAGCCAACTGTGCCTCAAGGACCCCTTGAGTCTTGCTGAACCTTCATTATTGCCACATGGGGTCTAGGATGTCTCCCATCCAGTCATTCTTCTCTCTCTCCTTCATTCAGGGCCAGGATTGCAATGCAGTCTGACAGCTCTTTCAGCTTTTCCCAGCTCTCTCTCCACTTCCTATTTTATAACTCAATAAAATCCTTGCATGTTTAATCCTTTCTTGGTGTCTGCTTCTCAAAAGACATACATTCACATCAAACAAAAGTAAAAACTGTGATAACTTATTTTCTTGAATTTTGTATTTATTTCTGAAGTTTTAGAGCTTAATTTAGTACCTTTTACATAGTACTTAATCGAATTGGTAAAAAAAGGATATTCATTTTATCAATGAATATCATAGTAAAAAATGTGTGAAATATGTAGCTTCCAATCACACACCAAATTTTACATATTTGTGATCTTCCTTTTTTATGACATTTTATTCATGGAGGATAAGATATACCTCTAGGATGGGAGATGGCTGAATAGAAGCCTTCGCTAGTCATTCCCCCCACAGGAACACCAAATTGATCAACTATTCACACACAAAAAAAGTACCTTCATAAGAACCAAAAATCAGGTGAGTGATCACAGTACCTGGTTTTAATTTCATATCACAGAAAGAGGCATTGAAGAGGGTAGGAAAGACAGTCTTGAATCACTGGCACTACCCCTCCCCATCCCCCAGCAGTGGCTGCATGGTACAGAAACAGAATCTGTGTGCTTGGGGAAGTGACAGCACAGTGATTGTGGGACTTTGCTTTGGAACTCAGTGCTGCCCAGTCACAGCAGAAAACAACACCAGGCAGAACTCAGCCAACACTCTCGGAGGTAGCATTTAGACCAGCCCCAACCAAAGGGGAATAGTCCATCCCAACAGTCTGAACTTGAGTTTCGGTGAGCCTCGCCACCACAGGCTAAAGTGCTGTGGGGACATAAATAAATTTGAAAGGCAGTCTAGGCCACGAGGACTGCAACTCCTAGGCAGGTCCTAGTGCTGTGCTGGGCTCAGACCCAGTGAACTTGTGGGGCATGTGACCTAGTGAGACACCAAGCCGGGGTGGCCAAGGGAGTGCTTGTGCCTCCCCACCCCCAACCCCAGGTAGCACAGCTTGCAGCTTCAAAAGACACTCCTTCCTTCTGCTTAATGAGAAGGAAGAGTAAAGAGGGCTTTGTCTTGCAACTTGGATTCCAGCTCAGCCACAGTAGGATCTGGCACTGGACAGGGACCTGAGGCACTCATTCCAGGCCCTAACTCCCAGATACATTTCTAGACATTCCCCAGGCCAGAAGGGAGCCTTCTGCCTTGAAGGAAAGAACCCAGTACTGACAGAACTCATAACCTGCTGACTGAAGAGCCCTTGGACCCTAAATAATCAGCAGCAATAATGAGATAGTACACACCATGGGCCTTGAGAGAGACTCTGAGACGTGCTGGCTTCAGATGTGACCCAGTACATTCCTAGTTGTGATGGCTATGGAGAAATACTCCTTCTTCTAGAGAAAAGAAGAGGGAAGAGTAAAGGGGACTTTTTCTTGCAGTTTAGGTACCAGTTTGGTCACAGTAAGGTAGAGTACTAAGCAGGCTCTTGGAATCATTGATTCTAGTCCTTGGCTCTTGGGTGGCATTTTTGGACTGCCCTGGGCCAAAAGGGAGTCCACTATTCTGAAAGGTGAGTCCCAGGCCTGGAAGCATTCACCACAAGCTGACTGAAGAGCCCTTGGGCCTTGAGTGAACACTGGTAGTAGCCTAGCAGGACTCCTCATGGGTGTGTGGTGGTGGTGGCCATGGGAAGATACTCCTCTGCTTGTCGCAAGGGAAGGGAAGAGTGGGAAGGACTTTGTCTTGTGGTTTTGGTGCCAGCTCAGCCACAGTAAAATAAAGCATCAGGTAGATTCCTAAGGTTTCCGACTCCAGGCCCTTGTTCCCAGATGGCATCTCTAAACCTGCCCAGGACTAGGAGGAACTCACCACCCCAAAGGAAAGGATGCAAGCCTGGCTGGCTTTACCTGAAGCTGACTGTAGAGCCCTAGGGCCTTGAGCAAACATAGGCAGGAGTGAGGTAGTGGTTACAGTGGGCCTTGTGTGAGACCCAGTGCTATGCTGGTTTCAGGTCCAAACCAATGCAGTTCCAGCAGTGGTGGCCACAGGGGTGCTTGTGTCACCATTCCCCTAGCTCCAGGCAGCTCAGCACAGAAAGAGAGACCCCATCTATTTGAGACAAAGTAAGGGAAGAGAATGAGAGTCTTTGCCTGGGCATCCAGAGAATTCCTCTGGATCTTATCCAAGACCACTAAGGCAGTACTCCTATGAGTCTAAAAGACCCACAGCATTACTGGGCTTGGGGTGCCCCTTAATGCAGATATGACTGCAGTGACCAAAAACGTAGATCACAACACCCAAGTACCTTCAAATACCTGGAGAGCCTTTCCAAGAAGGACAGGTACAAACAAACTCAGACTGTGAAGACTACAATACCTAACTCTTCAGTACTCAGACACTGATAAATATCCACAAGCATCAAAACCATCTGGGAAAACAAAATCTCACCAAATAAACTAAATAAGGCACCAGAAACCAATCCTGGAGAGACAGTGATATGTGACCTTTTAGACAGAGAATTCGAAATAGCTGTTTTAAGGAAACTCAATGAAATTTAAGATAACACAGAGAAGGAATTCAAAATCCTATTGATAAATTTAATAAAGAGATTGAAATAATTTAAAAGAATCAAGCAAAAATTCTGGGGTTGAAAAATGCAATTGATATACTGAAGAATGCATCAGAGAACTGATCAAGCAGAAGAAAGAATTAGTGAGCTTGAAGATAGGTTATTTGAAAATACACAGTTAAATTGTCATCAGTTTAAAATAATGGGTTATAAGATATTATTTGCAAGCCTCATAGTAACCTCAAATTTAAAAAAACATACAATGAATACACAAAAACTAAAAAAAAAGAAATTAAAATACATCACCAGAGAAAATTACTTTCATTAAAAGGAAGACAGGAAGGGAGGAAAGAAGTAAGAGAAGACCACAAAACAACTAGAAAACAACACAATGGCAGGAGTAAATTCTTACTTATTAATAATAACATTGTATGTAAATGGACTAAACTCTCCATTCAAAAGACACAGTTTCTGAATGGATTAAAAAAAAAAACCCAATGATCTGTTGCCTACAAGAAACATACTTCACCTATAAAGACACACATAGACTGAAAATAAAGGGATGGAAAAACATATTCCATGCAAATAGAAACCAAAAAACAACAGTAGTAGTTATACTTACATCAGACAAAATAGATCTCAAGACAAAAACCATAAAAAGAGACAAGGAGGTCTCTTTATAATAGTAAAGAGGTCAATTCAGGAAGAGAATATAACAATTATAAGTATATATGCACTCAACACTGGAGGACCCAGACATATTAAGCAAATATTATTAGAGCTGAAGAGAGCTCTAGACCCCAATACAATAATAGCTAAAGACTTCAACACCCTACTTTCAGCATTGGACAGATCATCCAGACAGAAAATCAACAAAGAAACTTTGGACTTAATCTGCACTATAGACCAAATGGGCCAAAATTAATAAAAGAAAAGAAATAATAATGATTAGAGCAGAAATACATGAAATTGAAACAAAGAAAACAATTCAAAAGATCAATAAAGTGAAAAGTTGGTTTTTGAAAAGATAAACACAATTGACAAATATTTAGCCAGACTAAGGAAAAAAATAGAGAACACCCAAATAAAATCAGATATGAAAAAGGAGACATTACAACCAATGCTGCAGAAATTCAAAGGATCATTAGAGGTTACTACAAGCAACTATATGCTAATAAATTGGAAAACTAGAAGAAATGGATAAGTTCCTAGATATATGCAACCTACCAAGATTAAACCATGAAGAAATCCAAAACCTGAACAGACCAATAACAAGAAATGAGATGGAAGCCACAATAAAGATTCCCAGCAAAGAAAAGCCTAGGACCTGATAGCTTCACTGCTGAATTTTACCAAACATTTAAGGAAGAACTAATACCAATCCTACTCAAACTGTTCTGAAAAATAGAGGAGGAGGGAATACTTCCAAACTCATTCTATGAGGCCAGTTTTACCCTGATATCAAAACTAAAGACACATCAAAAAAACAAAAACAAAAAACAAAATACTACAGGCCAATACCCCTGATGAGGGCTAATGCAAAAATCCTCAACAAAATACTAGCAAACCAAATTTAACAACACATTAGAAAGATCATTCATCATGGGCAACTGGGATTTATTTGTGGGATGCAAGGATGGTTCAACATATACAGATCAATCAATGATCACATCATATCAACAGAATGAATGGCAAAAAACATATGATCATTTCAATTGACGCAAAGAAGTGTTTGATTAAAATTCAGTAACGCTTCATGATAAAAGCCCTCAAAAAACTGGTTATAGAAGGAGTATACCTCAACATAAAAAAAGCCATTTGCAACAGACCCACAGTTAGTATCATACTGAGTGGGGAAAAACAAGTCTTTCCTCTAAGGTCTGGACCATTACAAGGATGCCCACTTTCATCACTGTTATTTAACATGGTACTGAAAGTCCTAGCTAGAGCAATCAGACAGGAGAAAGAGATAAAGGGCATTTATCTCACTTGGAAAGGAAAAAGTCAAATTATCCTTGTTTGCTGATGATATGATCTTATATTTGGAAAAACCTAAAGGATCCACCAAAAAACTATTAGAACTGATAAATTAAGTAAATTTGCAGGATACACAATTAACAAAGAAAAATCTGTAGCATTTCTGTATGTCAACAGCAAACAATCTGAAAAAGAAACTTAAAAAGTAATTCCATTTACAATTGCTACAAATAAAATTAAATACCTAGAAATTAACCAAAGAAGTGAAAGAGCTCTACAATGAAAACTATAAAACATTGATGAAAGAAATTAAAAAGGACACACAAAAAATTTGAAAGGTATTCCATTTTCATGGTTTGAAAGATTGTTAAAATGTCCAAAGCAATCTATAGATTCAATGCAACCCCTATCAAAAAAATGACATTCTTCACAGAAATATAAAAAACAATCCTAAAATTTATATGGAGACACAAAAGACCCAGAATAATCAAAGCTATATTGAGGAAAAAAAAAAAAAAAAAAAACGGGAGGAATCACATTGCCTGACTTCAAATTATACTACAGAGCTATCATAAGCAAAACAGCCTGGTACTGGCATAAAAACAGACACATAGACCAACAGAACAGAAAAGAGAACACCAAAATAAATCCATACATCTACAGTGAATTCATTTTCAACAAAGGCGCCAAGGGCATACAATAGGGAAAGGACTCTTTCTTCAATAAATGGTGCTGGGAAAATTAGACATCCACAGGCAAGAGAATGAAACTAGACGTCTGTCTCTCACCATATACAAAGATCAAATCAAAATGGATTAAAGACTTAAATCTAGGACTACAAACTATGAAACTACTAAATTCAAACTATGAAAACATCAGGGAAACTCTCCAGGACATTGGATAGGGCAAAGATTTCTTGAATAATACCCCATAAGCACGGGAAACCAAAGGAAAAATGGATAAATAGGATTACATCAAATTAAACACCTTCTGCACAGCAAAGTAAACAATGAGCAAAGTGAAGAGACAACCCACAGAATGGAAGAAAATATTTGCAAACTATTCATCTGACAAGGGATTAATGAACAGAATATATAAGGAGCTCAAACAACTCCATAGGAAAAAATCTAATAATCTGATTTAAAAATGGGCAAAAGATCTGAATAGACATTTCTCAAAAGAAGACATACAAATAGCAAACAGACATATGAAAAGGTGCATAACATCACTGATCATCAGAGAAATACAAATAAAAACTACAATGAGATATTATCACATCCCAGTTAAAATGGTCTTTATCCAAAAGACAGGCAATAACAAACACTGCTGAGGATATGGAGAAAAGGGAACCCTCATACACTGTTGGTGGGAATGTAAATTAGTACAACCCTAGGAGACCAGTTTGGAGGTTCCTCAAAAACCTAAAAATAGAGCTACCAGCTATCCAGCAATCCCATTGCTAGGTATATACCCAAAAGAAAGGAGATCAGTATATCAAAGAGATACTTGCACTTTCATGTTTATTGCAGCACTATTCACAATATCCAAGATTTGGAAGCAACCTAAGTGTCCATCAACAGATGAGTGGATAACGAAAATGTGTTACATACACACAATGGAGCACTATTCAGCCATAGAAAACAATGAGAACTTGTCATTTGCAATAACGTGGATGGAACTGAAGGTCATTATGTTAAGTAAAATAAGCCAGGTACAGAAAGACAAACTTCATATGTCCTTACTCATTTGTAGGAGCTAAAAATTAAAACAATTGAACTCATGGAGATAGAGAGTAGAATGATGGTTATCAAAGGCTGGAGAGTGTAGTGGGGTGAAGGGAGGATGGTTAATGGGCACAAAAATATAAATAGATGAATAAGATATAGTATTTGATAGTACAACAGAGTGACTATAGTCTACAATAATTTATTATACATTTAAAAATAACTGAAAGAGTATAATTGCATTGTTTGTAATACAAAGAAAGGATAAATGCTTGAGGTAGATAAATACCCCATTTACCCTGATGTGATTATTATGCATTGTACACCTGTATCAAAATATCTCATGTACCCCGATATAGTTTGGATATATGTCCCTGCCCAAATCTCATGTTGGAATATAATCCCCAGTGTTGGAGGTGGTCCCTGGTGGGATGTGTCTGGGTCATGAGGGTGGATCCCTGATGGCTTGGTGCTGTCCTCAAAGTACTGAGTGAGTGAGTTCTCGGGAGATTTGGTTGTTTAAAGTGTGTCCTATCTCCACAACTCTCTCTCGTTCCCACTCCTGCCATGTGAAATACTTGTTTCCCCTTGGCCTTCCACCATGATTGTAAGCTACCTAAGGCCCTACCAGAAGCAGATGTTGGTGCTATGCTTCCTGTTAGCCTGCAGAAGCATGAGCCAATTGAATATTTTTTCTTTATAAATTAGCCAGTCTCAGGTATTCCTTTATAGCAATGCAAGAATGGCCTAACACATACCCCATAAATATATACACCTACTATGTACGCACAAAAATTAAAAATTGGGCAGACACAGTGGTTCATGCCTGTAATGCCAGCACTTTGGAAGGCCAAGACAGGTGTATCACTTGAGCTCAGGAGTTCGAGACCAGCCTGGGATACATGGTGAAACCCCATCTCTACCCAAAATGCAAAAATTAGCCAGGCATGGCCAGGTGTGGTGGCTCACACCTGTAATCCCAGCACTTTGGGAGGCCAAGGTGGGTGGACCACCTGAGGTCAGGAGTTTGCAACCAGCCTGGCCAACATGGTGAAACCCCATCTCTACTAAAAATACAAAAAATTAGCCAGGCATGATGGCACATGCCTGTAATCCCAGCTACTCAGGAGGCTGAGGCAGGAGCATCACTTGAACTCAGGAGGCAGAGGTTGCAGTGAGCCAAGATCGCACCATTGCATTCCAGCCTAGGCAACAAGAGGGAAACTCCATCTTAAAAAAAAAAAAAAAAAAATTAGCCAGGCTAATGGTGGTGCATGCCTGTGGTCCCAGATACTTGGGAGGCTGAGGTGGGAGAATCACTGGAGCCTGGGAAGTCGAGGCTGCAGTGAGCCCATGATTGCACCACTGCACTTCAGCCTGGGTGACAGATGAGGCCCTGTCTCAAAAAAAAAAAAAAAAGAAAAACTGGAAAAAAGTCAAAGAATGTGGGATTCAGCAGGGGGAATATATGTCTAATGAAATCTTTGGTTTAAAAAAATGTTCCAGCCAGGTGTGGTGGCTCATGCCTGTAATCTCAGCACTTTGGGAGGACGAGGTGGGTGGATCACCTGAGGTCAGGAGTTTGAGACCAGCCTGGCCAACATGGTGAAACTCCGTCTCTACTAAAAATACAAAATTAGCCGGGCATGGTAGCCCGCAACTGTAATCCCAGCTACTAGGGAGGCTGAGGCAGGAGAATCGCTTGAACCTGGGAGGCAGAAGTTGCAGTGAGCTGAGATTGTACCACTGCACTCCAGCCTGGGTGACAGAGTGAGACTCAGTCTCAAAAAATAAATAAATAATTTAAAATGTTCCCAATTCTAACTGGGAGACGAATACATTTTTTAGGCATTAGATTAAAAAGGATTTTAACTCACCGCTTCAGTGTCAATAGATGACGTATCAACATATATTACTAAAAAGAAGTAACAATGACTACCATTGCCTTAATCTTCCTTTTCATTTCTAGCATTATTATGTCCTAAATAGGTGGCTTGGAAACTACCCTTCATTTTCCAGAATAGCATAAAAACATCAAACGTACGTTACCACCAATACAGTGGGTGTCTTGGAAACCATGCAGGAGTCTTTAATCTCCTGGCCACAATTTTTTTTATTCTTTCTGGCAATTTTAGGGAGCTCACTAAGAGCCAAATGTTATCATAGTTTAGCCTAAGCAGAAAATAAAAGTCCCTTGAGAGCTTACCTTATGGTTTTTAATAAAGTGCTTTCTCACTTTCATACAAGCTAGACGAAGTTAATTAGTTTGGATATGAGAAGCTGTTCCCTGTCCTCTTTCCCCTCCAAGCACTAATTAATATTAATGAGTAAAAGGATAAAATTACTAAGTACTCCTATAATTGTACTCGTGGATCATTTCCATAGGATGATCCTGAAATCCAGATAAATAGGACTAAATGCAGACTATCAACCATGACAGAGTTGCCAGACCTTGCTATAGATTTCACTGAAAACCCTGATAAGAGGGCTCTCCCCACCTTTAGGAAAGGATTTAAGAGGATTATTTTCCAGGAACTGATTGATTTTCTAATAGTGATGTTCCCGCTTTCCCTTCCTCCTTATTGCTTTCTTTTTTTCTCCCTCTTTGGCAGGGAGAAGCAGCGAGATTTGAGATTCTGCCATGCAAATTATTTTAACTCTTTAGATGCAAAGCTTTCAGGCTTTTATCCCAATGCTTCATGAGACTAAGAAGACAAAAGAGAGCACCACATTTTTTTGTGAAGTGAAGCTCTTGAAGGAGGATGTCAACAATGTGGTAAAATGGAAAGCTGGTCTGCAGACTGAGAGATGATGTTAAGATTGGTAAAAAGCAAGGCCCAGGCTCCTTTGGCCGCTCCTGCAGGCAGCTGAAAGTCATCTTCTGCAAATGTCTCAAGCCCAGTTAGAGTTAAGGTGTTTTCAGCATATTAATTAGGCTGCCAGGCTTGAGACAAAGGAAACCCATGTCTCTAGGGAATTACATCACTCAGTTGTAACCACCTTCGCTCCCTGGTTCTGGTATCACTGGGACTGAAACCTGACCGAGAGATGTTTCATAAGGGTTAAACATTACTACTTTCCCACTGAATAGTAGAGTAAGGCATTTTGTGGAGATTCTGGGTCTGAAAAATGAGGAAAGACTGTAAGGAAATGAAAAGGTAGGCGTCTTTTAAAAGGCAATCTATTGTGTTAGAATAAAACCAATAGTCATTTGTAGCGAAATGTATATATACTCATGAAAGCTACACCTGTATGTATTAAGAAGCTTTAAAAACAGGAAGAAGGTCTATGCCATACATACTCAAAACGCTTTTTTTGTTTTTGGTTGGTTGGTTTTCTTTTTGTTATTGTTGTTTGAGATAGAGTCTTGCTCTGTCACCAGGCTGGAGTGCAATGGCGCAATCTCGGCTCACTGCAACCTCCACCTCCCGGGTTCAAGTGATTCTCCTGCCTCAGCCTCCCAAGTAGCTGGGACTACAGGCGCATGCCACCACACCCGGCTAATTTTTGTATTTTCAGTAGAGACAGGGTTTCACCATGTTTGCCAGGCTGGTCACGAACTCCTGAACTCAGGTGATCCACCCACCTTGGCCTCCCAAAGTGCTGGGATTACAGGCATGAGCCACCGCGCCCAGCCATACCCGAAAAGTTTTAAGCATCTTGGTTAACAAGATAAATAGGAGCTATATGGCTGACTGACAGAATCAGGGGAAAAAAATAACTCCCAATTATATTTACAAGTAATTAAAGATATGGCTAGAATGCATTCAAATGATGGAAAGTCTCCATAATATTTAAGCTCTGCCTGTTTCCCTCACAAATGTCTTCGTTACAGATTCTAGCCTCATTAAGAAAGCCACACAGAAATAAAGAGATTCTAAATAGGATAGTGGCAGAGCTTGGGAAGGGTTTGAGGGATAGTCTTAGGGTTATAAATAAAAACAATGGGCTGGGCGCGGTGGCTCATGCCTGTAATCCCAGCACTTTGGGAGGCCGGGGTGGGCAGATCGCTTGAGGCCAGGAGTTCAAGACCAGCCTGGCCAGCATGGCAAAACCCTGTCTCCACTATTAGGTTGGTGCAAAAGCAATTGCGTTTTTTTTGCCATTAAAGTAATGGCAAAAAAATGCAATTGCTTTTGCACCAACCTAATAAAAATACAAACATTAGCTGAGCATGGTGGTGCAAGCCTGTGTTCCCAGCTACTCAGGAGGCTGAGGCATGAGAATCACTTGATCCTGGGAGGTGGAGGTTGCAGTGAGCCCAGAACATGCCACTGCACTCCAGCCTGGGTGACAGAGTGAGACCCTGTTTAAAATAAATAAATAAATAAAAACAGTGGAGCAAGCCTTGAAAAACGCAGACCTGCTGTGTACCCCACAGCCATGCTCCAGATGCTTCCCCTGGTGGTTGCTGCTTCACTGCAGAAAACCTAGGATGGGAAGATGCTGGAGCTCTTCTGGTGAGATGATGTTGTGAACTGTCTTTGCTAGCAATTTACAAAGCCTGATACTTTGATAACTCCTTCTGTCCTTTGCTGCTTCCAGAAGGGTTTAGAACAGGTGGCCAGGGGAAGGGAGTTAATGCTTCATCCCATTTTTCTTTTTTATCCTCTTTATTGCTATTTGGACAAAGATGGACTATAGCTCACGAGTGCAGCCTAACCCCAAATGCTCTCGAAAGCAAAAAGGACTATGTAGAATGTGCACTTATTTATATTAAATGTTAATGATTCAAGCATTTCTTTACTGCAAAATGTTGTTTCTCTATGCCATGCTAAAATAATTCATAACTGTGCCCCCTAAGGTCAGGGTTAGCCAAATAAGTGACTGGCAATGAAGGATTAACTTCAGGGGCTCTAATTCTTTTCCTGTACTATTACCCTTCATTCCACAATTAAAGACAAAGTTTAAAAAACAATTATTTTCAAAAGAGAAAGAATATTACATTCACATTGAGTACATGACATAAAACTTCACTTTAAAAAATGAAAAGATGAAAAAGCCCTTCCTATGCCTTTATGCCTGTCTTTGTTCATGTGCCGGAATTCCATTCTTTCTTATTGGTTTCCTATTAAAATCTTACTCAAGGTTTTGACCGAACTAAACAAAATCTACATTCAGTAGATCCATTGGTTTTGCTCTTCAATCCATTACCATTTGGTTTTGCTGTTAGTATCCCTGGGTCAGAAGTTACCAGCAATGTTCTCCCCCAAAATCAGCACCTCGTTTTCAGGTCCCATCCAGCAGAAACTTGGCTACATTGAATTTCGGACAGCCTCTTATAAATTATAAAGTTCTATATTTCCTTGGCTTCTGCAATACCACTTTTCCCTGCTTTCTATTTGTCTTTTTTGTTGTTGTCTTGGCACAGGGCCTCACTCTGTCACCCAGGCTGGAGTGCATGGTGCAATCTTGGCTCACTGCAGCCTTGACCTACTGAGCTCAAGCAATCCTACCACCTTGGCCTCCCGAGTAGCTGGAACTACAAGCACACACAAACTTCATCCAGATAAATTTTTTTTTTTTGGTACAGATGGGGGTCTCATTATGTTGTGCAGGATGGTCCTGAATTCCTGCCTCAAGTGATCCTCCCACTTCGACTTCCCAAAGCTCTGTGGTAACAGGCATGAGCCATGCTACCTCACCTGTCCTACTTATATAAAAATCTCAACCCGAAGACTTACTTTTTTGTTTTTGTGTTTTGTTTTGAGACAGAGTCTCGCTCTTGTTGCCCAGGCTGGAGTGCAGTGGCTCGATCTTGGCTCCCTGCAACCTCCACCTCTTGGGTTCAAGCAATTCTCCTGCCTCAGCCACCCAAATAGCTGGGATTATAGGCACATGCCACCACGCCCGGCTAATTTTTGTATTTTTAGTAGAGATGAGGTTTCACCATTGTTGGCCAGGCTGGTCTCAAACTCCTGACCTCAGGTTATCCACCCGCCTCAGCCTCCCAAAGTGCTGGGCTTACAGGTGTGAGCCACCACACCTGGCCTAAGACTTAGGTGTTTAATAGAAGGAAGGAGTGTCAATGGAGTGCCCTCAGTGACTCCTCCCTGGCTAAAAGTAAGGAAAGCAGTAAGTGTGTGCGTGTGCATGTGTGTGTGCACACATCTCCACATTCTTGTAGATAGGAGTCTGTTTAGGCCAGACCAGCTATCCCAGCTATTTCTCTCCATATTTAAAGGGAGGGGACATGTGAGACTAGGAAAAAGTTGTTTCTCAAGAAGGTCTGTATATGAATGGTCCCAGAGTTCCTAAAAGACTAGAACCTTAACAACTGGGTGTTATCCTTACACTTTCCCGACATCTCATCTGTCTCCTCCCTCTGCCCCTCCCAAAACATTTCAGATAAGAATTACAAGACATCCAACCCCTTCTAGCACCTCATGAAGTCATAGACCTCGTCTCATGGTTAATCCGCCTACCTTATAGCTGGCTGTGGGAAGGAAACTTGGCAGCCCACCCATGTTGACCTTCAGGCTCCTATGCAGACTGCTGTGCCCCTGAAGAACCCTGGAAGGTTATTGGCTCCATTGGAGTAGCCAGCATTTTAGTGACACGTGGGGTTCTTTTGGGACTCAGTGTGTGGGCATTCCTTACCACTCCTTAGTCTGTTCTACAGGGAGATTTCAAGAGTTGAGCTCTCAGTAGAGTTTCACTTCTGTCTTACATTCTTTGATGCAAATGGTCCTCTGAAACCCCCATTCACCTTGAGCTCATCTGCAGATGGGCCATTTACAGATGTACTGAACATACAGCAGAGTAACCCGCCCTTCCCTTTCTCCAACACAGACTCCTGGAAACAGTGAAAATCCATTTCTGACTGAGAGTATACACACGTTTGCCCAAGAATATGGTTTATGAACATGTGATCACTGCAAGCAATTCTCAACCCTTTTTGAGCACATTGGCCTCAGGTGCCACAAGTGCCTGGGTCAGAGGTACCAGGTGACAAAAATCAAGGAACACTGTTAAGAACAAGGACTCCAGAAGAAGGCTGCCTGGGTTCAAGTGCCAACTCCACTACTTATTCACCATATCACCTTTGAGTCAGTTATTTTACTTTTTTTGTGCCTCTGTTTACTAATCTAAAAATTGGAATAATAATGACAACTACCTTATATATTTTTATAACAATAAAATGATTTACCCGGAGGAGCCAAGATGGCCGAATAGGAACAGCTCCGGTCTACAGCTCCCAGCGTGAGCGACGCAGAAGACGGGTGATTTCTGCATTTCTATCTGAGGTACCGGGTTCACCTCACTAGGGAGTGCCAGACAGTGGGCGCAGGTCAGTGGGTGCCCGCACCGTGCGCGAGCCGAAGCAGGGCAAGGCATTGCCTCACTTGGGAAGCACAAGGGGTCAGGGAGTTCCCTTTCCAAGTCAAAGAAAGGGGTGACGGACGCACCTGGAAAATCGGGTCACTCCCACCCGAATATTGCGCTTTTCCGACCGGCTTAAAAAAACGGCGCACCACGAGATTAAATCCTGCACCTGGCTCGGAGGGTCCTACGCCCACGGAGACTTGCTGATTGCTAGCACAGCAGTCTGAGATCAAACTGCAAGGCGGCAGCGAGGCTGGGGGAGGGGCGCCCGCCATTGCCCAGGCTTGCTTAGGTAAACAAAGCAGCCGGGAAGCTCGAACTGGGTGGAGCCCACCACAGCTCAAGGAGGCCTGCCTGCCTCTGTAGGCTCCACCTCTGGGGGCAGGGCACAGACAAACAAAAAGACAGCAGTAACCTCTGTAGACTTAAATGTCCCTGTCTGACAGCTTTGAAGAGAGCAGTGGTTCTCCCAGCATGCAGCTGGAGATCTGAGAACGGGCAGACTGCCTCCTCAAGTGGGTCCCTGACCCCTGACCCCCGAACAGCCTAACTGGGAGGCACCACCCAGCAGGGGCACACTGACACCTCACACGGCAGGGTATTCCAACAGACCTGCAGCTGAGGGTCCTGTCTGTTAGAAGGAAAACTAACAAACAGAAAGGACATCCACACCAAAAACCCATCTGTACATCACCATCATCAAAGACCAAAAGTAGATTAAAACCACAAAGATGGGGAAAAAACAGAACAGAAAAACTGGAAACTCTAAAAAGCAGAGCGCCTCTCCTCCTCCAAAGAAACGCAGTTCCTCACCAGCAATGGAATAAAGCTGGATGGAGAATGACTTTGACGAGCTGAGAGAAGAAGGCTTCAGACGATCAAATTACTCTGAGCTACAGGAGGACATTCAAACCAAAGGCAAAGAAGTTGAAAACTTTGAAAAAAATTTAGAAGAATGTATAACTAGAATAACCAATACAGAGAAGTGCTTAAAGGAGCTGATGGAGCTGAAAACCAAGGCTCGAGAACTACGTGAAGAATGCAGAAGCCTCAGGAGCTGATGCGATCAACTGGAAGAAAGGGTATCAGCGATGGAAGATGAAATGAATGAAATGAAGTGAGAAGGGAAGTTTAGAGAAAAAAGAATAAAAAGAAATGAGCAAAGCCTCCAAGAAATATGGGACTATGTGAAAAGACCAAATCTACGTCTGACTGGTGTACCTGAAAGTGATGGGGAGAATGGAACCAAGTTGGAAAACACTCTGCAGGATATTATCCAGGAGAACTTCCCCAATCTAGCAAGGCAGGCCAATGTTCAGATTCAGGAAATACAGAGAACAACACAAAGATACTCCTCGAGAAGAGCAACTCCAAGACACATAATTGTCAGATTCACCAAAGTTGAAATGAAGGAAAAAATGTTAAGGGCAGCCAGAGAGAAAGGTCGGGTTACCCACAAAGGGAAGCCCATCAGACTAACAGCGGATCTCTCGGCAGAAACCCTACAAGCCAGAAGAGAGTGGGGGCCAATATTCAACATTCTTAAAGAAAAGAATTTTCAACCCAGAATTTCATATCCAGCCAAACTAAGCTTCATAAGTGAAGGAGAAATAAAATACTTTACAGACAAGCAAATGCTGAGAGATTTTGTCACCACCAGGCCTGCCCTAAAAGAGCTCCTGAAGGAAGCACTAAACATGGAAAGGAACAACCAGTACCAGCCGCTGCAAAATCGTGATAAAATGTAAAGACCATCCAGACTAGGAAGAAACTGCATCAACTAACGAGCAAAATAACCAGCTAACATCATAATGACAGGATCAAATTCACACATAACAATATTAACTTTAAATGTCAAGGGACTAAATGCTCCAATTAAAAGACACAGACTGGCAAATTGGATAAAGAGTCAAGACCCATCAGTGTGCTGTATTCAGGAAACCCATCTCACGTGCAGAGACACACATAGGCTCAAAATAAAAGAATGGAGGAAGATCTACCAAGCAAATGGAAAACAAAAAAAGGCAGGGGTTGCAATCCTAGTCTCTGATAAAACAGACTTTCAACCAACAAAGATCAAAAGAGACAAAGAAGGCCATTACATAATGGTAAAGGGATCAATTCAACAAGAAGAGCTATCTATCCTAAATATATATGCACCCAATACAGGAGCACCAAGATTCATAAAGCAAGTCCTGAGTGACCTACAAAGAGACTTCGACTCCCACACATTAATAATGGGAGACTTTAACACCCCACTGTCAACATTAGACAGATCAATGAGACAGAAAGTCAACAAGGATACCCAGGAATTGAACTCAGCTCTGCACCAAGCAGACCTAATAGACATCTACAGAACTCTCCACCCCAAATCAACAGAATATACATTTTTTTCAGCACCACACCACACCTATTCCAAAACTGACCACATAGTTGGAAGTAAAGCTCTCCTCAGCAAATGTAAAAGAACAGAAATTATAACAAACTGTCTCTCAGACCACAGTGCAATCAAACTAGAACTCAGGATTAAGAATCTCACTCAAAACCGCTCAACTACATGGAAACTGAACAACCAGCTCCTGAATGATTACTGGGCGCATAACGAAATGAAGGCAGAAATAAAGATGTTCTTTGAAACCAACGAGAACAAAGACACAACATACCAGAATCTCTGGGACACATTCAAAGCAGTGTGTAGAGGGAAATTTATAGCACTAAATGCCCACAAGAGAAAGCAGGAAAGATCCAAAATTGACACCCTAACATCACAATTAAAAGAACTAGAAAAGCAAGAGCAAACACATTCAAAAGCTAGCAGAAGGCAAGAAATAACTAAAATCAGAGCAGAACTGAAGGAAATAGAGACACAAAAAATCCTTCAAAAAATTAATGAATCCAGGAGCTGGTTTTTTGAAAGGATCAACAAAATTGATAGACCGCTAGCAAGACTAATAAAGAAAAAAAGAGAGAAGAATCAAATAGACGCAATAAAAAATGATAAAGGGGATATCACCACCGATCCCACAGAAATACAAAATACCATCAGAGAATACTATAAACACCTCTACACAAATAAATTAGAAAATCTAGAAGAAATGGATAAATTCCTGGACACATACACTCTCCCAAGATTAAACCAGGAAGAAGTTGAATCTCTGAATAGACCAATAACAGGACCTGAAATTGTGGCAATAATCAATAGCTTACCAACCAAAAAGAGTCCAGGACCAGATGGATTCACAGCCAAATTCTACCAGAGGTACAAGGAGGAACTGGTACCATTCCTTCTGAAATTATTCCAATCAATAGAAAAAGAGGGAATCCTCCCTAACTCTTTTTATGAGGCCAGCATCATTCTGATACCAAAGCCAGGCAGAGACACAACAAAAAAAGAGAATTTTAGACCAATATCCTTGATGAACATTGATGCAAAAATCCTCAATAAAATACTGGCAAAACGAATCCAGCAGCACATCAAAAAGCTTATCCACCATGATCAAGTGGGCTTCATCCCTGGGATGCAAGGCTGGTTCAATATACACAAATCAATAAATGTAATCCAGCATATAAACAGACCCAAAGACAAAAACCACATGATTATCTCAATAGATGCAGAAAAAGCCTTTGACAAAATTCAACAACCCTTCATGCTAAAAACTCTCAATAAATTAGGTATTGATGGGACGTATTTCAAAATAATAAGTGCTATCTATGACAAACCCACAGCCAATATCATACTGAATGGGCAAAAAGTGGAAGCATTCCCTTTGAAAACTGGCACAAGACAGGGATGCCCTCTCTCACCACTCCTATTCAACATAGTGTTGGAAGTTCTGGCCAGGGCAATTAGGCAGGAGAAGGAAATAAAGGGTATTCAATTAGGAAAAGAGGAAGTTAAATTGTCCCTGTTTGCAGACGACATGATTGTATATCTAGAAAACCCCATCGTCTCAGCCCAAAATCTCCTTAAGCTGATAAGCAACTTCAGCAAAGTCTCAGGATACAAAATCAATGTACAAAAATCACAAGCATTCTTATACACCAACAACAGACAAACAGAGAGCCAAATCATGAGTGAACTCCCATTCACAATTGCTTCAAAGAGAATAAAATACCTAGGAATCCAACTTACAAGGGATGTGAAGGACCTCTTCAAGGAGAACTACAAACCACTGCTCAAGGAAATAAAAGAGGATACAAACAAATGGAAGAACATTCCATGCTCATGGGTAGGAAGAATCAATATCGTGAAAATGGCCATACTGCCCAAGGTAATTTACAGATTCAATGCCATCCCCATCAAGCTACCAATGACTTTCTTCACAGAATTGGAAAAAACTACTTTAAAGTTCATATGGAACGCCCTCATCACCAAGTCAATCCTAAGCCAAAAGAACAAAGCTGGAGGCATCACACTACCTGACTTCAAACTATACTACAAGGCTACAGTAACCAAAACAGCATGGTACTGGTACCAAAACAGAGATATAGATCAATGGAACAGAACAGAGCCCTCAGAAATAACGCCGCATATCTACAACTATCTGATCTTTGACAAACCTGAGAAAAACAAGCAATGGGGAAAGGATTCCCTATTGAATAAATGGTGCTGGGAAAACTGGCTAGCCATATGTAGAAAGCTGAAACTGGATCCCTTCCTTACACCTTATACAAAAATCAATTCAAGATGGATTAAAGACTTAAACGTTAGACCTAAAACCATAAAAACCCTAGAAGAAAACCTAGGCATTACCATTCAGGACATAGGCATGGGCAAGGACTTCATGTCTAAAACACCAAAAGCAATGGCAACAAAAGCCAAAATTGACAAATGGGATCTAATTAAACTAAAGAGCTTCTGCACAGCAAAACAAACTACCATCAGAGTGAACAGGCAACCTACAAAATGGGAGAAAATTTTCGCAACCTACTCATCTGACAAAGGGCTAATATCCAGAATCTACAATGAACTCAAACAAATTTATAAGAAAAAAACAAACAACCCCATCAAAAAGTGGGCGAAGGACATGAACAGACACTTCTCAAAAGAAGACATTTATGCAGCCAAAAAACACATGAAAAAATGCTCATCATCACTGGCCATCAGAGAAATGCAAATCAAAACCACAATGAGATACCATCTCACACCAGTTAGAATGGCAATCATTAAAAAGTCAGGAAACAACAGGTGCTGGAGAGGATGTGGAGAAATAGGAACACTTTTACACTGTTGGTGGGACTGTAAACTAGTTCAACCATTGTGGAAGTCAGTGTGGCGATTCCTCAGGGATCTAGAACTGGAAATACCATTTGACCCAGCCATCCCATTACTGGGTATATACCCAAAGGACTATGAATCATGCTGCTATAAAGACACATGCACACGTATGTTTATTGTGGCATTATTCACAATAGCAAAGACTTGGAACCAACCCAAATGCCCAACAATGATAGACTGGATTAAGAAAATGTGGCACATATACACCATGGAATACTATGCAGCCATAAAAATGATGAGTTCATGTCCTTTGTAGGGACATGGATGAAATTGGAAATCATCATTCTCAGTAAACTATCGCAAAAACAAAAAACCAAACACCGCATATTCTCACTCATAGGTGGGAATTGAACGATGAGATCACATGGACACAGGAAGGGGAATATCACACTCTAGGGACTGTTGTGGGGTAGGGGGAGGGGGGAGGGATAGCATTGGGCGATATACCTAATGCTAGATGACGAGTTAGTGGGTGCAGCACACCAGCATGGCACATGTATACATATGTAACTAACCTGCGCAATGTGCACATGTACCCTAAAACTTAAAGTATAATAAAAAATAAAAATAAAAATAAAAAAATAAAAAAAAGAAAGAAGAAAGAAAGAAAAGATAAGAAAGAGAGAGAGAGAGGGAAGGAAGGAGGGAAGGAGGGAGGGAGGGAAGGCTTCAGAATATAAGCATCTAACATGCAGATTAGGGAAAAGGAAGATCTGGCTACTATGTCCAAAACCAAAAGTAAAAACAAACCACCTATGAGAGAAGTAGAAGCAAGAAGCTTTAGAAAGTCAAAT
Source organism: Homo sapiens (assembly GCF_000001405.40). Taxonomy (NCBI): domain Eukaryota; kingdom Metazoa; phylum Chordata; class Mammalia; order Primates; family Hominidae; genus Homo; species Homo sapiens. The sequence continues at coordinate 43,065,343 of NC_000007.14, forward strand.
TTGCTTGCTAAATGGACTGAGGTCTGGGGATTTTTCTGAAATGTCAGTTCTTTTAGACTCCCATGCCTCAGGAGTGAGATAATACAATAATGTAAACGGTCTTGTTTGTTGGAAGTTGGTACATTTTGGGCTTCTACTGATCTAAGATGACCTAGGTTCATTATGTCTGTCTTCTAAGATGTGATAAAAGAATGAAAACTTTATAAATGTTTGCTATATTATTCTTATGGTAATTAATCCATGCCATTAAATAATCACCGATGGCACACCATTCAGGGCTGTACAGACGATATTGAAATAGCCATTTGGCTATTTGGATTTCTAAAAGTTTGATTGAAGCAGAAATTTACTGTTATATTTTGGCCAAATACGGAGGTGGAAGCTGAATTTCAGAACATCCCTATAAAATGACAAATTTCTGCCAAGATGAATAAAGAAAAGAGAAAAAAAAGGAAGAGAGGGAGAGAGATGCACAAATAAATAAATTAGGAATGAAAGATAAGAGGTGAAAATACCATGAACAACTTAATGCCAACACAATTTAAAATGTGTACAAAATAAAATCCTAGGCAGGGCACAGTGGCTCGCACCTGTAATCCCAGCACTTAGGGAGGCCAAGGTGGGCAGATCACTTGAGCCCAGGAGTTCAAGAGTAGCCTTGGCAACACAGGGAGACCGTATCTCTACAAATAAAAATAATTGGCCAACCATGGTGGTGAATGCCCGTGGTCCCAGCTACTCGAGAGACTGAGGCAGGAGGATAGGCTGAGGCCAGAAGGTCAAGGCCGCAGTGAGCCACTGCACTCACTCAATGCAGAGTACCACTGCACTCCAGCCTGGGTGACAGAGTAAGATGCTGTCTCAAAAATAAAAAAAATAAAAATAAAATTTGAGAATAATATAGCTTATAAAAAACCTAACTCAGGGTGAAATAGCTTGACTGCTTCTCTAACCATTAGAGAAACCTATAGTGTTCCCACAAAAACATCAAGCTCAGATGGTTTTACAGTCAAGTTCTAGGAAATTTTCAAAGAACAGATCTTTCCAATATTATGCAAACTTTTTTCAGGAAATGTAAAAGAGAGAACACTTTCTATTTTAATACCAATATCAGAAAATGGTACTGTGAGAAAGGAAAAAATTAATTATCCATAAATGAGATTTAAAAATCCTAAACAACATAATAGTAAATATGATCTAGTCATGTACAAGAATAGATAATACAACACAGCCAAGAGAGATAAACAAACCCCAGAAATGCAAAGATGGATAAACATTAAAGCAATCTATGAATATAGTTCTCCTCAAGAAGAACAAAATTTCAGAAAATGTAATCATTTCAATACATTTTTTAAAAGCTTTTGAAAAATTCAGCACTTGTACCTGATAAAAAATTTGGCAAATCATGAATATAAGTGTATTATTTCCTTTTTTTTTTTTTTTTTTTTTTTTTTGAGACAGTCTCGCTGTTTTGCCCAGGCTGGAGTGCAGTTGTGCAATCTCGGCTCACTGCAACCTCCACCCCCTGGGTTCAGGCAATTCTCCTGCCTTAGCCTCCCGAGTAGCTGGGATTATAGGCACATACCACCACACCTAGCTAATTTTTGCATCTTTAGTAGAGACGGGTTTTTGCCATGTTGACCAAGCTGGTATTTCCTTAACATGTTAAATGATGTCCACAAAAAAACTTACAGGAAATAATAAATATTATTAATGATTTAACATTAGAAGTCTTCCCTTTAAAGCCAGTAATAAAACTAGGATATGTACTGTGGCCATAATAGATATCCTGTATCCCTCATTATACTGGAGATCTTATTCAGCAGAGTAAGAGGAAAGAAAGAAGAAAGAGAGACAAAGGCATAAGGAATAGAAAAGAATAAACAAAACTGTCATTATTTGTATATAATATGATTGTCCATATAGAAAATCTCAAAGAATCTGCATGCAAATCATGATAAATGTGAGAGTATAGCAAGGTATCCAGACGTAAGCTTATTAGATTTAAGTCAATTGCTATTTTTTTAAGAGACAGGATCTCGTTCTTGTCACCAAGACTGGAATGCAGTGGTGTGATCAGGGCTCACTGCAGCCTCGACCTCCCAGGCTCAGGTGATCCTCCTGCCTCAGCATCCTGAGTAGCTGGGACTACAGTCACACACCACCATGCCAGGCTAAGTTTTGCAATTTTTGTAGAAATGAGGTTTCACCATGTAGACAAGGCTGATCTTGAACTCCTGGGCTCAAGGGATCCACCAGCCTAGGCCTCCCAAAGTGCTGGGATTACAGGCATTGGACACCACTCCCAGCTGTCAACTGCACTTTTGTACACCAGTCAGAAAGGACTGCTTGACATGTGTTGGTGCTTCGCAATCTTTGAAGAGGGGACCCAGAGAATAGGGCTTAGGTTTCTGAGAAACAGAAATTACCAAGGTAATGATTATACCTTTAAGGTGATATGATTAAGTCGATTAAATCGGGTCTGAGAATGGAAAAAAAGAGCTGGAAACTGGAACCAATTATTCCAGAACCAAATGTGCCTGCCACGGTAAAAATCCATTGCTTGAGTGAACACAAGGCTCTTCTCCCTTCCTGCCTTCCATTCTTCCCCAGCATCCGTCATTATGGAACCTAAAAGGAAGCCATTTGGCAGAAATACAGTTTGCAGAGACTTAGTCCAGTATCCATGGCAGGGTATAGAAGGGTGGGCTTGAAACAAGAGACAACAGTTTAATAATCCAGCCATATGTATATAGAATATTTTAATGTTTAATATTTAGATTTTTTTTTTTTTTTAGAGATGGGTCTCACTTTGTTGGCCAGGCTAGATTCCAACTCCTGGGCTTAACCCATCCTCCTGCCTCAGCCTCCCGAATAGGTGGGACTACAGGCATGTGCCACCACACCTGGCTCTAAAATATTTTTAATATTTAATTATTAAATGACATTTAAAAAGTCTTAACAGGAGAAATATACTGTTTTCATGGATAAGATGCCACATTCCAAAAATTTATCTATATTCAACACAGTTTCAATCAAAATTCCCACAGGTTTATTTTTGGTGAAACTTGTCAAAATAGGATTTTAAAATTTATACAGAGAAGCAAAACCCCAAGAAGAGTGAAGTCATTTATGAGGAAAAATAACAAAATATAAAATTACTGTTTTGCAAATGTTTCTAAGTTACAGTAAAATTTGTTCAGCTCTGAGTGTTGACAAATGTATGCAGCCATATAATCCTCCCCACAATCAAGTTATAAATTATTTCTGTGACCTCCTCCCTCAAATATCCTCGTGTCTTCTTGTGGCCAATCCCTTTCCCCACTCCTGTCCCCAGCAACCTCTGATCTTCCTTCTGTCTCTACAGTTTTAAGTTTTTGAAAATGGTAAGTTTTAAAATATGTTTTTAATGCAGAATTAAACATACTGACCAAGGCAACAAAATAATGAACCCAGAAACAAACAAATACATAGAAGGAGACTTGATATGTGACAGTGGTGCAATTGCCCATCAGTGGGAGGAGGATAGATTTGTCAATAAATGGTGCAGGGGTAATTGGCTTATCCACATGGAAAAAAATGCAATTGAATTTCTCTCTCATACCATACAGAAAATTTAATGGATTAGTGACTTAAAAGGTATATAAAAGTCATACTTAAACACTTGGTGGAAAATATAGGACACTATCTTTCTGACTTTAAGAAATTTTTTCTTAAATAAGACCCAAAAGCCACCAACATAAAAGTTAAGAAACTAAAATTAAGACTTACTGTTCTCCAAAAGACACCATAGTGAAAACAAAAAGATAAGCCATCATCTGAGAGAACTTACAACAAAGACTAATATCCAGAAATATAAAAATTCTTATGATTTAATCATAAAAGACAATCCACTGGGAAAAGGAGTAAAACATGAACAGGCATTCTATAGAAAACAAAACAAAAATGACTGGTAGATGATAGGTAGATAGTTGGATGGATGGATAGATAGATAGATAGAGTGATAGGGAAGTATGCTTAGTGGATGCTTAGTAGTCATGGAAATTCAAAACGAGAACATAATTTTGTTAAATGGGTAAATACATAAGAACTCTAACAATACCAAGTGTCAGAATGCAAAAGAAGAAAATGCACGCTGTCTATGGGAGCGTCAACTTGGCATTACTTGAAAAAGTTAAATACTTGAGTTTCCTGTGATCCAGAAATCTCATTCTCAAGTATATTTTCATGAATATGTGTTCCAGAAGTCATATATACAAATATACTCATAGTAGCATTATTTGGTATTTCAAAATATTGGAAAAAACCTGATATTGATTGATGAGAGAATGAATTATTATTTAATGTAGAATATTTATTTAGTATGCAAAATACTCATTTCACTAGTGTATAATAAATTGTAGCTAAATGGAACAAAATGGATGAATCTTAGAAGTAATTATTCAGTTTAAAATGGTAAATAAATAAAATCAAATTACAGAGAACTAAATAAAGTATTGTGCCTTTTTCTAAGACTCAAGCACAAGTAAAGGGGAACAACATAATGTTTAAAGATCTACGCATACATAAAAGCTATGGATTTCTGTGCTATGGCTACCTCTGGTGCGGCAGGTGGTGGGGTTGTAAGACTCAGGTAACTCCAGTGAGACTAGGAAGATCTGAGTTCACAATTTGAGTGCTAGATTCACAGGTATTAATTTTGTTATTATGCTTATTACTTAAGAAAATATTACACAGATTCAACTATTATATGATAAAAGCAAGGCCATAAATAAGAAGATTTATTCTTTCTCAAAAGGGTGCTGGACTTTAAAAAATATTTACTAATTTTTGGTTCTACAATATCTTGAAAAAATATTAAATGCTTGGAAATTTAAATTTGCATTGCATGAAGATTTTCTTGTGTAAGCAGTCAATAATGTTACCTCTGAAGCTGTCAGTTGCACACCAGGGTGGGTATGAATTTATAGAAGTGGCTTCCTTTTGAAATTGTATTACAGTGTGCTCTGAAAGCTTCAGAGGCTACAGGGAGAAGGTGCCTTCTTTTTGATAGAGTATTAAATTTTCTGTGTTAAAACTATGGAAAACAATCTTCTTCTACATTCTCTTTTTGAAATTATTGATGCTTTGGGAACATAATTACCATTTCCCTTGTACATCCCATTTCTTAAAATAAAATCTTTTACAATAAAGATTTACCTGTTAGCCCAAATCTGTCAAAACCTAGTGTAATATTCTTTTTACATTCCCATAGTAAATACCAGCATACAAATTCATTTGAGTGTCATGATTATTCCACGGATCAATGAGTGTAACAGATTGTGTGAAGTTGGTATAAACTGCATTACCATTGAGGGTTTCTTTTTTAACATCTTCCACTTGGACAACGAAAGAAAAAAATAGCTCCATTATCTGAAATAAAATATAACATAGAATATAATTAAGATGATTATTAATGCTTTTTATTTACATATGTTTGACTTTCAAGCCATCTGGCATCCCAGCTCTCTGCTTTATTTTTCTTTTGCCCATATTTCCTTCCTTACTTATTGTTAACGTAGCTTTATCTTATCTATTGGTATTTGTGAATTTCCTTAAGTCTGTTTTAAGATTTCAGGGGTAAATGAATAAAATAACTGATAAAATAGGCATTGTTAACAGAAAAACCAGCTCTGTAAAATATTTTAAAGAGGTTTATTCTGAGCCAATATGAGTGACCATGGCGGGGGAACACAGTCTCAAGAGGTCCTGAGAAAGTGGGTTTTACTTTTTCACTTTTTTCAGTTGCACACCAGGGTGGGTATGAATTTATAAAAGTGGCTTCCTTTTGAAATTGTATCACAGTGTGCTCTGAAAGCTGCAGAGGGCTACAGGGAGAAGGTGCCTTGTTTGTGATAGAGTATTAAACTTTCTATGCTAAAACTATGGAAAGCAATCTTCCCCTGCATTCTCTTTTTGAAATTATTGATGCTTTGGGAACATAATTACCATTTCCCTTGCACATCCCATTTCTTAAAATAAGATGTTTTTACAATAAAGATTTAAAATATTGAGGGAGCTGGGTTGCAGTTGAGTATTATACCTTTCGGGGAGGCAAGAGTTACAGGCAAAGACATCAATATTTTGCAGGTCTGTTCAGCTAAAGACAGGGTCCTTGTCCGTCCCCGGGCCATGAAAATTTAGGCTCAAAGACGGTTTGAAGGGTGGGTAAGACAAAGTTTTATTCGGTGAAAAGTGGGGAGAAAAAGGGGGAAACAGGGATCCTCAACAAGTCAGAGTCCCTGCTAGAGTGCTTGCCGCCAGCGGCTTGAATTCCAGGTTCCACACAGAAGAGGAGGAGCTGGCTCCTCCCTGCTGCAAAGGATGTGAACTATTGTGGCTCCATCCCAGTGTGCAGGCCAGCTGGAGTTTCTCTGGGGACCCCCTCCCACCTGGCTGTCTCATTCCCCGCTCTAGAGAGGTACATCTAACTGCCATTAGAATAAGGATAAGGAAGAAGAGCGATCTTAACTGCCTCCTGCTGACAGGGGGCGCTGTTTTGGGGGAAGCCGCAGTCAGAGCTCCCTCAGAGGCCTATTTAAGGGTTCCCAGCAGAAAGGGTCGTCATCAGAGGCTCCTGTTGCATGACTGACTGTAGTTTGATGGCCTGAAGGCAAGAATAGACAAACCAGCTTATTAGAAAACATGTATCAAAACAAAACAAGGAGAGGGGTAAGAACAGCTCAAAAATTCCAAGGCCTTTTACCAGTTTGCACAAGGCCAAAAGCCCAACTGGTTAAGAAAAAACTTTACGCTTTTGCCAGCATGTCAGTCTTCTGGGTTCCCTTCCCCTGAGCCCATTCCTAAGCCAGCCAGGTTAAGGTTTGGGAAATTAATTCTTTCCAGTTTGGAGGATGTTTCTGAGGGGAGTGTCCCATAGTATGAAGACACAATTACCTATCAGTGAAGAGGACAGAGGAGGAGAAAGGAAAAAAAGAAGGTGTTTTTTTTTTTTAAAAGGAGTCCTAGAGGTTCAGGATGCATTCAAAAGGGGTACAGACTGAAGGCGAATGGCTACCCATCTAGAAAGAGGGGGGCAGGCATCCCTGGTTCCCTTCTCTTCCTAGAAGATACCCAAGGTATTGTGGGACAATCAAAGATGGGAGAGACCGAACAGAGTGAGTCCAGGAAAGGTCTTTATTAAAAGGTGATCACCTGGCTCAGTAGGACTAGCGTCCAGGAAAGTCTGAGCCCCGGACAAAGAAAACAGCCACTTTTTAAGCAGCCAGTGGCCGGGAACTATGTGATGCAGGAAGTGTACTTACAGAAGTGAGAGCAAAGGCAGTTGATCAGTCTTTTACATTTATTTATATTACATGTTTCACATCTTTGGGAAACCATTAACTGTATAAACCATTTCTGTGTCAACCTTGTAACTTTGCAGCTGTGCTAGGGAGGTGAAGCAGGAACTCGCTGAGCCTCAAGGAATGTGAAACTAGCAAGTACAGATAAGGCTCGCTGAGCACAAAAGGAAAAACAGGCAGTTAGTATTTTTCTCTAACTTACACTACGGGGTGGGGCTACACTACAGTTAGCTTTGGAAGGAAAAAGTAAACATTTTTGGTTGTCTTTGATTATACTTGTAAAATTCATAAATTCCTTCTTCAGAGGTACATGAGGGAGAGAGGGAAAAGCATCCTCTTTCCTCTTCCATCTTTGCATCCCCAAGTCCCAGCAACCTTGGCAGGTGCCACCTTGGGTGGAAGAGCGGCTTGCACCCATGAAGCAGGGGGCCTAGTGGGTGAGAATCATCCGCTCTTATCCACATATGCCCTATCTCCCCTGCTGCCAGCAGCCTTGGATTCCCTAGACCTCATTTATGCCACGGATATTAATGTGGTCTTTATCCATGAAACAGGAAGCCTGGGGTTGGCTTAATCGGCAGGAATCAGCCACGCTTACCTGTGTTGTGCCTTTTAATTTCTGTTATTGTCTGCCTCTGGATCCCTCAGATCCAGTTTTCTTTCCTAGGGCTTTGACCCGATGCTTGGAATTGAGTTTGGGACAAAAATGTGTCTCAGCGGGGGTTGCATGGACTTCTTATCATAAGCCGAATGCAAAAGTGAAGCTGTGGAACTGAGTCCTCCTCCAACAAGAGAGAAAAGGATGTCTTGTGACACACCCAGATAACTGGTAGCTATATTTATGCTTGACAGAATTTGGGTGCATGGTGCTTGGCTTTTGTTAGCTCCCTTGGTCTTACTTTCCCAAAAGGAAACCTCCGAGTGATGGGCATCCTATTTATTCCATTACCTGGCAGGATTTGTAGGATAATTGCTCAGAACTAGAATATTGATCTGAATTTCTACATTACCTATCCCCTTTGTTCTTTCTGAGCTGCAGCCAGGGATTGCTGGTTGGTTCATAGGAGCAAGCAGGGTTAGTCTAAAATGTAGGCAAAAACTTAAAAACAACGAATGAGTTTAGAATTTAATGACAAATGTTGACCCAGCAATCCCATTACTAGGTAAATACCCCAAGGATTATGAATCATTTTACTATAAAGATACATGCACATGTATGTTTATTGCGGCACTATTCACAATAGCAAAGACTTGGAACCAACCTAAATGTCCATCAACGATAGACTGGATAAAGAAAATGTGGCACATATACACCATGGAATACTATGCAGCCATAAAAAAGGATAAGTTCATGTCCTTTGCAGGGACATGGATGAAGCTGGAAACCATCATTCTCAGCAAACTAACACAAGGGAAGAAAACCAAACACCGCATGTTCTCACTCATAGGTGGGAACTGAACAATGAGAACACATGGACACAGGGAGGGGAATATCACACACCAGGGACTGTCAGGGGGTGCGGGCTAGGGGAGGGATAGCATTAGGAGAAATACCTAATGTAGGTGACAGGTTGATGGGTGCAGAAAATCACCATGGCACATGTATACCTATGTAACAAACCTGCATGTTCTGCACATGTACCCCAGAACTTAAAGTATAATAAAAAAAGAATTTAATGACAAATGTATAAGTTTTGAAACATGATTTCTCTCTCCAGTCCTCATTTTTGTTAAAAAAAAATCATCATAGGACTGAATGGTTTACAAAATAAATTTTAGTCTTATACTTGGCCTGATTATTTGCATAAAGTGCAGCAAGAATAATTCTTTCTAATTAGGCCTTTTAGATTGGCTTTGATGGAAGTTTGTTCCACAAGGAATCTCAGATAAGACCTTTTAAAACTGAGCCCAACCATGGGTTTGTATCCTCAAAACCCTGTGAGTTGGGTGATCCTTTCCTCTTAAGGTCCCATAATAAACTTGGAGCTCCTGGACCTGTTAGAAAGTGACATTCTTTACTGACCACAGGTCAAGAACCCTGTACACGGACTGCATAGACAAGGGTATGAGACCAGTTTCCTCACTGGGCTTTTATTGGCTCTGCAAGTCAAAATTGACTCCTTAAAGGGAAGCATACCCTTCCAGTCAAATCCTTGGTAAAATAACGACTTTCTCCAATTGTGTTCTGTTGCAAAAGAAAAATGGATTCTTATTGCACTGATGCAAACAATGATATTGCCATAAGAATATTCACAAATAGTTTCCAAATTCTAGAGGATTCAGGCAGAGAGAAACAAACGTGCTCCAAATTTTTATCACAGGAGTGTATAACTTACTTATTAAAGGCTGTAAATAGTTCAAAATAAGTTTCCTTGACTCTGAAAAAATAAAACAAGGATCAGAAATATTCCAAGCAAAGGTCAAAAAGATTTGCTTCAGCTTCCTGAGTTCAGTCCAGTTAGTTAATTCTTGTTTTGCTTGCTATTCATGAACATTTCAGCTCTTTATGAGTCCTATACATTTTCCTTTATTCCAGTGATACAACCTCTAAAGTTATCAGAAGCCTGCATTTGAGAGCACCTGTTAAAGTTCTATAGCTCATTATAAACCATTTTTGAAAAGGATTAAAACAAGACAACAATTGTCTGTGAATAGCAAAATGTCCAGGATAGTTACTGTTAGAAACAACGATTGACAAAGAAGTTTGGTTATTTCCACGGTTTACAATAACCTAACATAACAACCCTAATTACGATGGATAGCATATACTTGCACATTAGAATTTTAGATAATCCCATACAATTTTGGAACATATATTAGCATTATTCACCAAAATATAACCTAAAGAAGATTGAGCATCATTTTGGCAATCCCATGTACCTAAACATGTTAAATAATTCCTTTTACCTCTTTTCTGGACACTTCATGGGCCCTCTGAAGTATTCAAAAAGCCAGGTGTCAGGAAAGACAATTTTAAAACTTAAGGTCGATTTTGGGCAGCCTTTTAAATATGTTTAAAACACTTGATATTATGAAATAGAATTCCAGATTACCATAAGTTATTTATTTTGCCAAAAAGATGACTTCGAAATTTTAAATAATCAAAAATCTTTTATAATCCTTTAAAAATTTTGCCAAAGAGCAGATTAACGCCTTAGGAAACCTTGTTATGCTTTTATTTCAATGCTCAATTTACAGAAAAAACCATATAATACCCTTTTTTGAATTTAGTCAATACGTTCACACACAGAACCTCTTCTGCAAGATTGATTTCCGTAATTCTTCTACCCCTTCTTTGAACCTTCAGCTTTTTCCTGATTTAACTCAAAAAATCCTTTAATCCTTTAATCCTTAAAAACTTTAGGCAAAAGTTTACATTTCCATGCCTTCTTATAACCTTTTACTAAAAAATACATTTTACTGTTCTTACACACCTTGCATGCAAATCTATTTCTAGTAGTTTCAATTAACTCCTAGCTATTTTTAACTTTAAGGTAAAACTTGGTAAGTTGCTTTAATTGTGTGCTAACTGCAGCTAAGCTTTGCCCTCTTAGTTAAGGACGCGGTTAGTTCCTTACGTCCCCAGGTCTTACCAGTTGTGAAGCCAGAAAGTCAAATAGTTCTCAAAACCCAGAAGTCAGTTTGCAACCTCAAAACACTTAGCAAACCTTGCATCTTGAGGGACTAAGTGGCTAAGTTGGCTGGACTTCCTGGGTCCCTAGGGACTTCCCTAAGGGGATTTTTTCCCCTAAGCCAAAATAAGTCACAGCTGCAAGCTAAGGGCTTGAAACGTCAACCAATCAAAGGGGACTTTCCCCTAAGCCAAAATGAGTCACAGCTGCAAGCTAAGGAATTGAAACTTCAACCAATCATATAGGGCGTTTAAGCTCTAGCTGCAGCCTGATGTTTTTAACCAATCAGGCCTGCCAACCCACAAGTGGATAGAACATAAGCTAATTCTATAGGACAGAAAAAGGAAAAGAGGAGGGGTCATAATGGGATATAAGCATAAGACACCCAAGCCAAAATCGGCAACCTTTCCGGGTCCCCTTCCACCACGTGGAAGCTTTATTTTCGCTTTAATAAGTCTTGCTACCGCACACTCATTGGGTCTGTGCGTTTCTCTAATCAAGCTGTAACACTCGCCGCTGCGGTCCACAGCTTCATTCCTTGAAGCCCGTGAGACCACGAACGCTTCAATCGAGAAAAACCTTTGATCTGAAGAAGACTTCTTGTCTCACATCTGACCTGCATTTAACCAATAATCTTTAAGGCTGTTTTTATTTCTCAAAGATTAAAGTCACGTGAACTGAAAGGTACCACAGCTTTTAACTTTCCTTAAAAAAATACTTGATCCAAGCACTTGTTTTTCTTTAGGGCAAATTAAGTAGAGCTCTTTTTACAGACGTTACACACAATACACACACAGAGAGACAGAAGAAAACCCAGTCTTCACAAGATCCTTTTTCACAAGCAAAACTTTACAGAGTACAAACAGTGATAGTTGGGGGACCTGGCCTAGTAAAAAAAGTCTTCCAAAAGAAAAAAAAAAACAACTTTAAAAGTTAACTGCTGACGGGGTAGAGAAGTGGAAGCAAAAAACAGTTTTTAAATGCCTGGAGAAGAACCTCTTATTCTTATGCAACTGGTTCCTCCAGCAGGGAAAAAAGCTTAAGCTTAATTACTGTCCAATAGAGTTAAACCCCTTGGCCAGGGAAGGGGAAGACTGCAGCAGCAGTGCGTGGCTGGGAACCAGCCAGCCAGCTGTGCCGGACCCTTGGGCCATGCGTCCTAGGCCCAGCAGGGAACAGGCAGGGAATAGCGGGTGGAGGGGAGCTGCTGCTCACGGGTCCCTCCCAAAAAAGGAAAGAAAAGGCCATGAAAAGGCCCGGGAGTGACGGGGCGGGGTGGAGGGAGCGAAATGGTTTCCTCCATCCTCAGAAGTGTGAGGATGAAAAGGCTCAGAAGCAACAGTGAGAGTTTTTGAGTCCCCATTTCACTCACTGCTTCTCAAGCCCCACACTGGGAGCCAAAAATGTTACAGGACTTTTTTAGTTCAGCTAAAGACAGGGTCCTTGTCCGTCCCATAGCTATGAAAACTTAGTCTCATAGACAGTTTGAAGGGTGAGTAAGACAGGGTTTTATTGGGTGAAAAGGGAAAAAACAGGGGAAACAGGGATCCTCTACAAGGTCAGAGTCCCTGCTAGAGAGCTTCCGGCCGGCAGCTTGAATTGCAGGTTCCACACAGGAAGAGGAGGAGCCAACTCCACCCCGCTGCAAAGGGTGCAGACTTCTGTGGCTCCGCCCCAGTGTGCAGGCCAGTTGGAGTTTCTCTGGGAACCCCATCCTCCCTGGCTGTCTCAAATACATGGAAGATATACACTGATTCAGCCCAAAAAGGTGGGATATCTTCAAGTAGGGGCTTCCAGGTTATAGATAGATGCAGAGATTCTTCAATTTGCAAATGGTTAAAGGAAGAATACTCTGTAAAAATTCGGAGTCAGCAGAAAGGAATGTTTAAGATAAGAAATTCTGTTAACATGGGTCAGAGTGACGTATAGGGGTGTGTGACTTAACCATTGTCTGGCATGGCCTTAGGTTTTGTTTATAATTTGGTGTCTTATTGTCACAAACAGTTAATGTTATGTTCTTTTTGTTGTTGTTGTTAATGTTATGATCTCTATTTTAGCATTAATGCCAGTCAGTTGTGCCTAAACTCCAAAAGGGAGGGGGTGTAACAAGGCGTGTTCCACCTCCCTTCCCGTCATGTCTGGGGATTCAATTTTTAAAGTTTCTCTGGGGTACTCTTGGCCAAGAGGGGGTCCGTTCAGTCAGTATGGAGCTTGGGATTTTATTTTTAGTTTACACTATATACCTATACCTATATCAATATATATCTTTAAAATCAGAAACTAAAAGTATTTAAAGTGGGCAATTATTTCAGCTAAGGAAAGGGGATTCCTGCTCATTCTTGGATCAGAGTGGGAATAAATTCCCAGGTGTGGTTGAAGTAAATGGGATGGCAAACCAGCCAACCCATGGGACCCTAGACTGACTGGTGTATAAAATGATGATACAACCCCATCAAAATATTGATGTACCTGCATAAATGCATGGCTGCAAACTTTCACAAAAATGAACATAGGAAAATATAAATGTGTATCATGTACATATTTTTTCATTTTCTGTGTATTACAACGTTTTGACATCTTAAAATACTCTTTCTGAGTACAGACTGACTCTCCTGGGGCTAGCCAGTTCCTGGAGGTAACAGAGAACTTAGCTAGGAGCATGCCTTTGATATGCAAACTAACCAGCCGGAGCCATACCTCCTCTTCCATCCGAGGAGGAGGCAACATTATCTGCCTTATTACCCCAGGCCAGGTTCCGGGCAACTAGGGACCACCTTTTTGGTTTAGAGCCCACCGAAATGATTCAAACTAGCCAACTCTACACTGCCTCCCCTGCCTTGCCTTTCCGTTTCTGCAAAATCCAGAATAAAAATACTGGCTTTGACTTTCCTCGGCCAGTTGACCAAAACCCGGCACTTCCCCTGTGACCCTGATGATTTGCTGTGACCCCTGCTCTAGAACTTGGGAATATAACATACTTTGTTCTCTTGTGCCTCTCCTGTGTTCCCTCTTGTGGCTGCACCTGACTGACCATCACCTAAAAGAGGACAGAACAAAACACTTGACAGCTAGTGATAACCTTGAAAAAACAGAACTCAGCAGATGGAAGGAGAGAGCCCTACTGTATGAGCATCGTGTGCTGAGACCTGCTATTGACTCCCAGGTACGTTACACGTACAATCACTAAGCTCCAAAAACACACTACAAGGTAAGAATTACTATACTTCTGTTACAGATGAGAAAATTCGAGAATTAAAAAGGCAAAGTAAAACACCTAAGACTTCATAGCAAGTCTTATGAATTTTACACCATCACACAGGATGTAAGAAATATAATCTGTTCTTACTTTCTAAATCAAGTTTAATTGAATTGCTGGCAGAGGATTCAGTCTCTGACACTGCTTGGGCTCCCTCACTGGCCCAGGCTCCTACAGAAGTCTCAAGAGAATCATGTCATTCAAAATAGCACTAATATCAGAGCTACAAAAGTTGATCTCATGGAGGTAGAGAGTAAAATGATAGACACCAAAGGCTGGAAAGGGAAGAAGGGAGGGAGAAATGAAGAGAGGTTTGAGTGAGTATGCAAACACAGTTAGATGGAAGGAATAAATTCTAGCATTCAGTAGCATGGTAGAGTGACCATAGTTACCAACAACTTATTGTATATTTCAAATTAGCTAGAAGAGAAGATTTGGGATGCTCTCAACACAAAGAAATGATAAATGTTTGAGTCAATAAATATCCCAATTACCCTGATTTGGTCACTACCCACTGTGTGCACACACCAAAATAACATATGTACCCCATAAATATCTACAATTATTATGAACCAATTTTAAAAAATAGCTCCAAAATAGTTATTATAATCTTTAAGTCACACCAGTAACCAGAGATATGCTATTATTCAAAGCTCTATGATCTTTTGTCAATGGTACAGCACTAAAACATCTTCCCACAGACTGGGCACATTGGTGTATATTGATTAGTCCCCCCAGCACCCCGAATACTAGTCCCCTCTGAGGGCTGAGCAACCCTCCTCTCTCCAGCTCATGTTGTAAGGAAAGAACTCACTCCCATTCTTCTCCTCTTTAGAGACACTCTTCCCACATTAGCCCCTTCCAACCTATGTGCTATTCCTCAAACACTACATGCATTCAGAGATTACAACCACCAGAAACAACACAGTACAGGGAATAAGAGTAAGCATGGTGATGATGGCAGGTTGGATCTAGGTGGCTGTAGTATCCACAAGTTAAAAATGCCCTTTGGTAGTATTGTATGCTACCTATATTACAGTTTTATATAAAAAGCCATTCTACCAGATTCTTGTCTGTGGATTTAAAACTTAAGAACAAGAGACACTGGGGAAATTACATCTTAATCCAGCTCCTCACAGGTGCAGCCCATCACTCAACCTCTGACTGTACATCAGGGCAGACATCAATGCACATCAATACATCAACAGATCCAAAAGTACATTTCAGGTACAGTATCTCATATGATCCCACTCTATGACATTATGTTTGACACTTGGTCAGCACTGAATACATATTTGCTGTGTACATTCTGTAGGAAGTAGACATCAATGGGTGGTAAAAATGTAGGGAAATGATGTGATTATACCTGTGCGTCATCAAAATCACTCACCAGGCAGAGGGACTTGATGTGGTAGATAGTAGAAGCAGAAAGACCAGAATATCTTTTAACATTTATAGTCAATCCTCATTACTTGCAGATTCCAAAAAAATGAGTTTTACCTCTAGCTAACATTTATATGCAGCCCCCAAATCAATACTTGCAGCATTTTGAGGCCATTTGTGGGCATGCACAGAACAGCAAAAAATTTGAGTCACTCAACATGCACGTTCTCCACCAAGGCTGAGCAAGCCAACACTCTGCCTTCTTGTTTCAGCTCTCATACTGTAAACGAGTGTCCTGTTCACAGGCTACTTAATGCCACATTTTTTTATGGCTTTATGCATTTTGATGGTAATTTCTTGGTTTTTTTTTTTTTTTTTTTTTGAGACTGAGTTTCACTCTTGTTGCCCAGGCTGGACTACAATGGCGTGATCTCGGCTCACTGCAACCTCCACCTCCTGGGTTCAAGTGATTCTTCTGCCTCAGCCTCCCAAGTAGCTGGGATTGCAGGTGCCCACCACCACACCCAGCTAGTTTTTTTGTTTGTTCTTTGTATTTTTAGTAGAGACAGGGTTTCACTGTGTTGGCCAGGCTGGTCTCAAACTCCTAACCTCAGGTGATCCACCCACCTCGGCCTCCCAAAGTGCTGGGATTACAGGCGTGAGCCACCGTGCCCAGCCTTTTGATGGTAATTTTTCTGTTTAAAATGCCCCTCCGGGATAGTACTGACATGCTGTCTAGTGTTCCTAAGCACGAGAAGGCTGTTTTGTGCCTTATGGAGAAAATACATGTTAGATAAGCTTCATTCATCCATGAGTTGTAGTGCTGTTGACCATGAGTTCAGTGTTAATGAATCAGCAATTATAAGGTATCTTTAAACAGAAACACACATAATGCAAGGTTATATATCAATCAGTTGACAAAAATGTTGTGCACCAGGGGCTTGCAGGAACCTAACTCTGTATTTTCTCTAGGAACAATGGTTCCATCTTCACTAATTCTGTGTTCAGGGTAACTTTGTTCTAACTACTGTGAATCACAAGAATAGATTGTATAACCATATAAATATTTCATTTATTATTTGTATTTGAAAATCTGGCAGTAACACCTATTGACAGCAAAAAGGGCCAGAATGCAAGAATTGGTTAACAAACACCAAGTTTGCAAATAGCCCCTTACTCAAAGGTGAGTCCAAAACATCATGGGCTCAGAGGCAGAGCCCTAAGGAAAAAGTAGATAGAATCAGGGAAGTGGAATGAGATCACCAAGTCTCAGAGGAGGAACAGATGACTGAAACTCTCTTTTAGTGAGACCAGGAGAATTTTTTTTAAACTTCTGTATCCCCAAATCAAATTGCAGACATGGTCTTTGAATAAATATCCATAAGGAGAGAACAGGTTGACAAAATTTTAAAGATGCAGAATGAGATTTCTAAATTAGGAAAGTCACACAAGGAAACCCAAAATACAACAGAAGAGTTAAAACACAAATGATGGCAGAAAATGACAAATAAAATTTGCCCCCAATGAGTAAGTGATAGGAGCAACAAACCTGGCTAAATCTCCTAGGGTGTAAAAGTCTCCCAGGACAAAAGGGCAAAAATATGAAAGTTACAAGAGACTGTAGTCTATGCATGATATGCACAGAATGGAGATCTAATCAAAGAATCATGGATTCTCTAAAGCAGGAAACAGACAAATGAACTTAGCAGCAAAAATTAAAGGCATGATTTAAGAAAACTTTCTTTAGCTGACAAAACATCAGATTATGCAGAAGGAAAAGCTACACAGTGTTTCAAGAAAAACAATCAACAAAAGTGATATATATCTAGACCCTTTCTAACCAAAACTCTGAATCATAAAAATAATCATCTAGGCAACAGAAGAAAAAAATGTCTGATTCTGAAAAATCGGAGTTAAGATGTATTGTAGGCCAGGTGTGGTGGCTCATGCCTGTAATCCCAGCACTTTGGGAGGCCAAGGCGGGCGGATCACAAGGTCAGGAGTTCGAGACCAGCCTGGCCAATATGGTGAAACCCCGTCTCTACTAAAAATACAAAAATTAGCCGAGCATGGTGGCGGGCACTTGTAATACCAGCTACTTGGGAGCCTGAGGCAGGAGAAACACTTGAACCCAGGAGGCAGAGGTTGTAGTGAGCCGAAATCATGCCACTGTACTCCAGCCTGGGCAACAGAGTGAGACTCTGTCTAAAAAAAAAAAAAAGATGTACTGTAGCTACTGGAAAAAGAAAGCAGAATTCAGAACTCATACAGAGAAAGTCATGTTCTAAAAAGACAAATGATAAATACCACTGAAATAAGTGAAATGCCGAGTTAGCCCTGCATAGCTGTGGTTTTTGTGTTCTGAGCACAAAACTGAATGCCCAGATCCAAAGTCCTGAGAAAGAATCTATGTGGTAAAAAAAATTCACATATTAGCAATAACCTAGGTTTATATCTAAAACCATTTAATCTATATAATATCATATCACTAATAAGTTATACTGTATAATATGTTAATCAATTTATATTATAAAATGGGAAGGGAAGGAAAAAAATGTTGAAAGCCCATAGATTCTTCATCTTGAAGTAATGCTATTCGCTTCTCACTATCACAATAGAGAAACTGATGATAGAACACTTTTGAATTTGAAGGTAAATGTAAGCCTGAGTAAAGAGTAAGTGGCGGTAGCAAAATCACAGTGGCTTAGCACAGCAGAGGTTTAAGTCCAGTGTGATCTTCTGGTTGGATGATTCTTCTCAAGAACTTTGCTTCTTCTAACATATGGCTCCACCATCTGGGAGACTTTCACTTCCAGCCATACGGAGGAAGAAAGTTTGAAAGTCTTTGTTTCATATATTTTGTCAGGCTTTGTACATAGTTAAGGGGGGAGAATAAATCTGATTCCTGTTACTCCATCGTGATTGGCAACAGAAGACCAATCTTCTGCATGAGGAAGGTTGTGCTATTTCATGACCAGGGCTGACATTCTATTGGGCAGTCACGAGGTCACCATTGGATGCCAAGTGGGGAAGAGCCAGTTGCTGGGAAAGGTAGCTTACTTTTTGAGCCCAGGAAGGAGATGAATAGTGGCTGTCTTTGTCACAATAATCAATACATACATATTTGCCTTCTAAAATACTTGGAAGGATAAAGGTAAAGAAAGTATGGCCTGGCCAGGCGTGGTGGCTCATGCCTGTAATCCCAGCACTTTGGGAGGCCAAGGTGGGCAGATCATCTGAGGTCAGGTGTTCAAGACCAGCCTGACCAACATAGAGAAACCCCGTCTCTACTAAAAAACAAAACAAAAATACAGAAATTAGCTGGGTGTGTTGGCACACATGCCTGTAATCCCAGCTACTCGGGAGGCTGAGGCAGGAGAATCACTTGAACCTGGGAGGCGGAGGTTGTGGTGAGCCGAGATTGCGCCATTGCACACCAGCCTGGGCAACAAGAGCAAAACTCCATCACACACACACACACACACACACACACACACACACACACACACAAAAGTATAACCCATATAGCCAAAGATAGGAAGTAAAGAGAATGATATGTTCTGCAATTACGCAAAACAAGTCTAGCCTACTAGAGGGTAGGTGACCATGAAGAGGGAACAACCCAGCAGAAACCATACACCAACAGCCAGACAGATGAGTGAGGCTTTCCTGGACCAGCAAACAGCCAAATTATCAATTGACTTGAAATGCATGAGTTAGCACAGCTGATACCATAAGGAAAAGAAGAATTATCCAGTTGAGCCCAACCCAAATTGCCAACACATAGGATTGTGAAAAAAACAAACAAACAAAAAAACCCCAAATGGTTATAATATTAAACCACAAGTTTTGGGGAGGTTCTTGCACAGCAATAGATATCTGATACAAATAGTTATGTAGCATATTGATTTCAAAGCCAGTTTCTAGAGGGTCTTCTGTTGCCAATCACGATGGAGTAACAGGGATCAGATTTATTCTCTCCCCTTAACTATGTACAAAGCCTGACAAAATATATGAAACAAAGACTTTCAAACATCAGACAACAGGTAACACAGGTCAGTGGTCCCTGAGAGGAGAGAAACAAACCAAGTAAGCCCCATGATTGTTTCAGCTTAGTTCCTAGAGAGACTTTTTGGGCTTCAGTGCAGGAAAGAGAAACCCAAAGAAACAGAGCCTGGCAGTCTCCCTGTGGTGAGGTGATAGGATGAGAATCAGTGAGGCCACAGAGGCTGGAAGTCACAGCACAAAGCACAGAGAGGAGGGAACTGCTTAGAGAGGAGGAAGCTGTGCAGGGAGAGCCCTGGAGATCCACAGCGGGTTCCCCTCAAACCTTCAGCTGAGTACTAATCAGTGCATGTGTGTGAGGAACTACCCCAGGCTGGTGAAAGAACTTCCCAAGCGGATGGATTAGCAGAAAAATCCTGGGAACTCATACAGGATCAAGAATAGTTTGTATTTTTACCATCAAGAGTGAAACAACTATATTTAATATGTCCAAGTAGGCAGAGGAGAGAGCAGGCATGCTAAGGAGAGACACGGAGGGTATGAAAAAGATCCAAATTAAGCTCCTGAACATGAAAAATTAATGTCTGAGTCAAAAAATATATATGATGGGATTAACAGAAACTTGGAGACTACAGAAGAAGATTGCAGTCTCCAATTGAAAGCACAGCATTAGAAGGTATACAGAAGAGAAAAAAAGTTTAGAAAAATAAATGAAACATCGGGGACCTATGGAGCATAGCTGTGGTACACAGCTGCCCGACTTACATGTAACTGAAGTCCCATGGAGGACTGGGGACTTATATTTAAAGAAACAATGGCTTCAATTTTCCCAATTTTGGTGAAAATATAAACCCACAGATCCATAAAGTTCAATAACTCAGACACAAGAAACATGAAAAAATCTTTACCAAAGAACAACATATAATCAAATTGCTCAAAACCAGTGATAAAGGAAAAAATCTTGAAGCAGCTGGAGGAAAAAAGACACACTATGTACAGAGAAATAAAATTAAGAGTGACAGCTAACTTCTTGTTTGAAATAATACAAACTATTGCAAGCCAGGAGACAGTGGAACAATATCTTTAAAGTACTGACAGAAAAAAAACAAATAAAAAAATAACCTATCAACCTAGAATTTTATGCTTGGCAAAAATATCTTTCACAAACAGAGGTGAAAGTAATCTGAAGCGAAACAACAAAGCTTCAGGCATCACATTACCCAACTCTCAGTTATACTACAAGGCCATAGTAACCAAAACAACATGATACTGGTATAAAAATAGACACATAGATCAATGGAAGAACAGAATAGAGAACCCAGAAATAAAGCCACCTACTTAAAGTCAACTGATCTTTGACAAGTTGAAAAAAAACATATGCTGGGGAAAGGAGACCCTATTCAATAAATTGTGCTGGGAAAATTGGATAGCCATATGCAGAATGAAACTGACCCATATCTCTCCTCATATACAAAAATTAACAAAAAATGGATTAAAGACTTAAATGGGAGACCTGAAACTATGAAAATTCTAGAAGAAAATCTACAAAAAACTTTCTGGACATTGGCTTAGGCAAAGAATTCATGACTAAGACCTCAAAAGCAAATGCAATAAAAACAAAAGTAGACAAATCAGACTTGATTAAACTAAAAAGCTTCTTCACAGCAAAAGAAATAATCAACAGAGTAAACAAACAACCTAGGAATGGGAGAAAATATTTGCAAACTATTCATCCAACAAAGGACTAATATCCATAATCTACAAGGAACTCTAACAACTCAATAGAAAAAAAAAAGTCCATTTAAAAGTGGGCAAAGGACATAAACAGACATTTTGCAAAAGAAAACGTACAAACAGTCAATGAGCATATGAAAAAAATGTTCAATATCACTAATAATCAGAGAGATGCAAATTAAAACCACAATGAGATACCTACCATTTTATACCAATCAGAATGGCTATTATTTAAAAGTCAAAAAATAACAGATGTTGGTGAAAATGCAGAGAAAAGGGAACACTTATATACTCCTAGTGGGAATGTAAACTAATATAAACTAATACAATCTCTATGGAGGTTAGAGATGCCTCAAATAACTGAAAATAGAACTACCATCTGATCCAGCAATCCCACTACTGGGTATCTAACCAAAGGAAAAGAAATCACTATATCAAAAAGAGAATTGCACTTGCATATTCATTGCAGCACTATTCATAATAACAAAGATATAGAACCAATCTAAGTGTTCATCAATGGATGATTAGATAAAGAAAAAGTGATACACACACACACGCACACGCACACACACAGACACACACACATCATGGAACACTACCCAGCCATAAAAAGAATGAAATAATGTCTTTTGCAGCAACATGGATGGAACTGGAGGCCATTATCTTAAGTAAAATACTTACAAACAGAAAGTCACATATCACACGTTCTCACTTGTAAGTAGGAGCTGAATAATGTGCACACATAAACATAGAGAGTGGAGCGATAGATGTAGGAGACTCAGAAAGGTGAGAGGGTGGGAGGTGGGTGAGGGATAGAAATTACCTAATGGGTACAATGTACACTATTCAGGTGATGGGTCCACTAAAAGCCCAGACTTCACTGCTATGCAATATATCCATGTAACAAAACTGCACTTGTATCCTCTACATTTATAAAAAGAAAAAACAGAGATGAAATAAAGACTCTTTCAGTCATACAAAGTCTGAAAGAACTCATCAACAATAGACCTACACTACAAGAAAATGAAGTAAACAGTTAGAGGGCATAAAATTGGAAGGAATAGAACGTCCATGTATATGGCTTAAACATTACGATTAGATGACAAAGAGTTTTGAATTGTGTCCCCAAACAAAGTCCAACTAGTGTTGTTTAGGAGACTTTGTCATGGTTTAAAAAGAGGTCAATAAATTAATTATCGAATATTCCTCCCCAAAAGATGTAACCTGGTCAGGTGCAGTGGCTCACACCAGTAATCTTAAGACTTTGGGAAGCTGAGGTGGGAGGGTAACTTGAGCCCAGGAGTTTGAGACCAGCCTGGACAACATGCCGAAACACCATCTTTACAAAAAATACAAAAATTAGCTGGGCATGGGGACACATACCTGTAGTCCTAGCTAATCAGGAGGCTGAGGTGGGAGGATCACCTGACCCAGGAGGTTGAGGCTGTGGTGAGCCGTGATCATGCCACTTCACTCCAGCCTGGGTGACAAAGCAAGATCCAGTCTCAAAAACCAAAAAAAGAGGTAGCCTAATTTCCCTCCCTTTAAGTGAGTACTTAATGACTTGTTTCTAATGAGTAGAATGTGGCAGGAGTGATGATGTGTAACTTTTGAAACAAGATTATAAAAGGCATTATGGTTTCCTCCTTTCTCACTCTCTTGGATCCATCCCTTGAGTAGGAGTCACCTGCCATGTCATGAGGACACACTTAAGCACTCCTACAGAGAGGTCTGCATGGCAAGGGACTGAGACATTCTTACAGCAACCAGCACTGACTGATCAAGTATGTGAGGGGAGCCATCTTGAAAGCAGATTATTCATCCCCAGTCCAGCCTTCAGATGACTCCAGCTCTGGGTAACATCTTAACCATAACCATGATCATGAGATGCCTTGAGCTAGAACCATCCAATAAGCCATCCCTAGATTCCTGACACACTGAAATCATGAAATAATAAATGTATATTACTTAAGCCACTAAGTTTTGGGGTAATTTGTTATGTAGCTTTAGATAGTGAATAAAAAGTTAAAATCTCAAACAAAATGATATGCTAAACCTCTTAGAATGCCTAACAGCATAGCAGGGAGATGCAGACAAAATATTATTGGGATTGTGATGTTGATATTAGTTGATGTAGACTTCAAGTCTTGATGCATACCAAACTTCCCTTCATATCTGAATCTGGAGAGGAGATTTAAACATCACTATGTGGGCAGATGTTAGGTATAATTCATCATAGCCCAAGATAGAAACATTTATACAGAGAAAATGGGCTGGCATTCAGATTTCTCAGAAGACTTGCTTACTGCTGCTCCAGGGTAAGAAGGGACATGAGTACAGAGAAGGCTAGGTAAAGGTGTGCTACTTATTACTAGCTAGGGGGAAAATGGATCATTTTTCTTTTATAAAAACTGACATTTAAAATGAAGCTATCAATGTCATGAGCTTTGATATAACAAAAATGCCTTGAAAAAGTATGTAAAGCACAATCTTTTAGAAATACATGGAGAATTGACAAGAAATACAACATTAGTATAAACTTCACCCAATTCAAGAGGCAACTGGAATGATCTACAAATAGTTGGACTTGGAATTACTTGCTGTTCCAACAGTTTATTAAATGAAACATTGCCTAGAGGTTTGACCACTGAAGAAGTTGGCTGAGTCCAAGGCCAGGACCCAGTGCTCCCAGAGGCTTCCTCCAGGGGTGCAGCTACCTCAAATACACAGCTGCCTTGGCCCAATCCTAAGTGTCTGCAAGCGCTTTGGCAAAAGAGGTTTTTGGAAGTCTCCCAGGTAAGCATGAGAGCTTGCCTGCCTCAACAATCATTACATGGATGCTCCTTCTTTGCTTTGTCTTCAGCAGCTATGTTGGTTCAATCCTTCTGTTTGGGTGAACTTGGCCAGCTTGCTTTAAGCATCTCACCAAACTCCTGCCGTAAATATAAGAGTGTCTATAAAATATTTTCAATGGTGAAAAACAACTGATGAAGCTAAGTGATGGGTAAATGGATTGTGCTAGCCTTCCAGCGTCTTTTATAGGTTTGAAATTTTAAAAACTAAAATGTTAAGCAGGGGTGGGGGATGCCACGTATTAAAGAAATAACATTAATCCAAGATGTGGGGGAGGTGGATAGGTGAGGGTAGCATTGAAATGAGTGGGTACTTGCCAAAGCTCTGTGGTGAATGCATAGGAATTCATTATGCTTTCCTCTCTACCCCTGTACACGTTCAAGATTTTTCACAATGAAACACTAAAAGAAAATCAATTGTAGATATAGTATGATTCCATTTCAGAAAAAACAAAGATAGAGAGAAAGCAGATATGCTTAAATGTATATGTGAGGGATAGGAGGGCTGGCACACAGCGTGCTATTAGCACTGGTTAGAGAGGATTCGCTGTGTCATTATACCTATTTATAATGCATTGTTTGACTTATTATATAATATGCATGTATTATTGTTATAATTTTCAAAGTGTAAAAAAGAATTTTAAAAATGATACCATAAAGGGAAATAGACTTAAATGCCTTCAAGCCTTAGGAAGATATTGAGGTGTGACAAAGTCTGGGAATTTAGAGAACTGTAGCAAACAGGAACAAACCAGTTTCATTAAAAAGAAATTCACTCTGTATGTCCAACCAGACACCTCCAGTTTTCAACCTCCGAACAGACCCTTTCTCAATATCCCCTTCATAGATAACTTAACAGTCTAACAGTCTACTGAGCTGAAATGACCTCTTTGCAATCCCTGCCACTCGTATTCAGGAACCAGAAACCAGTTCTTGCTGCTTTCTCACAGACTTCAACATACTTACTTCAGACTTTGACATTTTCTAAGACATTGATTCCAGCAGAGACAAACCTGAATAGACCAATAATTGTGGAAGAGTTTGGGAATATTGTCAAAGAATGTCTGTCCCAAAATATACTAGGCTATTTTATTGATCATTTAGACCAATCCCTCCAAGAACAGATGATGCTTTGGTTCACATGAATTGCCTGGGGGCCTAGATAAAATTGGAAATCCTCTCAACACATTTTGTATAGCTTTGAAAACCCTCACAGAGCACAGAAAAGGAAACTACTTGGCCACCCTTGATTATAAATAGGCAAGTATGAACAAGTTGAACCGATACCATATTAAAAGAATAATGCACCATGGCCAAGGACAACTGTCTTTCCAGGCATACAGCAGCAGGGACTCTAATAGAACATGTGTTTTTGCATTAATAGGTTAAAGGAGGCAACCCATTACATAATTTAAATTAAAGTAGGGAAGCTGCCTCTGTGATTGTGTGTAGGTGACTGTTCAGCATCAGAACCTCTTCTTATGTCTATGGAATTCCATACCTTGTGAGTAATGTACGGTGTGAGAGAGAAGATGGAAGTAGAAATTATCTGTTCTTTCAGCTTCTTCTGCATCCAGGGCATGGGTACATCTCCTAGGTTTGGCCAATCATACTGACACCAAATTTGAATAAAAATTAAATAGGTAAGCAAAGAAGTCAGGCCAGCAGCAGCATCATGTCCATGCTCTTGGGTGGCAGCACAGCTGTGCCCCCAGAAGAATCCAGGGTCATCTGGTATGCGGAAGTGATCTCACTGGTTTCATGGATGATGTGGCTGTCATCCTGATTGATGTCTCCCCTTTCTGAGGACTTTGCCAGCCTGATTCCCCATCTTCCATGGGAATGATCTGGGCCCCCCAGGTTCCAGTTTACAAATTCCCTTTCTGATTAGATCTGCTATT
The DNA here is from genome assembly GCF_000001405.40 of Homo sapiens. NCBI lineage: Eukaryota > Metazoa > Chordata > Mammalia > Primates > Hominidae > Homo > Homo sapiens. The sequence continues at coordinate 43,091,449 of NC_000007.14, forward strand.
CAGTTCTTTCACTTGGAACTGAGATCCTTGAATCATAGAGGCTGAAAAGGGATGATAAAATTAATCAGCCTTCTTAAATTTAAAAATAAATAAAAGTAAGCTTTTAGAAAACCAAAAATAAAAAGTGGCTTGCTTAATGCAATACATACCTACTACCTATATTCTACTTAGTAGTGAAACACTAAAAATAGTTCTATTAAAATCAGGGCAAAGACCATGGCTGCTGTCACTACAGTTGTTAACATGTTTGAGAGAATCAATGCAATAAGAAATAAAGAGAAAATAATGGGAATACTGAAAAAGAAAAGAAAGTCATCATTATTTGCAGGTGATATGATTTTATCTGGAAAAGCCAACAGAATTAACTAAAAAATCATAAGATCAAACAGATAGTTAAAAACATTAACCTGTTAAAAAGTAAATAGTAACAAGTCAACTAATTTTTCTTTTTTTTTCTTTCTTCTTTTTTTGAGAGACGTCTCACTCTTGTCCCCCCAGGCTGGAGTGCAATGGCGCAATCTTGGCTCACTGCAACCTCCGTCTCCCGGGTTCAAATGATTCTCCTGCCTCAGCCTCCCAAGTAGCTGGGATTACAGGTGCCTGCCAGCATGCCCAGCTAATTTTTGTATTTTTAGTAGAGACAGGGTGTCACCATGTTGGCCAGGCTGGTCTCATACTCCTGACCTCAGGTGATCTGCCCACCTCGGCCTCGCAAAGTGCTCACAGGTGTGAGCCACTGCACCCGGCCAAGTCAATGAATTTTTCTACACATCAGCAGTGACCAGTTTGTGCTAGAATGGAAAAATAATACCCAGAAATATTTCCTGGAAGATAATTCCTACAATTACTGTTGTTGGGAAATACATATATATAAGATCTATATTAAAATCTACAAACCTATAATATATAAATGTAAAATTGAGAAACAATGTAGATAATGGTTGATATTTATTGAGGAATTATTGAATAAATAACAAGACATATCCATGGATGTAAAATTTAATATCATAAACATGCCACTTCTTTCTAAACTAATCTATATTTTAAATTCCAGTGAGAACATGAGTGGAATGAAATATTTTTAGAGAACGTGACAAAACTATTTTCAAGTTCATAACTGTGAATGAGTGCCCAATAAGAGCCAAGAGAATCTTACACAATGAAGAGGGCTTGTTCTGTGAGCTATCACATCATCTTATAAAGCCAGGAAGAGTAAAACAAGGTGGGAATATGACCAGAATAAACAGAAAAATAATAGAACAGAAAAGAAAGTTCAGAAACAGAGTCCAGTGCACACAGAATATAGCAATTACAATGTAGCACAGAAAAGGATTTCTCCATCTAGGCCAACATATGAGATTGTAACATGGTAAATTTGTCAAATGCAACTACAGCCATACTTGCATGAAATTTATAGAATTAAATGCATATATTAGAAAAGAAGAAAGACTGAAAAACAATAATCTAAGCATCCATCTAAAAATTAGTAAAAGAACAGCAAATTAAACCCATAAGCAGGAAAAAAATGAAATAAAATAGGTAAGTGTAAAAAGTATGACATCATCATCATTATCATGTAGAAAAATGTGAAGGATTATCAATTCCAAAAGTTGGTTCCTTGAAAATACTACTGAAATTGATAAACTTCTGGCAAGATGATCAAGAACCAGAGAGGAAGAAAACATACATCATTCATATAAGGAATGAACAAAGGGACATCTCACAAATATTAAAATGACAGAACGAAAATATTATCAACAAAGAGAACATTGCCTGATTCATATTGTAAAGCCAGCTAAACTTTGATAATGCAATCTGATAAAAAAATAAAATCTTACTCCATGCTAGTAATATGTAAAAAGAAATAATACTAACCTTTTGATTTATTCTTAGAAAGTAAGGCTGATTTAACATTCAAAAATAAACTACCAAATTCACACACAAAAAAGAAAACCTTATATAATAACCTCAATGAAATAGAGAAAGCATTTAATAAAATTCATCATCCTTTTATTGAGGGGGAAAAGACTCTCAGTATATTAGGGAGAGAGGAGAATTAACTCCTTAACCTAGAGTATCTGCAAAAACCTATAGCAGATCTCTGAACAGTCAAATGGTAAAATGTTGGAAGCTTTCTGAGACTGGGAACCAGATAAAGATTTCTGCCTACTTGACTTTTATTCAATATTGTGCTGGAGGTCTTAGTGTAATTAGACAAGAAAAAGAAATGAAAGATAAAGGATTAAAAAGGTAGAAAGAAAACCCGCATTTTTCTCAGATGGTAAGATTGTGTATTTGTAATTACCTTAAAAAATACCAATAAATCATTATAATTAATACATGAATTACCAAGGTCTGTGGAAACCAGATTAAAAAAAATTCAACTTTATTTCTATATACCAGCAACAAACAATTAGACATTAAAAAATTTTTAATATTTTATTTAAAATAATATCAAAACATCTGACATATAAAAATAAAACTAACAAAAGATAAGGAAAAGTTCTTCACAGAATCTAAAGCACTATTGGGGGAATTAAATACTTTGAGGAGGTATATGAGCATTCAGTATAGCAAAAATTTCAGTATGCCCTGAAACTAATATAAGATTCAATGTAATCCCAATCAATATTTAAATGTTTGGGGGAGGGGGGTTGAAGAGGATTCTTTAATTTACATGGAAATGGAAAACATCACAAATAGAAGAAAGAAACCTTCCACTATATTTAGTAGTATAGACCTATACTACTACCTATATGATACTATCATGACTAGTAAACATACAGTAATTATTATGATTTTTCCTTTCTAGCACAAACTGGTCACTGCTGATATACAGTGACAGAAAAAGACTTGGTGGGGGCATCCCAGATGCTGGCAATGTTTTATTTCTTGGGCTGGATGGTGTTTTTATGAATGTGTTCACATGGTGATAATTCACTGAACGGCATCTTTTATGAAAAAGTAGGAAAGTGATTTGTCAACCGATTAAGTTATAAAATTTGGTTAAGTTCTAGCAGAAAAGGTTAGATACGATTTCACACCATATAGTAAGATTAAGTTATAATATCTGGTTCCATTCTAGAGGAAAGGTTAGATATTAATAGCATTTCATGCCATATATTAAAATAAATTCCAATAAGCTAAGTAACTAAATGTAAAAAATAGCACAATTTAAAGTTCAAGAAGAAAATATGGGAGAATATACAACCTTGGGGAGCAGGAAGAAGACGAGAAATTGAAGGTGATTTGACTTATGATCCTCAGTGCACAACACTGAAAAACAAAAAGATTTCTGGAAGTGTATACAAATTTTTTAATGATGATATATAAAACATCCAAATACTAATGATAAACTGGGAAAATATACTACATGAACAGTCTAGGAATCAATGTGTTTACTAATAAGATTTTTTTAAAGATGAGACTCGAGAGACTTAGACTTAGCAGGTGAATGACAATTGAAAGAATCCACTGGGAAGAGGAATTTTACATGGAGTAAGTTTCCTGAGGCTGTTGGTGGCCCATCTTATAATTAACATAGGACTATTTAAAATATATAAAAGAAGACTCATTAAATTGTAAAACCATTACATTTTTATTTGTTCTTCAGCATTGCTAAACATTGTATTCAAGTCTTATTCAAAACAAAAAGTAAATCTTACCTTTTCCAAGAAGAGCAACCTTTCTCTCTCCCACACACAGTGGTGGTCTCCCTGTGATGAGAGAAGACAAAAACCAGGTCCCGGGTCGTTCTGTCCCTCCTCAGAAGATGCCCCTCTCTGAAGGAAAGGGAACGTCTGTAGGAGATGTGTCTACCTGGGACCAGTCTGATGCCCATTGGAAGCTCACTCTCTGTTTACAAGACCCTGCACAGCCACCTCTGGGTCCGAGTGGCCTCTTCCCAGACTTCTTCCTCCTGTGAGTGGGCTCAGTAGTTCTGAGCCACCCTTAAGGTGGAGGTCAAAGGTGACTGTTTTGGGGGTTGCACAGAGCTTGGACCTGCAGGAGAGGTCCCTTCAGTGTGGGATGGAGCCCAAGGCCAGAAGAGAAGGAGGGCAGGCTGAGAGTGAAGCCAGGGCCAGCCATTCCTGCACCTAGCTTGTTCAGCTCAGAACTTCCCAGGAATTTGATTTCCAAATTGGTTTTCCAAGTCTTAGGAAGGCATATTTGTTCATCAGGAGGATTGAACATATTTTACATAACAGTTAACTTGAATTCTAATTTTAAATTGTTTATGCACACAATATGTGAGTGTCCATTTGAAGTCTGCCCTGCCCTTCATTTATTATAGGGGGCCAGATTGCTCCCAAAAACCCAGGTGATAGAATGAGCTTGGAATAGATGAGGGAGTACCTTTTCACTGTTGAAGGACAGAGAGAGAGAGAGAAAGAGAGAGAGAGAGAGAATATGAAGCATCCATGGCTGTAAGTCAAGAACCTTGTAGGTGTCATGATAGAAATTGAGAGAGGTCCTATCTTTACCTTAAAACAGGGGTTTCCAATTTTTTGGCTTCCCTGGGCCACATTGTCTTGGGCCACACATAAAATACACTAACACCAATGATAGCTGATGAGCTGAAAAAAATTAGAAGTCAGAAAAAAGTCTCATAATGTTTTAAGAAAGTTTACAAAATTGTGTTGGGCTGCATTCAAAGCCATCCTGGGCTGCATGGGGCCCACAGGCCATGGGTTAGACAAGCTTGCTTTAAAGGAAAGATTTTTTTTTCCTTTTAGGTAAAAGTTGAGAACGTGTGAATAAAGAAAGTGTGTTGGATAAGAAATTTGAAGGATTATGAATGTTTGAATTGTGTTAAGAAAAGAATGCATAGCTAGAGAGAGAGTTCTCTAACCTTCTTTGTATCTTAAAATGCCATAAATATTTTTCCATATCATCCATCATCTTTCTACAGTATCATTGTCAATTTATGTATAATAGTCCATTTGAAGAATGCCATATTACATTGAACAAATGTACTATTTTGGATTTGTGGGTAATTTGTAATTTTTTTCAATTGCAAAAATACCCCCTAAGCATCACCAGAGATAAATATCTAAATATTTCTTAGATAACTTTCTAAGATAAATTCCTGTAAGAGTAATTTTTGAGTCAAAGGATAAGGTTTTAAAAGCATTTCCAGTTTGCCTTCTACAAAGTTTGAATCAACTCATCCTCATTTTCTATGCTGTAAGAGAGTAGTAGTATTCCAGCACCATCACCAAAATCAGGTAGTTTTGTTTACTTTATCATTAGTATCCACAAATTTCTTAGACAAAAAGATCTGGCTGGTCTGAAGGTAGCAGGTTATCTCAATTGATTGTTCACAGTCAGTTATAGAGCAAACTGCTTGCTCTACTCTTTCACCCCTTCTCACTACTGCACTTGACTAGTTGATATGGTTTGGCTCTGTGTCCCCACCCAAATCTTATGTTGAATTGTAATTCGCAATGTTGGTGATGGGGTCTGGTGGGAGGTCATTGGATCATGGGGGTGGTTTCTAATAGTTTAGCACCATCCTCCTAGGGCTGTCTCATGATACAGTTCTCATGAGATCTGGTTGTTTAAAAGTGTATAGCACCTCCCACTTGGCTCTCACTTCCTTCTGCTCCAGCCATGTAGAACGTGCCTCCTTCCCCTCCCACTTTGGCCATGATTGTAGGTTTCCTGAGGTCTCCCCAGCCGTGCTTCCTGTACAGCTTGTGGAACTGTTAGTCAATTAAACCTCTTTTCTTTATAAATTACCCAGTCTCAAGTAGTTCTTTTTAGCAATGTGAGAACAGACTAATACACTAGTCTTAAAACGTTTTTTAAGACCCATCATCTTAAATTTGCTTACCTTAGATTACTAGTATAACTTTTTTTTAATGTTTCTTGGTCACTTGTAATTCTTTCATAACTAGTTTGTCCTTTTTATTTCTTTCTCTAATGGATTATTCCTTTTACTTTTTGCTTTGTCATTGTTCTTTAAGCATTATTAATTTATCCATTATACGGGTGTCAAAAAATTTGCCTAGTTTTTTTACCATTTACATTTTGTACTTATACTCAACTTATAAAATTCAGGTTGCAAAGCGAAAATTAAGAAAACAAGAAGGCTTGTTGAGACTTCTTTTGTCTTTTTCAAAAACTTGGTGTGAACATAAACTATTTTCCCCCAGATTTTAGAAAACTGCTCTTCAGGGAAAAAAAAGGCATAAATTCCAAAATTCATCTTTGCATGCTTATTTCTAATTATAAGAATGCTATTTAAGACACATTGCTTATCTTACCCATTTGAATAAGGCAAATGTTGAGTTTAAGTCTCCTCTTGGAGCAAAAGAAAAAGAGGAGAATGGCTCCCCAGTACAACTCTACCAGGATGTTGGCAGCCACATGCTCCCAATATTCATGGGAGAGAGAACACACTCTTCAACATGTACAGAAATGGGATTTCACAAATGAGCTTTATGTCCAACAGGAAGCTCTGAAATCTGGATGGTGTGCAGGTATGGCTGGGAAATATGTCACATGGATCTCGTGTGTGTGTGTGTGTGTGTGTGTGTGTGTGTGTCTGTAGAAAAACATGAGATTCAGTCTATTTTGCTAGTCTTTAGCTGGAGAAGTAATACATTAAGAATGGGGTAGAGTCTTATGTGCAAAAATGCAGCCCAGCACTTTAGGAGGCCAAGGCAGGTGAATCACTTGAGGTCAGGAGTTTGAGACCAGCCTGGCCAATATGGTGAAACTCTGTCTCTACTAAAAATACAAAAATTAGCTCAGCATGGTGGTGCATGCCTATAATCCCAGCTACTTGAGAGGCTGAGGCAGGAGAATCACTTCAACCCAGGAGGCAGAGGTTGCAGTAAGCCAAGATCGTGCCACTGCACTCCCACCTGGGCGACAGAGCGAGACTCCGCCTCAAAAAAACAGAAAAAACATGGGACTGGAGGGTGGGGGAGTACTTTGTAATAAGTGCTATTTTAAACTGGCAGTGAAGTTTCCCAGTCAGCTCCTGTTCTGCCCCTTGTTGACGTCAGTGACGTTCTGCTGCATTATGTTGTACTTTTTTGGCAACTAGAGGACTCTTGGGTCCAGCATGTGCTAATTATAATGAAAATAGAATAATTAACATATATCCGAAACTTATTTGTAGTAAGAAGACACTAAGTGCCTACATGTATTTATTTGTTTAATCCTCATAATAAACTTATGAAGACATTATTGTACCCATTTTCAAATGAGGGAAACTGAGAAAAAGAAGGTGAAAAACACACCTGTACATATATGAGCCACTGCTACTGAGAATAATTAGAAAAAGAAGGAACTGGACTTTAGGACTACATAAGGCAATAAAGCATAGTAGAATGTGCATAGAAATTTTTACCTTGGGATAAATAGATCTTGACAGTAGAGGAGTATTCTTGTATCTTTGTAAAAGCATTAGTATTATGCACTCTGAGACTATGAGGGGATAACAATGAGTCAAAATTAGGAAAGTATAAGAGAATAATTAATTTTATTATTTATAATCTGTATGTCTGATAACAAAAGTGACATGAGTTGAACAGCAGCACCTTTCTGCTGGGCTGAAGGGTTTGTGTGGGGAAGTTTTGGGGAGGAGTTAGAGGGAAGCTTATCTCTTCATAAAGGTAAGGAGGAAAAACTATTTTGGTTTCCAAGGCAATCTTGGTGGGAGGAAATTAGGACCAGAGGAAAGGGAAGAACCCGTGAGGTGGGGCAAAGCTCCAGTTGCAAAATGATGGAGAGAATTTGAACAACAGATTGTTAGATTTTGAGTCGGTAAACATTTGCTATGCCACCTCCCCTCCCTTACAACCTACTCCCAAATATCCAGAAATACCTCCATGTGTCATTTTTGTCTTTTTTTTTTTTTTTCTTTTTGGGTAGGTGAAGAACAGCCTCTGTTCCGTCTGGCTGAACCTGCAGCCGGATTAATCCCAAAAGCAGTGACAGTGAAGTTTTCCCTCAAGAAACCACCCCAAACCATCCCAAGATGGGACCCTTTGAGATTCCAAAGAAAAAAGCACTAAACGCCAGGGTGCTCAGTCCAAAGAATGTATTAGGGTAACTTACATCAAAAGGGCTGCAGCATTCTCCAAGGGACAGTGAGACAAAAGATGTCCTACCCACATGTGTCAGTAATGGGCTGGGGTAGGGGTCAGGTTATGGAGTTTATTTGAGGGTTTAAGGAATTTGGCTCAAGGCCGGGGCTAGTTTCTGCAGGTGTAGCAACATGGTTGGTCTTTCAGTGTTTTGAGCAAAAACCTAGACAACTTTATCAGTGCCCGGGAATAGTCCACTCGCCTGCTTTGGTTCAAGCCTGCAGGGGAAATCATGCAGCTGGCTAGGTCACAGAACAGTCGAAGTACTCTGTCATTTTTGGTCAGGACAAAGAAAGAAAACAGGGGTAACTGGGGCATCCTATAGCATCACATCTGTGTCAATGCAGTCCATTACGATAGCAAGCAGAAGTTGTCCAGGGTCAGAGATGACTGAGAATATGAGCACACCAAGAATTTGAATAACTCTCTAGCACGTTTAGGACTTTCCCCAGAGTGTGGAAGTAGAACGTTTGAGCTGATCATAAAGATATCAAGAACCACTGTATAGAAAGGTCCCTGATGACCTTTTATTGCTAATAACACACATCCAAAAAGGCATCTTTTTTCAGTGACCGGATGTTTATTCAAATATTCAATACCTACCATTATTTGAGTAAACATCCAGTCACTGAAAAAGGATGCCTTTTTGGCATCCTTGTTCTATTGGCAATAGAACAAAATAATTTATAACCCTATCTTTGTAGATGCATGGGGAGTAACATCCTGAGTGGGTTTTCTTAATTGTTTTGGAATCCTTTAGCAGAGAAAATGACAGGCTTAGATCAGCTAACTGTGCACTTCCAGCATGTTATAAAAGCCGGAAGGTCTCTATGACAGGACTTTGGGAAATCCTTACATCTTTCAGTGACAGGGCAGACTGCTGAAAATCAGGCCAACGATCTTACTGTCAGAGAGTGGTAAAGCTGCAAAAGAAACTGAATGCACAGCACAGCCTTGATAGGTTGCCTATGTCAAAGTTAGGTCCCTGGTAGGAAAAGAATGGGACTTAAGACCTGAGAGTGGGACATTTGGTTGATTTTCCTGAAAACCATAGTCCAGCAGAGGCAGCTCTGTTTCGCCTTTGCTAGAAAAGTTTTCCTTGCTTGGAGGCCTTGTAGAGGCACATGTGAGGCAAGAATCTTACAAGATGAATCTTGTCCTCTGTCAAATTTGCCCTGATCTCCTGTCATTATCTCTATCCTGTTAAATTAGGGTCAGGTCTCAGCATAACAACTGGTGATTACTGTCTATTTTCCAAGATAGAGAAAATAGGTTTCACACTGCAGGGTTTGCAGGACCTGGTTAATGTGTACCAGCAAGTTCCAGGATTTTGCAGTTAAGAACTAGAAAGAAAGAGTCAAAGAATATTTATCCTATGGAGGAAAATATGAAAGAAGACAAAGATGTTTTAACCTATTAATATATTATAATATATGAAGTATTAAATATTTTAGATATTCAGGAGCTTTACTTTGTAGCCTTGTATATAGTCCATTTTTATAAATGTTTCTTGGCTGATTAAATCAAACATATCTGTTTGATTTTTAAAACGTGGTATGTGTCTACTATTTTTTTCAATAATGTTATTCTAAGTATGCAATTTAAATTTCTCTGTGCAATATGGTATTAATTAGTTCAGATTTACTGAAGTCACCCCAAAAAAGATTTTGTAAACAGTTTCTCTGTGCTTAACACTTGTTCACATCTTGATACAAGGTTATTCTACACATTCTGACTTTACAAACTTTTTTTTTCTTTTCTTTTTCTTTTTCTTTTCTTTTCTTTCTTTTTTTTTTTTTTTTTTTTTTGAGACAGGGTCTCACTGTGTCACCCAGGCTGGAGTGCAGTGGTGTGAACATGGCTCACAGCAGCCTCAACCTTCTGGGATCAAGTGATTCTCCCACCTCAGCCTCCTTAGTAGCTGGGACTACAGGCCTGTCCCATAATCCCTGGCTAATTTTTTATTTTTATTTTTTGTAAAGACAGGGTTTCGCTATGTTATCCAGGCTGGTCTTGAACTCCCGGGCTCAAGTGATCCTCCCGCCTCAGCCTCCCCAAAGTCCTGAGATTACAGGTGTGAGCCACTTCAGCCAATTTTAAGAACTTTTTTTATAAATAATTAATATCAGTATAAAATTATTCATTATGCAATTTGTTGGTATGTTTAAGGCTTAAATTTGTCAGTAGAGTTGCAAATGCTATTTTAATGTATTATTTTGCCTATTCTGCCTACTTTTCCTTTTAAATCTCTTTATATTTACTTTACACTTTTAATATATGTATATATGTTGTATATGTGTGAATTAACGTGTTATATTGGTTTTAAAACCTTCTTCAGGGTTCTGTGTGTGTATGTTTTTTTTTGAGACAAAGTCTTGCTCTGTCACCCAGGCTGGAGTACAGTGGTGCAATCATGGCTCACTGCAGCCTTGACCTCTAAGGTTCAAACGATCCTCCCACCTCAGCCTCCTGAGTAGCTGGGACCACAGGTGGGCGCCACCATGCTTGGTTAACTTCAGGAGTTTTAGAAGAGGAATTTAAGCCATTTATTTTAAATAGGGCAACAATTATCAGACCCAAATGGTATGTTTGACCTTAATTCTATTATTACTTTATCTTTCTCTGTCTCTATGAATATGGTTTATGATTTGTTTGCTTCTATTTTGTGGATTGAAAAGATGTTGAAATCTTATTTTATATTCTAGTATTTAAATGGTTTAAAAGAGCTCAAGCTCTCCCATGCCTAATCCTCAGAGGAAAGCACTGTTAACAGTTTGGTTTTTGTCCTTCCTATATTTTCCCTATGATTTTATAGACATAAAATATATTTATATTGGCATGAATCAATATAGAGATGTTTAGCTATTAATATGCAATAACATGTTTTATTTACAAAAATGGGATCATATTATAATTTTTCATTCTCACTTACCAATAAAACATGGACAACTGTCCAGACCAGCACATATAGCTCTCCTCCATTCTTCTATAATGGCTACATAGAATTCCTTTGATTATATGTATCATTTCCTTATTAATGGACATTTAAGTCTTTCCCAGTTTTTTGCTTGGTTTTGTATTACAAACAATACTCCTTGTACATTACAAACAATAAATAGCTATTACAATAGCTATTACAAACAATAGCTATCCTTGTACATAAATATTTTTACTTACCTGTTTAACTATTGCTTTGTCTAAGAATAGACTCATAAGTAAAACTGCTGGGTATTTGCATAACATATTTCATATTTTAATAAATACTCCACAACTGCTTTCCAAAAAAGTTTTCTTAATCAACTAAGTACTCATATTTTTTAAATTATCAAAATCAGAACAACGACTATTGTGTATCCTTACCTCCCACCCAACCATCAGTTTTCCTGTCTTTAGCCACACAATTTATCAACACACAATTACAGTTGTACTTTATCATGATTTTTCCATATATAACTTCTACTTCAATAAGAGCATTTTTTTTCATTGATTTTGTTACTCTATTACCAAAGTTCTAATGAGATTTATATTTAATTGGTTTCAATGTTCAGTTGTTATATTAGTCCATTTTCCCACTGCTATAAATAACTAAGACTGGATAATTTATAAAGAAAAGAGGTTTATTTTTATTTTTATTATTTATTTTTTTGAGAGGGAGTCTCACTCTGTTGCCCAGGCTGGAGTTCAGTGGTGTGATCTCTGCTCCCTGCAGCCTCTGTATCCTGGGTTCAAGCGATTCTCCTGCCTCAGCCTCCTGAGTACTGGGATTACAGGCGCCAGCCACCACGACTGGCTAATTTTTGTACTTTAGTAGAGACAGGGTTTCACCAGGCTGGTTTCGAACTCCTAACCTCAAGTGATCCTCCAGCCATGGCCTCCCAAAGTACTGGGATTACAGGCATGAGCCACCACACCTGGCCAAGAAAAGAGGTTTAATTGACTCACAGTTCTGCATGGCTGGGGAGGCCTCAGGAAACTTACAATCATGGAGGAAGGCAAAGGAGAAGCAAGGCATACCTTACATGGTGACAGCAGAGAGAGAGCAAGGTGGAAAGCGACACACTTGAGAACTCACTCACTATCAGGAGAACAGCATGGGGGAAATCTGTCCCCAGGATCCAATCCCCTCCCACCAGGTCCCTCCCATGACACATGGGGATTACAATTCAACATGAGATTTAGGTGGGCACACAGAGTCAAAATATGTAAGTTGTAGTTCTATATTTCTGCATTTTTATTTCTATCTTGCTGTCTTGATGTATATTTTAGAGGAGATTTTTTTAGGAAGGTACAAGAGTATTATGTTTATGAACTCCTCGATATCTTGAGCAATCTTTCTATTGCTTTTACATCTGAATAACTTAGGAAGGTATAGAATTTTTACTGACAAAATATTTTGCACTCTCAAATGTTGTTTTAGTGTATGTTAGCATTTGATGATGGAGAATAGAAATCAGTTCAGCCAGTCTTTTGTTCTTTTGTTTTTTTCTATATGTTTAATGTCACTTGTATAATTTTTTCAGTATTGATAATAATCTAAAATTTACTATATATTTAGGTGTAAGATTTTTATTTATTTATATATTTTTTTGGAATACCAAGAATTCTTTAGACTTGTAGACCCAAGGATTACATCAACTCAGGAAACTTTGCTTCTGTAAAGTTTTGATTGTTTTATTTTACTTTTGGTTCAAGTTTTCCCTCTTTCCCCTGAGAAAAACAAAACTTTAAGGTTGGGGCTCCTTTATCTGTACTATATAGCTTGCATTTATTCTCTTATCCATTTCATTGTCATTTTCCTCTGGAATTTGGTAGTTTCCTCAGGGTTATCTTTTATATCAATCCTTTATTTTCTATAGTGCCTTTTCTTCCCTGTCAGTCTCCAATATTGATTTTTAATTTGTATTTGCATTTAGAATTTTCTTACATTTTTGTTGTTCCTCTCCTTTTTGTATATCTACGTCCATCAGTTTTTTTAAAATTTTTATATTTTCTTTGTCAACTTTATAAAGTTATCTAGGAAATACCTTCTAAATTAAAAAAATTGGCATAAAGTTATTTCATCTATATGATCTTTTTTTAAATTTCTCAGAACAATATTATCACTTTAATAAGGTGTACTTCTAGTGCTCCCATTTTTGTTTTTAAATTGTTTATTTTATGATTCCTCAAATGGCCAGAGAGTTCTCCAGGTTCTTGGAGTGTGCGGTGAGAGGAACATTCTTAGCCTCCTCACTGCTGACTTCAGTTTAACTGTAACTTTCAGTGCCTTGCAGGCAACAGGGGTCTACAGGATTGTGGTTGGGTGTATACATCCTTTGGTAGGCTAGGTTATTTAAACTGGACACCCAGTTTGCAATGTTTTTGAAGAGCATACTTCATTTAAGTCTATACTCCTGCTCCAGTGTTCACTCCTTCCATAGCTCATCCTGGATCCACTTTAGCTCATAAAGCTTTCATCATGGGTGACTAAGCATTCTAGAGAGCAGTGTAGCTCTTCCTGGCCCTTATGTTCTCTGTCATGTCTATTCTGTGAGATATAGATCTAAGCGGATGAATAGAAAAAAAAAATAGAGGGACAATTGCAAGACCATTTTTAGCCAGCTCAGAAGATAAATGTCAAACAGTGGAAGGATGACCCCTGGTGTGTTTAGGTGAATGCCTCAAAGTTGGTCAAAGAAAATGTGGTGGGAGGAGGGCTCAAAGTTTTATCCTACCTCATTTGATGTTGTATGATCCCTGCTAGATTCCAGAGGTCAGATTATGTGATATACAGTCCAAGAATACAATCTCAGTCCTTCATTTTAAGGGTGCAATTGTTAGACTCCTGCTCAGATTTTGGCCAGTGTGGTTTTCTTATCTCTTTTATTTCTGACAATACTGTTGTTTTTTGGCTTCTATTCTCCATCCACTCTGTATTCATACTCTTTACCCTGTGGCCTTGCAGTTCCTTCCATCAGTGAGTGGAGTGTCTTTCCCTATCACTTGAATCTGGGCTGGCCTCATGATGGGCTTTGGCCAGCAGAATATGGTAGAACTGACAGTGTGCTAGTTCTGAGACCAGACCTCAGAAGCCTTGCATATTTCTCTCTCGCTCGCTCGCTCCAGCTACTGCTATGAAAACAAGACTGGAATAGCCTATTACAGGATGAGTGACCATATGGAACAGAGCCAAGTTGTCCCAGATGAAGTTGTCCTAGATGAGCCAGCTCCTAGGAAACCTGCCAACTGCCCACACAAAGGAGCCCAGCTGAGATCAGCTTAGTCTGGACTAGATCAGCAATTTATAGTGGATTTATAGACTCAGGAGAAATAGTACATGGTTGTTAACTAAGTTTTGGGATGGTTTGTTAGGCAGCAATAACTAACTGATGCATTACATTTAATCACAGGAGCTGTGTAAAGATCCTTGACATAAATGCAAATTACACTTCAGATATGTTGGAATGATTTACTTTCCTACCAGGAGAAATACAAGTCCTAAAATGAGGAAAAAGGTATCTCAATTTAATTTGCACTTAATTGGGTCATAGGGCTATTTAAGAATTTTTCATGCATTCATTGCAAATTTTAAATCATCCATCAAAGTTTTTTAGTAACTTTTGCCCACTTTACTTTTGTGTAATTTGGTTTAAAAATTTTTTGAGTAAAACTTAAAAAAATTTGCAATATCTCACTTTCCTCAAAACACTTTTAAACTTAGTCATATACATTACAGCCTGTTGAAATCTCCAAATGGACTTGAAAAGAACATTACTGATGGAATGAGCTAAGGAATACTGAAGGCTACCACGTATTAATCACAACGTTATAAACTTTACATTTGTTATCTCACTTGACTCTCAACAATTTTTTTTTTTTTTTTGAGATGGAGTCTTGTTCTGTCGCCCAGGCCGGAGTGCAGTGGCACGATCTCAGCTCACTGCAAGTTCTGCCTCCTGGGTTCACGCTATTCTCCTGCCTCAGCCTCCCCAGTAGCTGGGACTACAGGCGCCTGCCACCATGCCCAGCTAATTTTTTGTATTTTTTAGTAGAGACGGGGTTTCACCGTGTTAGCCAGGATGGTCTTGATCTCCTGACCTCGTGATCTGCCCGCCTCAGCCTCCCAAAGTGCTGGGATTACAGGTGTGAGCCACTGCGCCCAGCCAACAATTTTTAAGGTAAAAATATTCATAAGTAGTTTTATAGATGAGGAAATTGAATTTAAATAAATTGCAGAAGAGTACAAAGAAGTAAATAATTGATCGAAGTTTCAAACCCAGGTGATTTGCCTTGTGTCTGTACTCTTATTATCACCCTCTATTGCTGTTCCTAAATGAAGGCTTCACCTTTCTAAAGGCATTTGTTTCTAATTTCTTTCTTTTTTTTGGTCTGGCTGTGTTTTAATGCCTAAACACACTTTGATTAGGTTAGTGAGAAACTTTCTGGCATATGATAAATTGTTGATAAGCATTCATAGTTCATACTTGTGTGTCACTTTTCTTAGTCTCGTGCTTTTTAATAAGTATTTTGATGGAAAGGTGGGTGAGGGCAAATTAGCCAGCTGCCATCCTCATCTGACACTTGTTATCAACATCTCTCTCTTTTTTGAATTTTTAATTTTAATTTTTGATCAACATATATTAATAATCTAAAAGTATTACAAATAATAATTTGTAAAATTTATACACTGTATATTTTGCTTCACAATATGTTTTTCATTTATTTATGTTTAATTAAAAAAAAATAGAGACAAGGTCTCATGATGTTGCCCAGGCTGGACTTGAACTCCTGGGCTCAAGTGATCCTTCTACCTCAGCCTCTCAAGTAGCTAGAACTACAGGTACATGCCACCACACATGGCTTTTGCTATATATTTAAATGACAAATCTCGTTGTTTCCGTTCCTGGCTTTAAAAATCTTTAGGGTTCTCCATTACTTGCCAAATGAATTCTAACAGCTGGAGCAGGGCATGTTTGGCCTATCACGTATGTCTCAAACCTTTGCTTCCAGTCTTCTCTCTGACACCACTCTCTTTGCTCCAGTCAAATTGAACTCTTCACCAAGTACATTCCCAAGTACATTCTGTTCTTTCTGTCTTCTGCTTTTTCATGTATGCTTTTCTTTCTTCTTCGGATGTCTTTTGGTCACCCAACAAACTTCTGTTCTTCATTCAAAGCTCTATTAATAGAGGCGTTTCTAGCCTCCCTAGCCATATTAGAGTGGTTGCTCCTCTCACACTGATAACATGTCCCTCTCTCAGCACCTGTATCATATTGTACTTACATGTTTAACTTGACCACAAGTTTAGTGTGATTGATATTTACACTGCCTATCATAAAGTAAAAGCTCATTAATAAATTTTTTAATTAATAAAATAAAAAATACGTGCAATAAATAGAAAGCATAGCTGGTGAAAGAAGGTAGAAAAAAGAAACAACAGGCATACAGATTGGAAAGCAAGAATAAAACATCCTCTATTCACAGACAACATAATTATCTACATTGAAAATTCCAAGAAATCTATACAAAAGCTACTAGAATGAATAAATGAGTTCAGCAAGGTCACAGGATACGTAAAAAATACACACACACACACACACACACACTAATTATTTTTTTTCTATTCTACCAGTGAATGAGTTTTTATGTTTTTTTATTTTCCATATTTTGTGGTGCCTTGACATCTTAGGGACTTTGCAGGCTTGGAAGAAACTGCCCCTCCCAGGGCTAGCTAATTCCTAGAGATGGCAAACAACTTGTCTGAGAGCCCACCATTCATATGTAAACCAACCAATCCAGAGTCCATGCCCACAACCACCTCCTTTGTCCAACTCACATAGCAAACCAATTTCCCTTGCCCTAAGTCTCCCCAGGGACAAGTACAGGACAACTAGAGACTACCTCTGTAGCCCACAGCCACTGAAATTATTGGAACTATCAAATCCTAGACTTGCTCAAACTGGCCTGCCCTGCCTGGCCATTCCGTACCACAGCATACAAAATAGAGGCTCTGAGCCATGCTCTCCCAGGCTTCTGCCTCCTGATTGACCCAGGAGCTCCCCCTGTGGCCCTGCGCGGTATGCCATGCCTCCTGTTTCTAGGGTTCTGTGAGTATAAACTTCTCCCTTCATGAGAAGCATTTCCATGTCTGTATGTCTGCATGTGCATACTTAATTAAAACAAATCCCAGGTACACTTTAATACAAAGTGAAATTCAAAATTAAAATCAATACCTTTTACAATAGTACCAAAAAAATGAAACTCTTAGAATCTACATGGAAACTCTTAGAATCTGTGTAGAATTTGCATACTGAAAACTTCAACTACTGATGAAATAAATCAAAGGAAACCTAAACAAATGCAGAGAAATGCTAAGTTTGTGGGTTGAAAGGTATTCAGAAATTGGAAGATTGTTAAAATGTCAGTTCTTCTGATATTCATCTATAAATTTAACACAACTGCAATCAAAATCCCAGTGGGAATTTTTTTGTAGATATTGACAACCATTTCTAAATTCATATAAAAAGGCAAAGAAATGAAAATAGCCAAAATAATGTTTAAAAAGGACAGAATTGGAGGGTTCACACTACCTGATTTTAAGGCAGTATACATCTACAAAATAGTGTACTATTTGTAAAACAATAGAAAGACAGATCAGAGGCACAAAACAGAGAATATAGAAAGAGACCCCTACAAATCTAACCAAGCGATTATTGAAAAGTTGCGAAAGCGATTCAATCAAGAAAGGATCTTTTCAATAAGTGGTGCTAGAAGAATTGGACATCCCATGTGCAAAAACAAGCCAACAAATAAAAAAGTCACCATCCATAGCTCACACCTAAAAAATAATAAGAATTCAAAATGAACCAAATACTTAAGTGTAAAATGTAAAATCTTGAAACTTATCAGCAAAACACAACTCTTTGTAACCTTGGTTAGTCAAAAGAGTTCTTAGATATACCAAAAGCATGATCTCTGAAAGAAAAAGTTGATACATTGAACTCCATCAACTTTAAAGACATTTACTCTGTGACAGAAACTACTAAGAGAATGAAAAGACAAGCCACACATGGGGAGGAAATATTCAGAAAACTTATCTGACAAAGACATTGTATCTAGAATACAGAAAGAACTCTCAAAAATGAACAATATAAAAGCAAACAACCCACTTAAAAATGAGCAAAAATTTTGAGCACTTTACTACAAATGATAGACGGATGGAAGAGAAGCACAAAAGTAGATGCTCACCATCATTAGTCATTAGGAAAGTCCAAATGACAATCTTGTATTATTGGCTACAATTTGCTCCTGTGCAGAGACTATGTGAGATAGCTTCAACAGCTCGGTCTTTTTCCTCCCCTAGTTATAGTGCGTTCACTTCCGACATTATGTTGAAGGCCTATCCCCAAAGATAAAGCCCCGGATTGGTTCAAGTTATCGTTTTCTCAGCATTGTAGGGACCATTTGTGAATGGTGCTCTGTTTGCTAATCTTTATCTGCATGTGGCCTGAGATGAGCAGGTGAGCAGGCATGTCACCCCCTCCCTGGGTCCTCCTGGGCCTCGAGTTACAAAAGGTGGAAGATTCGGTTGCATGGGCATTATGATAATACAGGTGTTTGTATATGCATCTCAAAACCTTCAACATTCACTTTACGCCATTATATAAGGTTAGTATTAGGAGGGACGCACTGGGACTGTGACTTATTATTTATAACAGTATTTTGAGTACATTAGAAACTTAATAAATATGACTACTAGGATGGCTTTAAGATTCATGCCATGTCTTTTCCTTTCTCCACCAAATACTCTTCTCTTTAAGGTTAGGGCAGCTGACATCTGTAAACTCCAGATTCAAGGTCTTCTGCTTGAAACAAGACTTAAGGAAATTACAGAACTAACATAGCCTTTTTGCTTTCTTCTGTAAAATAGGATCATGCTACCCAGACTACAGGGGGACTGTTAGGAATAACAAACAAAACAGGCCAGGCATGGTGGTTCACGTCTGTAATCCTAGCACTTTGGGGGGCTGAGGCAGGAGGATTGCTTGAGCTCAGGAGTTCAAGACCAGCCTGGGCAACTTGGCAAAACCCCATCTCCACTAAAAATACAAAAAACAAATTAGCCAGGCATGGTGGCACACACCTGTACTCCCAGGTACTCGGGAGGCTGAGGGGGGAGAGTTGCTTGAGCCTGGGAGGCGGAGGTTGCAGTGAATGGAGATTGCACCACTATACTCCACCCTGGGCATTGGAGTGAGACCCCTCACAAAAAATAAAAATAATAAAAATAAAAGGGGACAATACACAGGAGTCTGTATATGCTGCCATTGCACCTGACATGTAGAAGCTGCTCTACAAGGCTTCTTTATCTACTCAGGATGTGAAACTTTGTGTACTGCTATTTTAATATCTTTTGTCTTCAGTATAAAAAAAGCAACTCCTCAGGGGAGGATAAAGCACACCACAAGGATTGCTACATCAATAACCTCTATGAGAGATGTGGACTTGTCAAGTCATCTCCATGATGGATAGAACAGAGAGCAAACATCTCTGAGCCAAGTTGATGCTGATTCACTGAAAATAATGAGGTGAACATCCTGGCAATTAGTTGAGGTAAAAAAATTATCCTTTATTGTGGTTTGGTGACATTGTGCTAATTTAGAAACCATGGATGCTGGTTTATGTGAAAGTTTTTGTTTTCTTTCAAGTCTCTGGTTGGAAACATCACATGGTTGGTTGCTGTTGCTGTTTACTGCCACAGCCTGTTCAAGTCTATTCTCGGAGAGTTTTCTTCATATAGGAGTTGGTACTAATCCAAGTGTAAAATCCGGAGAAATGTGTGCACAGCTTTCTGTGTGGATTCTTAGCTAAGGTTTGAAAATGGTCTGCTTTGAGCTCATCTGACCAGAAGATCTGACTGCTGTCAGGCAAAGAAAAGGGTCTGTCAGGAAAGGACTGGGCACCCCAAGTGGAATACGGAAAGAGAAGGGCTGTGCCTCCTTGCAGAAAAGAGCACAGCTGGTGAAGCTGCCTTCACATCGTCCAAAGTTTCCAGTTCTGGAAAGTTCCAGTTGTAAGAGTGAAATCAATGCCAAGAGGCAGGTCAGTGGAATGAGAGGCACTGAGAAACTAGCCACTGTGGGTGGAAGGGGAAGGAGATTTGGTTTTGACAAGTCCGTACTCAGGTCTTCAGTAAGGAGTTCTGAAGTCAGGGTGAAGCCTTTGTTTATTCTAGAGGAGGCGGAGTTTGGGGTCTGGGAAAGAAGATAACTTCTCAGAAAGTGAAAAAAAGCTCATGTAGAGGATGCTGGGCAAAATAATGGGAAGGAATAAATCAGCATTGTAGAGAATGTGGTTGGATCATAAAATCCCAGGCTATAGAGATTATGTGCTCAAAGCCTCTGCATTTTATGTGAACACACACAAACCAAATGTCGACCAGATGCACAAAAATGTGCATACATGGAGCAGCCAACCACCAATAGTAACCAGCATTTCACTTCTCTTTGCATCTCAGTTGGCTGTACCTGGAAGGGTCTAGACTTTGCCTCCTTCTCGTTCTAGCATTCTGACACTGTGTGCAGTGTAATAGAAAACGCGGTTTGGGAGCTAGGTTTGCCCAACAATAGATATTCTGGGGTGATTTTCATCCTTTGCATTTGTCATTACGATGTTTTGTGTGCTTGTGCAAATACAGGACGGTTCCTGAAATGTGTCTCTGAGCGTTCTTAACTGTGTGTAAGGTAAGCGAGGAAAGTGTCTAAGACAGAGGCCAAGAACACCTGTCACAGGGTACCCGCCTAGAGTGTCTGTACCGCATCCTTTCTGCTACACTGTTTGCACACACACAAAAGGGCCGAGGAGCCAGGGTTGGTGTTGGATATGCCCAGTACGCGTGCTGGGTGTTGGAAGGATGGGGCCGGCGGTAACAAGAATCGATATATATTTACCGCGGGGGCGGGGGTGGGGGTGCGCGGAGGCTGCAGGGCGGGGCAGCGCTAATGAGAGCAAGCCCGGCTTGTGGTTGGTTCTGGAGTCTGGTACCCACAGAGGAGCAGGCAGGGAGGGAGGGGATGCAAGCGGGAGGATAAAGCGATGAAGTGTGCTGCGTTACCGCGCATCAGGCGCTGTTGTTGGAGCCGGAACACCGTGCGACTCTGACCGAACCGGCCCCCTCCTCGCGCACACACTCGCCGAGCCGCGCGCGCCCCTCCGCCGTGACAGTGGCCGTGGCCTCCGCTCTCTCGGGGCACCCGGCAGCCAGAGCGCAGCGAGAGCGGGCGGTCGCCAGGGTCCCCTCCCCAGCCAGTCCCAGGCGCCCGGTGCACTATGCGGGGCACGTGCGCCCCCCAGCTCTAATCTGCGCGCTGACAGGAGCATGATCTGTGCCCAGGCCAGGGCTGCCAAGGTAAGCGGGCGTAGCGCGGGGACACTGTCTGCCGCCCCTTCCCCCCCGCCCTTCTCTGGGCGGCTTCCCCGCCGCACGCGAGGCCCCGGCAGCGCCCTCCCTTCTCGGGGCCGAGATCCACCCTCCTCCCCACCCTCTCGCTTCTCCCGCGAGGTTCAATTGTCAGCCTGGGTCGCGCCGCCGCCCGGTCCGGGCCGGCATCCCCGGGTGGCGACCCCGGCTTGGGTACTGCAGGCGCACCCGGCCCTCCTGCGGGGTACGGAGAGAAACAAAGAAGCCCCCAAGCGGGTTCGCAGCGCCTCCCCCGCCCCTCAGCGCCCTCCCAGTGGCGAGGAGGTGTCAGGGGAGGGGGCGGAGAGACCTACGTAATCCCCCTTCCCAGCCCACACCCACCCCTTGTGAACCAAAGCTCTGGATTTGCGCTTCGCCTTGGGCTCGCTTTTGAACAATTGTGTCCCATGCAATGCCCGTGGTTAGCCCAGAGAGCGCCCAGAGCCTCCGCACGGGCTCGCCGGTGCTCGCTCGAGGGGCGCGTGGCCAGGTCCGGCCCTTGCTCCCATGGACGGGTGCAGGAGGGGAGGAGGCGCTGTGTGGGTGCTCCCCCAGCGCCTCCCTGTTACCGGCCGGCTGCGCCGCTCAGCCGGGCCTGCCACCTGAGTTTTAGCGGGAGCAGTCATGTCGCCTACCGTATTGCGACTTGCAGACAGGCAGGGAGGGAGCTGCCGGGGCGGGGAGGGGGGGGGAATGCGTCCGGTCCATTTTTGGCTGGAGGTGCGCTTCCTGCTACCCCCACGTTCCCGGGCGGTGACAATGCAGCAAAATCCGAGGGCTCAAACAATGTGGCCCCTCCATCCCCGGCTCCAGGGCATTCTGATTGCTCTGCCGCTTTGACGTCCCGGCCACTTGGCTGATTTTCAGAGCCATGATGCGCGGTGTCTCTGTCTTGCACACAGAGGCTGGGCACCATAACTTCTTCCCTGCCGAATTTCAGCGCGTAGGGGGAGCTGGCAGGGACACAGGCTGCAGAGATGCCCGGCTTCCTGTGGTTCCGGGCACAGCGCGCCTCAGTCTGCATTGGGCTGACACCAGAGAGCATGTGGGGATTTTCCTAGTTGCCGAAGAAGATATTATTTGACGTTGCTGTAGTTTTGTGCTTACTTCTCTTGGAATCTGCAGTGGTGCAATTCTCCCCTTGTTTTCCCCCCTTCTCTTTGAAAAGATATCAATGCTATGTTCAGCAGAAACGGATACAGCAAGAGCAGCATAGTTCAAAAATTGAGGGAGGCATCTTCTCTCTTTTCCTGGGATTTAAACGCGATTTAGGAGGGCAGATGCCCTACCCGAAAAGGCCAACCGTTAAAGACCCCGGCAGTGTTGTGGTCCAAGGCGTCTCAAAGCAGGTGGCCAGATCTGCGTTTCTCATCAGCAGACTCACTCCGGCTGTGGCTATTACGGTAATTCATTCTAGATTGGGGATTCATTTAAAAATGTGTGTTTTCCACTAAGAAGGGATTAGAGTCCACATGCCCACCCTGGTATGAATGTGTGTGCCTGTTTGGTAGAGAGATAGATTGTGGTAGAATTCCCTGTTGGTAGAATTCCCTGTTGCCTGTTCCCTCCGCTTGCTGCTTCCTCTGGAATGTGGCATTGGAAAAACAAAGCACTATTTTAATTCCTAGACCTCCAGGCAAATTGGCCGTTCTAGTGTTTTATTTAATAATCCACGTTCTGACTAATTCCACACTATAATCCCAGTCTAGTGCAGTTGGCTGCTTTGTGGAATGACAGTTCTCTTTTTTTTTGGAGTAGTTTTTTCATGAAGGCAAATTGCCTAAGTTTGTTTAGATTGTGACATTATTGACTTGATAGGGAGGTCACATCCGGAGCTGGAACAGCCCATCAATGTATCAATACAGAGGGACTGCAGCTCTGTTATTTGTGTATATAGCATCATTTGACTTGATTCCTTTTACACTCTGGCTTTTAAAGATGGATGTATTACAAGATCACTTTGAGCTTTACCTTCTATTATGCTTCCATCTGATATGATTGTTAACAAAAGAAATATTAAAAGGCCAGATGTGATATGGAAAGACAAGCCTGAGTCTCATTCCTCATGGTAAAGGAAGTTGGACTGGCTGGTTTCTATCGTTCTTTCTAGTTCCAGCATTCTGTGGTAACTGACAGAGGAGTAAGAAA
Organism: Homo sapiens; assembly: GCF_000001405.40. NCBI lineage: Eukaryota > Metazoa > Chordata > Mammalia > Primates > Hominidae > Homo > Homo sapiens. The sequence goes on from NC_000007.14 coordinate 43,115,137, forward strand.
AGTTACCCAGTGTTGGAAAGGCAAATAATTATAACGTGAACCATGCAAGCAAACCAAGGATTGACTGTAGAATCTGCGGCTTATTTTTATACCTTGCAGCTTTTAAAACCCAAGCGTCTGCATTTTCCCCATAAGTGAAATTACTCACCAACTCAAACAGGTCTTTTTTTTTTTTTTTTGTCCACTATAGCAAAACATTTGGTGGAGGGTTGGGGAAAAGAGAAGAAGATTGAATTAATTGGATAACAGGTGTTCTCCTTTTGTGGAGTTATTCATTCCAACCCCATCTTAGATAATTGAGAATTCACTTTTTCCAATCATTGGTTTTTGTTTGTTTCTAATGAGACACTCTAGATAGCTGTTTCATCCTATGCAGTAATTGACAATGGCATGAGACTTACTTTCTCTGATGTAATTTGGTGTTGCTCTCAAAACTTGCTAGCGCTGTTGCTTGTCACAAAAATGGGTGAAGCAATGATTGGTCTAAATAGGCAGGCAGGCAGTGTTTTCATGCGCTATGGTAATTTTTATAATTTAGGTATAGTCAAGGTATTTGTTGATTCATGCTTAGCCACACAATTTTCCGTAGTTGTGCACTCATTTGTTTTAAGTTACAATCAAAATAATATCCTGAAATTACAGTCCCTGCAAGGCATAATTAACCACTTCTTCTCCTGTTTTCCCATAGCCTTTTTGTTCATAGAGCTAAGATAGCACTTACAATATTGCAGTTATCTGAGTTGTAAATGTGCCACAGTCTCCTTATCTTAAATATGGGATGAGCTTCTTCAGAACAAGGACATGTTTATATTCATCTCTCCAGCACCTAGCAGTTTGCCTGGTACATCATGTGTTCTCAGAAATGTTTATTGAGTGGATTTCAGGTCATAAAAATGCCCTCTAATTGTATAGGCAGGAGGTAGGTAGGAATCCTTCACTTTGTGAGTCAGCTGGGGGAATCAGAGAGGTTATGTAAGATGCTTAAGGGGGAACCGAGAGCCAGGACTCAAATCCAGGCCTTCCACCACCCACCCTCAGTAAACAAAAAAACACGTAGAGAATGAGTTCAAATGCTGTAGGTTTTGGTTATTTATTTTTTTCCTTGAATGATCTGGATTATCCATTTTGACAAAATTTATCTGATAACTGCTCTGTTCTGTCTTGCTCTGGCCTTAGAAGGAAACATGGCCCAAGCACTTTAACCTCTAATCCACACTTAAACAGAAGACGTGAGCACCCTTCTGCCCACTTTCTCTCTAAGTCCTGGTTCTATCAACCAGAGCTTGCTAGGATGATGGACACGTCTAGGGAATGTCTACTCATTATTTGCTCAAGCAACATTGAACCACTGTAAGTGCTTCTGAAATGACCTACAGTTAGACCAGAGACAACCATCCTTCCTGGGCCAGCCAAGCTTGACTGAGTCTCCCAATGGCAGGTTTCTAGACTAACAGGTGTGACTTACAGACATCAAGACACCTGCTTCTCTCCCATTTACCTGCTTCCTTTTCCATCCTAAAAAACAGGACAAGCTACATTAGGAAACCAGGAAGTTGCAATACCCACATGTCCTCTCTGTAAAACAGCCGTTGGCACATTTGATGTTCACGGACTTTTAGAGAAAACAGTATGAAATGCTCTGTGGGGTTTTCTTCAGGTCACTTTTCCTCTTTGAGGGTTAGTTTCTTCTTCTTTAAGAGTAGAAAGTTGAATCAAGTAATCCCAAAGGTCACTTCTAACATCACCATTCTGTGATTATTTTTGTTGGTTTATTCAGTTGAGCAAGTTGAAAGGAGAAAAAGATTAGAAATAATTTAATTTGGCAATATGTAGAGAAGAAATAATTAAGGCTACATGGTGCAGCCTGTGGTTATCTGATAACTACTTTGAGCCTTCTGTTAAAACTATTCTTTATACATTTCTATAATCCTTTCTTATTTGTAAAACTAAATTTACTATATTAAGGGGAAAGATTTGTGGCATTTCTTGTTCCCAGTGAGGAATGCAGTGGTGGAAAAAGTATGCAATCTCCAAAATGTACAAAGTGTTTAGAATTTGGGGGTTTAATAGCCAAGGTTCCAAGCATTTTTATTCTCACCACTGAGTATGTTTCACAGCTGAATAACTCTTATGGTCAAAGTGTTCCCTGCAATTCATCCAACAAATTCCCCTTTCAGTTTCTCTCTGGTTCCTCATTTTGCTCTTTTTTTCCACTTCTTTAGCTCCACTCAACTTCCTATAACATCCCCCACATACATAAGCCATATGCCAGTAGTACACTGCCACCCCCCACCCGCCCCACCAAAGGCAGGAGTCAGAGCTTCACAACCTCCTTACTCAGCTCAATCTTTTCTACTTTCTGAGGTTTATTCATTACCATTGCTTTTCCAAGTTAAGACACAATGAGATATAGAAGCAGGTCGAATCTTTTAACGATATTGTTTATCGTTTACGTCTTTTTCTCACAGACTTTCTGACCACCATTTGGAACCTCAATGCCATGCATTTAGGTGTCTTAAAGCCTCTTTAAATATTTTAGGAAGCAAAGCAGCATATTAGCAATTTTATGTATCCCATCCCACAGTGTTTGGATGTGTGGGTATTGGTAAGTAGTTGTACTGTTCTGTGACATGGGCACTGAAAGGAGAATGATAATAATGCAATTACTTACTGGCAACATATGACAAAGATCACTAAGCTCCTAGGTCATCTGGATTCCCATAGCAACAAGTGGTATACACTGTTTGCATTATTTGTTCAGAACTGATACTTTTCCTGATTTATTGGTCTGAAGCTTGATGCATATGGAGGCCTGAAAAATAAGGATGTGGCATACAGACAGGCTCTCCTGGTGTTATCAGGCATCTATGCATGTGATATGCAGGGAGAATTTGGTGGATGGAACTTAAGCCGGTACCAGGGGGGCGGGGGAAGAGTTGGGAAAGGACGCCATCTGTGCCCATGATGACAAATGCCATCATGGAGACTTCATTCGGGGTCCCTTTTATATATTTAGTGAAGCAGATTTTCCATTTCACACTTTCTAGATATATTTGTATTGCACAGATGTCAGGGAAATATCATGTGTGTGAAAGAAAAAAAAAAGATCAAAATTCACATCCATGGCCAGGGATTGTAATTCAATCATTTTGTCCTGAAATTGACATCCATTTAACGTGCATGGATGTTCCCTGCTTTTGCTTTTGCTTTGGGGGTTCAAGTCAGAGCAGTTGGAGAAACATAAATCTCAGCCCTACACATTGTTAAAATTCAGAGATCTAGGTTAAGGGGGGAAAAGATGGGGAGAATAAAATTAAACATATAAGACCTTGCCATCAGTGCCGTCAGTACCAGAGCTGATGAAATCAATCAGCAAGTGATTCCTCATCCTCTTTCCTGTAACACACAGATGAGCTGAAGAAACCACAGGACGCAGTCAGTAAGTTTTTATCCTCAAAAGGACTTCTTTTTTTCTTTACCGTTATTCATAATTCCTTGTGCCATCAAAACTTAAAACTACTTAATGACGTTTTCCCTCTATTTTGAATATAAATTATTTTTGTAGAAATGAGCTTTTTGAAATTGGAAAAAAAAATCGTTTTGAGGATTGTTGCCAGCTTTATTTCCCCCTGCCTACCCCCAGCATTGTCCTTGGTGTCCCCTCTACATGACCGGGCATAGGACCTGCATATAAAGAGGATGATGATAAGGAAATAATTGGCATACAAATGGTACTGTGATGTATGACATTTATAAAACCGCTCCCTGACTCCACATCCCCCATGATGGATTTTCTGTTTCTTTTTAAAGAATATGCTTCAAAAAGGTTGTCCCACTGGCCTTCTTCACTCCCTCCATCTCAGCCTCTAAAGACATATTTTATTGTGACATATTTGATTTTGACAAACAGCACATTGAACATATATGAAATATATGAAGCAAAATATGACACACACCCACCATGCAGCCTGAGACCAGAAGATCACCATCTTATTTGAAGCTACTTTTGTGTTTCTGCCACCTCTCACCTTTTGCCTGTCTTGAGAGCACCTCGATCAGGTATCAGTCACTCGTTCCTGTCACTCCCCTCCCTGTTGTCATTAGGGTCACCAATGATCTCTACCTGGTGAAGTACAAGGGCACAGCTTTGCTGATCTGAGCAGCATTTCCCATGGGGCTGTGGGGGACCACTCTTTTCTTAAGCACCTGGCTTCTTCCAGGACACCAGATTCTCCTGGTGTTCCCGCAGCCTCTCTGGCTCTTCTCTCTCAGGCTCTTTGGATGGCCCCTGAGTTTTTATCCCGATTGATCTCAACTGAATTTTGACCTTTAAATGCGGGTACGGGGATTCCCCAGGCCTTGGCTCTCAGACTTCTTCCCTTCTTACTTAAATTCCTTCTCTCAACACTGTCTTCATGCTCATGATTCCAAGTTTATTTCGTCAGCCCTGACTCATTCCCAGAACTCCAGACTTGAAAATGCAACCGCCCAGCATCTCCCTTTGAATGGCACGTTAGCTTAAAATTAACATGTGCAAAATACAACCCCCGATTTTTGCTCCCTAAACGTGCTTCTCTTCTGGTGTCCTCCATCTCTCTCAGGGACAACTCTGTCCTTTCAGTTGTTCAGGTCAAATACCTGTGAGTCCCTCTGACTTTTTTCTCACCCAGATCCAGCTTTCAATAAATCTCTGTCCCTTCTCTCTCCCTCTCCATCCAGCACAGCCATCCCCGTCTAAGCGCTAGTAAGCTTTCCTAACTGGTTTTCTGTAGTCCTTGCCCATCTGCAGTCTGTTCCCTATACAGCAGCCCAAACGAGCCTTTAAAAGTGGAAGTCTTCTCATTCATTCATTCATTCAACAAATACTGCCTAGACATCTGCTGTGTGCCAGGCATTGGTTTAGGTGCTGGGATGTAGCAGGATCACAGTGCAAAACAGTCACAAGTCCTTGTCCTCCTGGAGTGGACATTGTGTTACTTCTTTGACCATAGCCCTGTTCAGGATGAAACCCAAACTCCTTACTTTGCCTACAGGGCTTGCCTTGCCACTCTCCGAGTCCCCAGTTGTCCTTGCTCTTCCTAGAACGTGCCAGGTACAAATACTGTTCCCTTGACCTGGAGGGACGGTCCCCCAGCCACCTGCATCCTGACCCCCTTTATCAGATATCACACCCTCAGAAAGGCTTATTCTGACCACACACAATGTGCTCTCTTCCATCTGCTTGTTTGCTTGCTTTTTCTTCATACCACTTAGCACCACGCAATTTGTTACATAGTTTCTGCTTATGTGCTATTCTCTGTCTCCCCTTCTAACTTGTAATCTCCATTAGAGCAGGAACCTATTTGTTTACCCAGTGCCTGGAAAAGTGTCTGGAACATATTAGACACCACACTGAATGTTTGCTGACTGACCGAATGATGTAACAGGTGCTTTCCTTAACTGAAATCCAACCTCAGAACTTTCTCTATGTCCACATTATATTGGATAAATCCCCTCTATTTATTTATTTATTTGTTTTATTTTTTGAGACAGGGTTTCACTCTGTAACCGAGGCTTGAGTGCAGTGGCATGATCTTGGCTCACTACAACCTCCGCCTCCCAGGCTCAAGTGATTTTTCTGCCTCAGCCTCCTGAGTAGCTGGGACTACAGGTGCACACCACCACACCCGGCTGATTTTTGTATTTTGTGCAGAGATGGGTTTTCACCATGTTGGCCAGGCTGGTCTGGAACTCCTGGCCTCGAGTGATCTGCAAATCTGAGTGATCTGTAATCCCAAAGTGCTGGGATTACAGGTGTGAGCCACCACGCCTGGGCAGATAAAACCCCCCTAAAAGCTGCTGGATTAGAGTTTAGATGATATTTTCAGGTCTCAGGATCCTCTGAGCATATATCTTCCCTTTTCCATGCACTATTTTTCCCTCCCCTACAAGGAGGTGGCTGGGGTTCTTCCTTCCTGCCTGGACATTTTGTTGGTCCTGAACTTCCGTGTTTTTCTCCTGGCTGGTGTTCTCTAACAGTTAAAGAGAGTGGCTAGCTTGAGCTTGTCTTTGCTTCCTCAGCACCCAGCAAGTAGACCCGGCAACTCAATTATTGTTGAGTTGAATCACTTAGTTGTTGTTATTGTTGCTGCCAGGACTTGATAAAAACTGTTCTTTGCTTCCTCTGGGCCACACTGACTTTGTCATCTTGAATGTGAGCCTGTCAGTCCTGTGTTCAAAGCTCTCAGGAGTGGCCAAAGTACGCACAATTCCCTAGGCTGGCATCGTCGGGCTGTAGGCCTTGGCCAGCTCATATCCCCATGCACTCTTTTGACCCTCTGTGGCAGCCAAGCAAATCATTTTCCCATTTCTCCCAACATGCTCTGTGCTTTTCCGTAGTTGTGTAAACATACAGTGATATGTAAACATATAGTGATATGTAAAATCACTATATTATACATATAGTGATATTTTATATATCACTATATGTATAATAAATGATGCTATTTTCTGCTCTTAGACTCCCCATCCCTCTGTAAATGTAACCATTTTTAAGATCTAACTTAAACCTTACCTCCTAGCAGAGTCCATCACTCAGTTTCCTAATAGGATATGATTTATCTCCCTACAGAATTCTCCTGGAATGAGTATCATTATTTGCTTATTCTTCACTCTCCTGTCTTTCAGCCTCCCTACTAAATGCTGAGCTCCTCTAGGTTAAGGGCTTGTCACACTTCTCTTAGTATTCCTGAAACTACTTGCCTCAGTATCTGCCTCAGCAGGTACTTCTTTCTCCGAATGTGAAATGAGCTCAAGGAACAACCTAAGAGTTGAGAAGGTCTGCATTTCGTTGCTTCTAGAATGCTATACGCCATGTTGTGTCCACAAAATGCGTACCCCAAAGGTAAGTAGAAAGTTAGAAGAGGTGCACTCCACAAGGACAGATTTTTATTTGTTTGTTGATTCTTCAAGGACAAAGAACAGTGCTCTTCACTCAGTAACCATTTGAAGAATGAATGAAGTACATAGCTGGCATCTTAAATTTCTAATACCCTTGTTCTATAAATGAGCAAAGCCGAGGACTGCAGAGCTTTCCCAGGTTCACAAGGTCAGAAGTAGAGCCCAGTTTTCTGCAGCGTGAATCCTGTCTTTCTCCTGATCTCCACCCCTGCCATGAATAGTGTCAGACCGGAGCGAGAATTGTCCCAGTAACTCTTTCCAGGTGATGCTCACTAGTGTTACTTTCTTACCAATATCTGAGGAGCTTCCTTCTTTAGGCAAGGTCTAATTTTTAGGTCATCTGAAAGAAGCAAGAGTAGAAATTGCAGAATTTCAAAGGACTCAGAGACCCAGAAAGGGGGGTTTATTGGCAGTGCTCCTCTCCTGCTTTAGAAACAACTTTTAACAGCAAGTAGCAAACTTTTTGATGAGACCTCTCTCATAAGAACTTTGCAAGCACTATCCATCCTGTTGTCGCAATAAAGTAAAATTTATCTTTCTTAGAAACATACATTCAGATCATGGTGTGACATCCTTGAGAAAAATAGCGGAAATTCACAAATTGTTATTTTCTCCTTTCTCCCAGGAAAGGAAAAAAATATCACTATATGTATAATAAATGTTAAGCTTCGAGATTCTAAAGAGAAATTTGACCAAGGGACTACTAAATCACAAATCTAAAAATAAGTCCTATATATCTATACACAAATATGTATAAAACTACATACACATAACATATATAAACACATGCATATAATTTTTAAAATTCTGGTTATTTTCAAATCATTTTCCGTTGCTTATTTATTCCGAAAACATTTCTTGAGCTATTATGTGAAAAGCATTTCGGTTCTTTTGTGTGTGAGATTTTTCCATCTAGACAAAAATCTGCTTATGGTTAAAGGTGAAAATGTCCAAAGACAAAGCAGAATTAAATCCCTCCCATGCAGAAACATCTAATTTGAGAAGGCAAAATGAAAAAGTTGTAGCCTTTAAGGGTGATTATTTTATTTTTTGCACTATTCATGGAGCATCTATTTTGTACCAGACGCTGGGCTGGGGGCCATTACCACGATGAATGAATCCACAGCACATTTCTTGTCTTTACAGAGTGAGCTCCTCAATTTTACAATATTGCTTCCGGAGGAGCTACTCACAGTTCGGTCATTAAACAGAACATTGCCCTTGTCAGGAGCTTAGAAATCATCGTGACATTCTTGGCTTAAACTTAATTTTACCAAAACTGAGTGTACCTGCCGTTGACCTTGGGTCCCTTAGGGCCAAGGCACTAGGTCTGCTTGCCGAGAGACCACTGCTGTAGGAACATGCTCTCCTGTGACCCTGCGCTTTGACATAAGTTGCCTTTTTCCAGGGGATCCAGAGAGTCTTCTGGAGCAGGGAGCACTTTCTGTCTAAATATTGCATATGGACTTTAATGAAAAGCTGTGTCCTTGCCCATCTGCAGTCTTTGCCCATTCTGAGGTTCAGATTTGGCCTGAAAGTCAAGTTTCTGTGGTTTTTGCCTGGTCAGGACCCAGGCAGAGTGAATGATCTGGCTTGGTGCACATAATTAGCAGGTGGATGAGGCCAGGGTGGCAGATGTTTCCAGACCACACTGGACATGAGCCCCAGCCCTCTTGCCTGCCTGATGCTGTGGAATAGTGGTACCATAGCCCTTCCAACCGGGTGGGCTGTGGGCTGGGAGTGGAGGCTGGAAGACCAGGCCCTCCTCTCCAGAAGTCTGTGTCCTGCTCTCAGTTAAACGGCACATATTGTCTTATTCTAGAATGTGTTTTAGTTTCTTGGAGAAAGTGTTTAATGAACCATTTAAGCTATATAGAGAAAGTTGAGAGATTATGGCAAGAGAGAGAAAACAAATCTAAACCCAAATTGTATCTACAGGTGTGGGAGTGATTGGGGGTGGGTAGGAACTGAAGGGAAGCATCAAGCTCTAAGATAGAAAACCTTCATTCTGTGCTCCTGACTCCGTCCTTTTTCAAGTGTTCATTTGTGTCTACTAAACGATGTAATCGACGCACTATTTTTATAGAAACATGAAACTTTGTGGTAGATATTTTTTTCTTCACTGTTAGAACTCCTGCCTTTGAAATTTCATTTTAGAGGCAAAAGAGAGTGAACGGCTTTGCTTTTACATTTAGCACATGTTGGTATAAATTCGCAAATAGCTTTTGAGGGATCCAGATATTTTATTTTTCAAATCTGTTTTTTCAAAGTGCTATTAGCAGGTGGAACTCATGACTTCAGGCAATTTTCAGGCAATGAGCTCAGTGAGATTTGAAAATTAGCTAAGCCATTTGTAGATTCATAGAATGCTGTCTGGATAAGGAACCTAAGCCATGGTCCCATTCAACCCACTCATTTTCCACACAGTGAAACACGTTGTGAGCACACATCTCCCAGGACCACAGAACTTATATTTGTTAAACCTGAAAGAGGAACCTGTCTCTGAGCTTGGGGCCTCATGCTCTGCAGCACTTTTTGCTAGCTCTTTTCAGGGGCTGTCCTCAGGGTGCAGGCTGGTGGCATCAACGATCGAGGTGCAAAGTCAGTGCTGGGATAGGGGACTGGGAGTAGCCAGGAGCTTACCCTGGTTGTGCCTTATCTTCAAGCCAATTATTAACAGTATTGCTAGTTCTTCACATTTTTCTAAGCAAACCAAAAGATTGTGTTTTTAAGATAAATTTTATAATTTTAAGATTTTTTTTCTCACTCAACTTAATGATTTTACAATACTCAGTGGGCCAAACCAAGTATAACTGTAAGTCTCCAATTTGCAACCTCTGCTGTAGGAAAACTGTGTTTTCAAGATGCCTTAGTTTGGGGTGTTATACCAAATACCATAGACTGAGTGACTTATAAACAACAGAAATTTATTTCTTACAGTTGTGGAGGCTGGAAATCCAACCCAGTGTGGTCGGGTTCTGTAAGAGCCCCCTTCTGGGTTGCAGGCTGCTGACTCCTTGCACCCTCGCTTGGTGGAAAGAGGGCTAGGGAGCATTCTGGGGCCTCTTTTATAAGGGAACTAATGCCATTCATGAGGGCTCCAGCCTCATGACCTATTACCTTCAAAGGCTCCTCCTCCAAGTATCATCACACTGGGAGTTAGGATTCCAACATGCGAATTTGAGGGGTGCAAACATTCAGTCTCTAACAGAGGATTTCTATGAATGGAAAAAGACCATGATCATGGCTTCGAATAACTAAAATCTGAATGTGGCAGAGGGGCTTGGCACCTCCTGACTTGCTCTGAGTCCAGAATGAAAAGTAGCGGGTAGAAGATTTTGATTCAATAACAATATATATTTTCTATTACTCAGACTTATTCAAGAAGAGTGAGGCATTGGTCGGGTGTGGTGGCTCACGCCTGTAATCCCAGCATTTTGGGAGGTCAAGGTGGGTGGATCACAAGGTCAGGAGTTCGAGACCAGCCTGGCCAATATGGTGAAACCTCGTCTGTACTAAAAATACAAAAAAAATTAGCCGGGCATGGTGTCACATGGCTGTAATCCCAGCTACTTGGGAGGCTAAGGCAGGAGAATTGCTTGAATCTGGGAGGCAGAGGTTGCAGTGAGCCGAGATCGTGCCACTGCACTCCAGCCTGGGTGACAGAGCGAGATTCTGTCTTAAAAAAAAAAAAAAAAAAAAAAAGAGTGAGGCATTAATACGAAAGTTGCCACTGAATGGAGCCAAGCGGCCTTTTGTAAGGGATGCTGGAAAGGTCTCTGCTGGATGGAGGCTGGTCCTGTCCCATCCTGGAGAAGTGAACTCATAACTTCCTCAGTCTAAGCTCAAGGAGACCTTGCTTTCTAACCTGGCTTTGTAGTCATCCTGAAAACCTCCAACTGCCTTAACATGCCATGGGAAATGGTCCAAAAGCTTTGGGGGACAAAATCCATGTAAATGCAAGGCGTGCGTGTATATGAGTTTGTTCTCACTTTTTTTTTTTTTTTTTTTTTTGGTTTTTACTCACCACTGTACTGACGAGGATCACTTTCCTATTTAAATGAAACCCTACCAGCTTGAGTCTCCTTGGATTCTTAGGGATTGCTCCTTCCCTTTTATAATTGTTCTATTTTCTCTTGTCCATAAAGCATTGTGCAAACCTTCTTCATCATCTATATCTCTTCCCCACCACTAGAAAAATTCCTCTCTTTACTTGATTTTTGCTACAACACCTTAGAAATGTTATTTTTAAAATATAACACATATATATCATTGTCTAAAGCAAGGGTCTGCAAGCTGAATTGGCTGGCCTTCTGTTTTCATAGATAAGGTTTTATTAGAACACAGTCATGCCAGTCATTTACATTGTGCTTAAAGCTACTGCCATGCTATAATGGCAGAGCTGACTAGTTAAGACAGAGACCATTAGACCCACAAAACCTTAAATGTTTACTAACTAGCCCTTTAAGAAAAAATTGACCTAACTGCTGATTTATATGAAAACAAGTATACAGGTATACCTTGTTTTATTGCATTTCACTTTATTGCACTTCCATAGATACTGCATTTTTCTTACAAATTGAAGATTTGGGCAACCCTGAGTCCAGCAAGTCTATCGGTGCCATTTTTTCCAACAGCATGTGCTCACTTAGTTTCCTTGTGTCACATTTTGGTAATTCTTATAATATTTTAAGCTTCTTTATTATGATATCTGTTATGGTGATCTCTGATCAGTGATCTTTGATGTTACTAATGTAATTGCTTTGGGACATCATGAACTGCACACATATAACATGGCGAACTCAATCAATAACTGTGGTGTGTGTTCTGACTCTTCCACCCATTGGCCATGCCCTCATCCTTCTTCCTTGCCTCGGGCCACCCTATTCCCTGAGACACAACAATATGGAAATTAGGCCAATAAATAACTTTACAACAGCCTTTAAGTGTTCAAGTGGAAGGGAGAGTCTCATGTCTCTCACTTGATATCAAAAGCTAGAAATGATCAAGCTTAGTGAGGACGGCATGTCAAAAGCCGAGACAAGTCAAAAGCTAAGCCTCTTGCACCAAACAGTTAGCCAAGTTGTTAATACAAAGGAAAAGTTCTTGGAGGAAATTAAAAGTGCTACTCCAATGAACTCCTGAATGATAAGAAAACAAACAGCTGGCCGGGCAAGGTAGCTCATGCCTGTAATCCCAGCACTTTGGGAGGCCGAGGCGGATAGATCACCTGAGGTCAGGGGTTTGAGGCCAGCCTGACCAACAAGGAGAAACCCCATCTCTACTAAAAATACAAAATTAGCCAGGTGTGGTGGCGCATGCCTGTAATCCCAGCTACTTGGGAGGCTGAAACAGGAGAATCGCTTGAACCTGGGAGGCAGAGGTTGCGGTAAGCCGAGATTGCACCACTGCACTCCAGCCTGGGCAACAAGAGTGAAACTCCATCTCAAAAAAAAAAAAAAAAAAAAAAAGGAAAACAAACAGCCTTCTTGCTGATATAAAGAAAGTTTTCATGGTTTTGGATAGAGGATCAAACCAGCCACACAGCATTCCTTTAAGCTAAAGCTTAATCCAGAGCAAGTCCCTAATTCTCTCCAATTCTATGAAGGCTGAGAGACATGAGCAAGCTGCAGAAGAAAAGTCTGAAGCTAGCAGAAGTTGGTTCATTAGGTTTAAGGAAAGACACTATCTTCAAACATAAAAGTACAAGATGAAGCAACAAGTGCTGATGGAGAAGCTGCAGCAAATTGTCCAGAAGATCCAGGTAAGATCATTGATGAAGGTGGCTACATTAAAAATTGATTTTCCTTTTTTTTTTTTAAAGACAAGGTCTTGCTCTGTCACTCAGACTGGCATGTAGTAGCATGATCACAGCTCACTGCAACCTCGGCTTCCTGGGCTCAAATGATCCTCCTGCTTCAGCTTCCTGAGTAGCAGGAACAACAGGTGCGCACCACCACATTGGGCTAATTTTTTGATTTTTATGTAGAGATGAGGTTTCACTATGTTACCCAGGCTGGGCTCGAACTGCTGGGCTCAAGCAATCCTCCCACCTCAGCCTCCCAAATTATTGGGATTACAGGCGTGAGCCACCGCACCTGGCCAAAAATAGATTTTCAATGCAGATAAAACAACCTTCTATTGGAAAAAGTTGCCATGTAGGATTTTCATAGCTAGAGAGAAGTCAGTGCCTGGCTTCAAATCTTCAAAAAATACATTGACTTGCTTGTTAGGGGCTAATGCAGCTGGTGACTAAGTTGAAGCCAATGCCCATTTACCATATGAAAAATCCTAGGGCCCTTAAGAATTATGCTAAATCTATTTTGCCTGTGCTCTGTAAATGGAACAATGAAGCTTGAATGGCAGCACATCTGTTTATAGCATGGTCTACTAAATATTTAAACCCACTTAGAAAAAAGATTCCATTCAAAATATTACTGCTCATTGACAATGCACTTGGTCACCCAAGAGCACTGGTGAAGATATACAAGGAGGTGAATGTTGTTTTCATGCCTGCCAAGATAACACATTCTGCAGCCCATGGATCTAGGAGTAATATTGACTTTCAAGTCTTATTATTTAAGAAATACATTTCTTGATGCTATAGCTGCTGTAGACAGTGATTCTTCTGCTGGATCTGGGTAGAGTCCATTGAAAACCTTCTGGAAAGGATTCACCATTTTAGATGCCATTAAGAACACTTGAGGTTCATGAGAAGAGGTCAGAATATCAACATTAACAGGACTTTGGAAGACATTGGTTGCAACCCTCATGGATGATTTTGAAGGGTTCAATACCTCAGTGGAGGAAGTCACTGCAGATGGAATGGAAATAACAACAGAACTAGAATTGGAAATGGAGCATGATGATGTGACTGATTGCTGCAATATCATGATAAAATTTTAACAGATGAGGAGTTGCTTCTTATGGATGAGCAAGGAAAGTGATTTCTTGAGATGAAATCTATTCCTGGTGAAGATACTGTGAACATTGTTGAAATGACAACGAAGGATTTAGAATATTACATAAACATAGTTGATAAAGCAGCAGCAGGGTTTAAGAGGATTGACTCCAATTTTGAAAGAAGTTCTATTATGGGTAAAATGCTATCAAACAGCATCACATGCTACAGAGAAATCTTTTGTGAAAGGAAGATTCAGTTGATGGGGCAGACTTCATTGTCTTATTCTAAGAAATTACCACGGTCACCCAACCTTCAGTAACCACCACCCTGATCAGTCAGCAGCCATCAACACTGAGGCAAGACACTCCACCAGCAAAAAGATTATGACTTACTGAAGGCCCAGATAGATAATTGTTTGCATTTCTTAGCATATTTTTGAAATTAAGGTGTGTGTATTATTTTTCTAGACATAATGCTATTGCACTGCTAATAGACTACAGTATAGTGTAAACATAACTTTTATGTGCACCAGAAAAGCAAAAAATTTGTATGATCCATTTTGTTGAGATAGTCACTTTATTGCAGTGGTCTGGAACTGAACCTGCAATATCTCTGAGGTATGCTTATATTAAATAGGTAATTGAAAAACAAAAACAAAACGGATAAAGGACAAAATAACCATCTGTAATGCAATGACTAGCTGGACAAACCACTGGTGTCTTAATTTCCTCTAACCGTATACAGTTGTCCCTTGGTATCCATGGGGGATTAGTTCCAGGACCTCCTGTGAATACCAAAATCCACAGATGCTCAAGTCGCTGGTATACGATGGTGTGGTACCTGCCCATAAGCTACATACATCCTCCTGTATACTTCAAATCATCTCAAGATTACTTATAATACCTAATACAATGTGCATGCTATGTAAATAGGGGTTATATTGTTTAGGGAGTAATGACAAGAAAAAGTCTGTACATGTTCATATAGATGCAGTTTTTTCTCAAATATTTTCAATCTGCAGTTGGTTGAATCTACAAATGCAGAACTTTTAGATTAGAAAGGCTGATTGTATACATTGCAATATGAAATCACACCATAAATACAATTTTTTTTAAGCTTTGACTTACATAATTCTAGGTGTGATTTTAAGCACTCAAAAACACCTATGTTCATTTAGCAATATATTAGATGCATTTTCTTCTCAGAGATTTTTTGACATTGTATAAGTGTATATTACAGGTTGAGTATCCCTTACCAAAATGCTTGGGCCTAGAGTGTTTCAAATTTTGAAATAGTTGCATATACACAATGAGGTATCTTGAGGCTGGAACCTAAATCTAAACGTGAAATTCATTTATGTTTCATGTACGCCTTATGCACATATCCTGAAGGTAATTATACAATATTTTTGATAATTTTATACATGATACAGTCTGTGTACATTGAACCGTCAGAAAGCAAGGGTGTCACTATCTCAGGCACCCATGTGGACAGTCTGTGGGTGTTTGACATCACCATCATTCCTGACTCAGAATTTGTATGCTACAAAGAAAATGATAAGTAATCATTTTCTTACACTTATTCGCACTTCAGTACTCAACAGTAAAACAATATGGCATATCATTAATATAGTGATAAACAATGTGTTCCAGGTAACTAAGCAACACAGTAGCATCACCAGAATACCTGTATCAGCTGTTAGACAATGACAACAAACATCAGCAGGCTGGATCAATTGTGTGTGGTGCACATGAATTTTGACTGTGACCTGGCACATGAGGTCCATTGTGGAATTTTCCACTTGTGGCATTATGTCGGCATTTAAAACATTTCAAACGTTGTAGTATTTCAGATTTCAGATTTTTGGATTAGAAATGCTCAACCTGTATTAATAACTGGGTATACAATAATCTACTTAGTACTTTGTGTATATGTATGTATCTATTATGCATTGATTCTTTAGTGTGGCACTTTACTGTATGTTTTATGTATAAAATTTTATTTGGCTGAGCATGGTGGCTCAGACCTGTAATCCTAACACTTTGGGAGGCCAAGGCGGGTGAATCACTGGAGGTCAGGAGTTCAAGACCAGCCTGGCCAATATGGTGAAACCCCATCTGTACTAAAAATACAAAAATTAGATGGGCGTGGTGGCACACGCGTGTAATCCCAGCTACTTGGGAGGCTGAGGCAGGAGAATTGCTTGAACCCAGGAGCAGAGGTTGCGGTGAGCCGAGATCTTGCCACTGCACTCCAGCCTGGGCAACAGAGTGAGACTCTATCTCAAAAAAAAATTTTTTTTGTATTTAATCCTTCCAAGTTTGTGTGAAAAGTATTATTAACTTCAGTCTACAGATGGGAGTACTGAGACCTGAAGTGTTTCTATGGCTTGACCAGCTCACACTGCTGGGCTTTCCAATGACCAACCCTGCATTTTCAGCCTTTCACTTATTACTGGGCACTGAAGTTAAATGTACCTTTGTTTTGTTTTTTGAGAGGAGTGGATGTTAGAAACATTGAATTGATTAATACAGTGTATACAAATCATTGACTGCATTTTTTTGGTATTTCCATAGAAATGATTCTCAAAAGCAGAACTGATGAATCAAAAGGTACACTGGGGTTTCCTCAAACATACTGAAGAATGTGGCTTTTCAGGAAAGTTGTAACAACATATATTGTATTCCAACCCTCTATGAAGGTGCCAGACTCCAACTTGTCAGTGCTCAGCGCTATGATTTAAACCCTTTTAGTTTTGCTCTTTTGCCAAAGGAAGAGGGATACTGGAGGTGGGCTCTTTGCAGGTAGGTGCAGCCAGGTGACTCCTGAGAGTGGCATCTGGGAAAGATGTTGTTTTCCTGATCAGGAGGGACATTTTCAGTTGGCACAAGTGTTCACCCTTTGTCCTTCTGTCTCCTCCTGCTGTCTTATGACCGAGGATTGAAAGCTGCATGCTGAGGACTCCACATGGAGGGAAAGGTGGCCTGGGGGCCTGGGTTACAAGGGCATCGAGTGGGGAAAATACCCAGTTTAGTGAAACCTCTGTTGTTAGGTTCAGATGCAAAGGCAAATGCAATCCTATCCACTCTATTTTCTCTGACTCTTAGTGAAAGGATCATGTTTGTATCTCATTTTCTGCAAATTCTCTGTACTGGGACTTTGCATCTCCACACAGCCCCTCACAGCGCCCCCCCGCCCCAAGTAAGGTTTTGGTGTTTCTCTTGCCAATTTGAATTAAGTCTATATATTATAGATGTTAACTATCATTTTTGATGCAGTTTAAGATGTGTCTTTTAATTTTATTTGTGATGACCTATTGGTTAAAATAATGATCTTCAGATGTCTCCATCAAAAAGTACAATTTGTCTTCACACTTACTAATAGGGACAAATTCCTATTCCCCAATAACCTTGCACTTAATTGTCGTATCATCGAATGGATCGCCCCTAAATCTACATTGGGGGTTGCAAAATGGTAACTTTACAATCATATGATTCCCTTCACATTCATTAGTGGTCATTCTTCTGTGAACAAGAGTTTCCTTCTCTCTCTCTCTTTCTCTCTTTCTCTCTCTCCCTTCCTCCACCCCTCCCTTTAGGGGAAGAGAGTCACTGGGTTCTTAAGGATTTTTACTTACTCAGTGTGATACAATCAGTATTCTTCATGGTGCTCAAATTAACCCAATTTTGCCCAGTGAGTGCCTTTTATGTTATCTCTAACACAAGAAATTGAGTGCTTACACTTTTCTTTAATTCTTGACCCTTCTTTCTTCCTTCCTTCCACTCTCCTGGTCTCTTCCCCTTCCTCTGTTCCTTCCTTCCTTCCTCCCTTCTTTTCTTCTTCAGTTGGAGGTGGGAGGTGCTTATAACATTGGCTAAAATTAGAACGATAATAAATAATGTGGTGAAAGAAGAGTTCTATTTAGTTCTTGTCTTTAATTAAGCTGGATTTAGTTTTTCATTATTAAATAATAAGGGCTATTTGTTTCAGTTTTTTAATAAGAAAGAAGGATGATTCTATTTCTAGTTTTGTTGGTGTTTTAATCATGTCTAAACATTGAATTTGGGGGAATTTACTGAAGTTAACTAGTGCGTTTTTTCCTTTGACCTAATGAAATGATCAATTACATTAATAAGTTTCCTAGAATTAAACTATCTTTACAGCCTTCAAATACACCCAACCTGAGCACTATTATTTTTTCAATTCTGTGATGACTCAATGTGTTTAGTTTTATATATATATGATATACTTACATATGAAATATATACACATTTATATATAAATGAATAAATAAGATTAGTTTGCATTTTTATTATACTATGTATTTAACATTTATAAAATGAATTGGTAAACTTTTTAAATTCTCCTGGGAAATGAATATCATGTGATTATTATTCCCTGGAAAATCTCCTTGGGCTTTATGCCTTTTTCCGTATCAATCTGATAAATTAATTCATTAATCTTATGGTTATTGGTCTCTTTAGTTTTTATTTCTAGTTGAGACAAATAAATTATCTTTTCCTAGAAAACTGTCTATTTTTCTAAATTCAAGTTTTTGACCATTTTTCTTTTATAGTTTCCTGTTTATTAGTAGCTTTAATTCCTTTTGTTGTTGTTTTTACATTTTATATTTCTCTCTTTCTTTCTCTGTTCCTTCCTTACTCTGTCCCTTACTCTCTCCCTCTCTTCCTCCCTCTCTTTTTCAACTAAGATTAGTTGTAAATGTGTCTATTTTATTGTTTTTTTAACTCAAGAACTAATGCTGATATTCATTTCCTTTATTTTGTACTTTCTTATATCTATTGTTTTCAAATATATGTATATTTTTAATAATACAGTTTTCATGAGTGTCTTTTACTTTTCTTTTTATGCTGTTTTGGATGAAAACTTTATTTGTTGATTCCCATCTTGGCATGTCAATAATTTTAAGTCATTCTTTTCTGCTAAGTCTAGATTTAGCTTAAGAATTCTTCTCAACAGAGAGCTGTACATTGTCACATGTAGGCTAGGATATATAGCTGTGTCCATCTTCGGAAAATATAATTAGTCACAAGCCCTCTCTAACTTGTTCAAACTTACCTAAATTATGTTTTTTTATAGCCCAAGTGTTTCATTCTTAAATTTTAAGAATAAATTTGTGGCCGGGCATGGTGGCTCAAGCCTGTAATCCCAGCACTTTGGGAGTGGGCGGGTCACCTGAGGTCAGGAGTTCCAGACCAGCCTGGCCAACATGATGAAACCCTGTCTCTACTAAAAATGCAAAAAGTAGCCGGGCGTGGTGGTGCATGCCTGTAATCCCAGCTACTTGGGAGGCTGAAGCAGAAGAACCGCTTGAACCCGGGAGGCAGAGGTTGCAGTGAGCCGAGATTGCACCATTGCACTCCAGTGTGGGTAAGAGAGTGAGACTCTGTCTCAAAAAAAAAAAAAAAAAAAAAAGAATAAATGTGTTTTAAAATATGAATGGAATGAACTTCCCACCTATAGATTTTTGGGAAAGTCTATGTTTAAGTGTTTTTATGTTTAAATTTAAATTTAATTTTTTTAAAGACAGGGTCTTGCTCTGTCCCCAAGGCTGGAATGCAGTGGTGCAATCATAGCATACTGCAGCTTTGAACTCCTGGGCTCAAGCAATCCTCCTGCCTCAGCCTCCTAAGTAGTTGGGACTACAGGCATGCACCACCATGCTGGGCTTCTGCAGGTTTTTAAGTGGCATATTTTCCTCAATCTTTCAATATTTGGGGGATTTTTTTTTCTTACTTTAATAAATAATGTTTTGTCTGCGACTATCATTTTTGTGTTGTGACTTTTTCCCCAAGACTCTTGACATATTATTCTACCTTTGGTGATCATGGAGAAGTCTGAGGGCAGCCTAAATTTAAATTCTTTGTAGATAATCTGGATTGTTTTTCTACTTGGGTACATTTAAGAGTTTTAAAAAATGTATCAGAGCATTTTGCTAAAATGTCTAGGTATATAGGTTTTTGCTCTCGTTGACTTTACCTGAAACATGAATTCTGATTTGCCTACTCTGTGAAGGAAAATCTTTACTTATTATATTTTTGTGTATTGATTCTTCCCCCTGTGGTACTGTATTTATCTCGGGGATGTTGTTATAGGCTGTTATCTATCTACCAATATCTTCCCTCTCTTTTTTCACTTACTAACAGGGCCACGACTTAATTTGGGAATGGTCTCTTCTTAACAGCTTTATCTCCCAGTCTTCCTTACAGGGAGGGGGTAGTCATATGACATATTTGAATCTAATGAGATAAATTTGGAAGCTGCCAGGTGGAGCTCCTGAGAATGCTCTTTAAGGGGAGATGACTCATCTGACATGCCTCATTCACCTCTTACTCTTCCTCTGTTAGATCTGGAATGTTATTGTAATGGCTAGAGTGCCAGCAGCCACCTTGGAAGCTGGGGAGGAGGGCCACACACTAAATTTGATGGAGCTAGGGCTAAAAAAAACAGTCTGGGGTTCTTAGAATATCATGTAGCTGCCCTCCCACCCCAGATCTGTCCATCTCTGGACTTCTTGCCACATAAGAGAAAATAAATATTTCTCTTGACTAAGGAAATGCTCATGGCTTGTTTGGTCAATGTCTGAACAAAATAACTTCTCTGATAAGCCAATAAAGGTAAATTATCCATCTACACCTATCATCTTTTCATGCATAGCTTTTTCCTTTGACCCATTCTTTCATATTCTTAAAGAGGTTTTTATTCCTTTTTGATACCTCTGATTTGAATTTTCACTCTAAAGCAGACTTTGTTTCTATTACTTTTAATTTTCATGCTGGAAAGATATAGCTCTAATCCCCTATTTGAGTTATATCTTTTTTCATTTCAACTTGCATTTCATTTCGTTTGATTTCTGAATTTAAGTTTTTTCTAAAATCAAGATTAAGTTATTTTTCACATCATTTCTCACCTGATTTCACAAGGCCTTTTATGCTTTTATGACATTTTTTTCAGGATGCAAAATAGATACCATTTACACTTTTTTTTTTTTTTACTATTTGCTGATAGCTCCTTTTCAAACTGTGATTTTCCCCAAATTCTTAGAATTGCACTCCCTATCTGTATTCAACTTTTTTTTTTCTCAGTTTATTCACCTTTGGACAGTAAAACAATCCAGGCTGATGTTTACTAAATTATTAGAAGAACCTCGTCCTGTCTCTATGTGGGTTCTGCCTGAATCAGAGGCGCCTGATACTACTATAGACAGGATGAGGGCTCTAGACCTTGCCAAATTTTAATGCTTAGTTGGCACTTATCTATTGAGGCATATCTCCTAGGGCTTATTTTGAATGAGTAGCTTCCCAAAGCTGTTATATGTGTTTCTCTCATGACTGGAACAAGGGTTGTTTCCTGGGTAATAATATAAGAGGATGCACTTGCAGAGCTCTTTAGCTCTTCATTCCCAAAGGGGGCCAATTCCAGCCCCAGGGCTGAGAGCACACTCCTTCCTCAGCTGGGCTGAAATTACAGGGAGGTTCTCTCATCTCCCAGAAGTTGTAGAAAGAGACTGCTTAGGAAGGAGAGCTGGCAAAAACGGGTCACTTCTGGAAGCACTCCTTCCACAATGGAGGAATGACAACCCATTTTCTGGCAGTGTATGGCTGTGGCCTCAGCCTCATATCTGAAATAGGGTGGTAGGCTACAGGTGGAAGATTTCCAGCCCGTTTTCATCTAAATTACCCTCTCAAACAGATCACAGTTTTGCAATCCAACCCATCCAAACTGCAGATAAGAGAACTTTTTCCCAGGGAGCTGCAAAACATTGGTCAGCATTAGCAATTCCCAGTGCTGTGCCTTGGGGAGCATTATAGTCAATGCACGTCCACTCTCACTTGTTCTGGTGGTGGCCGACTCTAGCCCAGGATGTTCCCAACCTAAGACTGATCCCACTGTTTTCAAGGCATTTCAGCTGAGAAACCCTTTATTATCTCAAGTTTAATATGCCCAAAGCCAACAGTATGACTTTTCCTGGTAATGACATTTTAATTCTTCTTGCCCTTAAATCTTGTAGTTAAGCAACTAGACCCACCATCCAGGTCAACCTGTTAGAGTTAAGCAGTGAGACACAGATGTATCACCCAAATACCCTTGAGGTTATCCAGAATTCCACTTTCCCTCCTTTCCATTCTCACTGCTGTCACAAGTGTGTGGGGTGGGTTCAATCGCTTCATGTCTGAATCACCGAAGGAGCACTCCTGCTCATCTCTTCTGCATCTCCTCTCCCCTCCCTCCCAGCAGGCATGTCAATCCCAGGGTGATGCTTTCAGCAGAGCCTCAGTCATGCTACCCTTAGCTGAGGAGCTGCTGTCTCTTCCCTGTGATCTGCAGCTCAGGTTCCAAGACCATGATTAAATGGTCTAGACCCTCCAGAGATGTGGCCCACATTCATCATTCATCCAGTATTCCTTCCTGCCTCTCTCTAAAATGGATACTCATCAGTAGATTCCGCACATTCCATTCTATATTTATCCTCAGCTCTTGGAACTTGTAAATAATATCTTTTCTGCCTGGAATGCTTTCTGCCTTCTTTTATTTATTTATTTATTTATTTATTTATTTATTTATTTGAGACAGGGTCTTGCTCTGTCATCCAGGCTGGAGTGCAGTGGTACAATCACGGCTCACTGCAACCCACACCTCCTGGGCTCAGGTGATCCTCCCACCTCAGCCTCCCGAGTAGCTAGAACTACAGGCATGTGCCACCACGCCCAGCTAATTTTTGTATTTTTAGTAGAGATAGGGTTTCACCATGTTGCTCAGGCTGGTCTCGAACTCCTGAGCTCAAGTGATCTGCCTGCTTTGGCCTCCCAAAATGTTGGGATTACAGGCATGAGCCACCGTGCCCAGCCACTTTCTGCTTTCTTTATCACCTGTTTAGATCTTACTCCCTCCCAAAGATGCAGCTCAAATCCAGATGTCATATTATTCTGACCAACACTTTTTTTTTTTTTTAAGATTCCGGCCATTATATACTGAATAAGAGACATGCACATTTGGAAATGATTTCAGTGGCTTTGTTTGTAAATTCTTTTGCATCTCTCTCATTTATGTGTGTGATTCCTCAAAAGAATGTTCAATAAATAGATGCTATAAAAGTCAGAATAATAACCCTCGAATTTTTTTCTCTAGCTGTAAAAGTCAGAATAATAACCCTCCAACTGGGAGAGGTAATGAAAGAAGATGTTTTCTCAGTGATTGGAATTGCTGCTGCCCGGACTGGCATAAGCCAGTTGTTCAGGAACTATTGGATGCTGGTGAAGATATCATTTCAACTTACATTTTCTCGGCTTATGTAGTCAATGGTTTAATCTATGCTGATGATTAAATATCTCTTTATTAAAAACATGAGTTTTTTGTTTTGTTTTTATGTCTGTTTTTCCATTTTAGTTCCTAAAGCACAGATTGCTCCAGCACTGCCAGTAAATTAATTAGGAACCACCGGGTGGTTTTCTTCTGGGAGTAGGAGTTGAGGGTCGCTTTGGGGGAGTTCATTGTCGTGTCCTTTCTTCCACATTTCTGAAGTGTTGTTATAAAAACGCCTTGCTTTTCTGTCTGGATATGTACTTGTCTGCACAGTCTATTTACCACCCCTATAGAATCATCATCTTCTCAAACTATGTCTACAACGTTTGCTTTTACATAAGTTGGACAATTAGGCTAGTGTTCTGTGCCTTAGTAAAAACCCTCTCTCTCTTTTAGACCAAGTGACCTAAAACCTCAAGCAACAGTTTTAGGACGGAGTATTCCAAAGCGCTTTCCATAAAACTGTTTTAGGATGAAAATAGAGCTTATTCCAGGGTAGGGGCAGGGGGAAGGGTGGGTGAGAGATTTTAAATGTCAGATAAAGAGGCCTGAACAAAGAGAAACAGATTTCTTTGCTTCTTTACTGCAGGACTTCTCAAGGCCTTTGGCAGGCTGCTGTGCATGGTAAAGCTCCACCAGGGCCAGGTTTCCATGTGCAGCTGTGCAGACAGACTGGTTTTTTTGTTTGTTTGTTTGTTTGTTTTAATAACATTTAGTATTTTAGCATTGTTTTAACAAGGCGTTTTCACATCCTTCGTGCCATTTTAATTGGTGTTCTTTTTGTTTCCATCTCCATTTTATTATGATATCTTCTTTATTCTTAATGAGCAGCTCTGATGTGAATGGTGCCTCTAGGAGGGAAATACTGACCTGACCCTAGGGGGGCTGCCACAGCATCCCCAGAAGCATTTGGCATGAAACTCTTGTTCTTCAAAGAATATCTTTCAGGCCTAGTGTTTAATGGGGAGCACCATGGCAAACCTCAGCCTGGGCTGTTGCAAATCCTGTAATCAGAGTAAAATGGAAGTTTTGCCATACAGCTTGTCTGGCCACTAAAATGCTACTGGCTTGGCTCAGAAATGTTCAAAAGACCCCCTGCATAGAGGATGAGTCAAAGACGCAACATGCAACTATTCCTTTGTGCTGCCAGGAAGACCGTGCTGTGAATCCATTTCCTACTTAGAGACTCCTGTTTTCCTATTTAATTAATGTCATATTTTCTCTTCTATAACATTTAGTATTTTAGCATTGTTTTAACAAGGCGTTTTCACATGATTCGTGCCATTTTAATTGGTGTTCTTTTTGTTTCCACCTCCATTTTATTATAATACCTTCTTAATTTTTCTGCTTTTTAGTTTTCCCTTATTTCTTTTCATTCAAAAATTTAACACAATTTTATATTGTTCCCGGCTTCTAATCTTTTAATTTACTTTCTTAATCCAAGTTTGGTTTCGTTTCTCTTAATTGCTTTATTTCATTATTCATTTTGAGGCTTTCATCTTTGGAAAAAGGGCAAATTTGGGGATCAGATTATGTGGTTTTGACTACCTTCCCAACCATTACTGTCTGGGTGTCTTAGGTGAATTGTTTAACCATTCTCAAAGCTTCAGTTTTCTGTTCTGTGAAATGGACTTGGTGATAAGTTGTTGTAAGTATTAAATGAGAAAATGCATCCAAAGTTCTTAGCCCAGTGCCTAGCTAGATAAGAAATGTCTAATAAAGGTTATTTGCAATGTGAATATTATTACATTTTAAGTTGTTTTGTCATCTTTTTATTGTTAAATTTATACTTATTTAATATTTTTGATTATTTGTTTCATATTTTTTCCCCATTCACCTTGAAACTTTGGAATTTTGGATTCTGACATCCTTTTTTGGCTCTGTTTCATCTATATTTCTCCTCATTAAATTTTTTCCATTTCTTCTGAATTTGATTATTTTTATGCTGACATCTTTATACAGTACATGAAGCAGGGATGAAGGGATTGCTGAAGTTAGTGGACTCACAGGACTAGCAGGGAGGTCCCAGGCCATAGAGGTGCTTCTTGACTGATGAGCGACTGTGCCCCCTCGTAAGTCTCCTGTCTCTTTTCTTGTCAGTTCTCCAAAAAAATCCTACTGTGAGCTATTTCCCATTGGTTAAGGGTATATCTAAGTGCTGAAGTAATGCTGTTCCGTCACACTCATTAACCGTGAAGAACCACACATCGAATCCATCGTTTCTGGCCTTCGTGGTCCCTCATTTATCTTCTTTTGTTACTTTTTGAAGGTAGTTTCTAAATGGCGTCCCAAAAGATCCTCTAGTCTTAAATTACGTGATTCAATGATTCAATATATCGTGCTCAGTATTCTCCCACGAGATTAGGAGAACCCAAAGTAATGCAAATGCTCCCTTTTTGCGGTATCAGCTCGGCTGCTGTAAGTGATGACACAGACTGGGCATCTTCAGCAGAAATTTATTTTCTCTCAGTTCTGGAGGCTGGAAGTCTGAGGTCAAGGTTCCCACTGAGTCCGTTCCTGGTGAGGGCTTGCTTTCTGGCTTCCCGGTGGCCACCACCTCACTCTGCTCACGTGGCCTTCTCCATCATAGACAGAGACAGAAGCAGAGAGAGAGACAGAGCTCCCAGGGGTCCCTTCTTCCTAGGACATTGGTCCTATTGGATCAGAGCCCTGCCCTTCTGACCTCATTTAATCATAATTACTTCCCTAGAAGCTCTGTGTCTTAATACAGCCATGCGGTGGGTTAGGACATCAACAGGTGAATTGTGGGGAGACACAGACATTCAGTTCATAACACCCGTCTTTGGTATGGAGAAAGCTGACCAATGGTCTGGTCTGCCAGCACTGCGAGGTGACATTTCTCACTACCCACTCCTGACTGAAAGCTGGCTCCCTCTGGCTATAACATTCTTTGCTTGAATCCACTGAGTGGGGTCATTAGGAAACTCTATTCAGTTGCCTCACCAGGGTGCCCACCCCCACGGCCCTGGAATCTCACCGAAGCCACCTGTCCAGGAATTGCCCAGACACAGGCACGCTGACCCCCTGCTGGGTCACAGTGCTTACCTCAGAGAACTGCTGCACCTGGGGCTGAGCCCTTTGAAGCTAGTGGTTTTCTTAGAATGTGCTTCTCTTGGAATGTAGCCAAGAGTGTTGACATTTCTCTTGGGTTTTAACATATTTTTGTTTGAGATTTGGATTTTGTTTTTTTTTTAAACAGAGTTTCGCTGTTGTTGCCCAGGCTAGAGTGCAATGGCGCAATCTCAGCTCACCGCGCCTCCGCCTCCTGGGTTCAAGCAGTTCTCCTGCCTCAAGCATCCTGAGTAGCTGGGATTACAGGCATGCACCACCACCCCGGCTAATGTTGTATTTTTAGTAGAGACAGGGTTTCTCCATGTTGGTCAGGCTGGTCTTGAACTCCCGACGTCAGGTGATCCGCCAGCCTCGGCCTCCCAAAGTGCTGAGATTACAGGTGTGAACCACCGCACCCGGTGAGATATTTGGATTTTAGAAAACTAATTTCTCAGTTTGTAAGGAACCAAAGAAATACAAATCCTTCCTAACAGCATGGGTGTACTGGCGACTTGGAGTCTATGAGCCGGACACCTCAAGTCCTACTGCAGGATTCCTCCCACTGGCTCTAATTTAGGCTTTGAGAGTTTGGGTGCAACTGACCTCAAAGTTCTATTCCTCCCGAAAACCTGCACACGCTGTGCTTGCACTGGAGTCTGTATTTATTTCTCCATTTATTTTACTGCATTCCACATTCTCTATGATAGAGAAAATTCTCTGAGGACTTGAAAACTAGATTGAGGTCTGGGTCTGATGGAGGTGTGGGATGCCTGTTTTTGTTGTGAACGCCTGGCCTGGATACCCTGCATCCTCATCATTTGGGGATGCCAATTAAACCTGCAGATTCTGAACTCCCAGGAGGGGGCCCATGGAATCGGGCCCCTGGGACTTGGACAACACTGTGGATATTGCCTAAAATCAGCACTTTTAAACAAGTTCCCAAGATAATTCTTACTCGCACTCCAGTGTTCCCCTAGGGCAGCTTTGTCACCCAAACAGAAAATTCTTAGAAATGTATTCATGCACAGAATCTAGCATGCTGAAGGGTAGCACTGGAGACCAAGCTGGGGGAAGTTACCTCCTCCCTTCCGAGGGTCGAGGGTGGGCTGCTGTGCCCACCAGTCCTGGCTCTGGCTCAGCTCCCTCCCCACACAAAGCCAACGTCCTGCTAGGTTTCAGCTCAAAGTGACAGCAGACTGGCTTCCCATCCTCACATCTCTTTGCCCACAGGCCTGGCCCCTCTGTGGCTTCTAATTTTTTGTTTTACCTCTGTGGTAAATCCTATGTGGCTTCTAATTTTTTGTTTTACCTCTGGAATTTGACAACAGTTCCTGGAGGATCTAGCATGTATACACATTGGTTCTTTTAGCACTCCAGTTTCAGCATCCACTTGATAGCTTCCTGTGCCTTATGCTCAGAAGCGGGGTTCCGGCTTGTCTTGCATCCACTCCTATCTGTGGGATGGAGCACAGGGTGTAAAATCGACAGGTCCCAGATCTGTAAAATCGACAGGTCCCAGATCTGTAAAATCGACAGGTCCCAGGCTGGCTCAGAGTGGTGGGTGCTGTGGTAGCCAAAGCTGGGCTTGGCCATGTAACACTCCAGACTGGAGAGTGGTAGGCTGCCTATTTTATTTTATTTTATTAAGACAGAGTCTTGCTCTGTTGCCCAGGCCAGAGTGCAGTGGCATGATCTTGGCTCACTGAAACCTCCACCTCCTGAGTAGCTGGGATCACAGGTGCATGCCACCACGCCCAGCTAATTTTTGTAGTTTTAGTAGAGACGGGGTTTTACCATGTTGGCCAGACTGGTCGTGAACTCCTGAACTCAGATGATCCACCCACCTCAGCCTCCCAAGGTGCTGAGATTACAGGGGTGAGCCACTGTGCCCGGCCAAGGCCGCCTTTCTTTTTTATATATTGTTTTGAGACAAGGTCTCGCTCTGTCAATGATGCTGAAGTGCAGGGGCTTGATCACAGCTAACTGCAGCCTCAACTTCCTGGGTTCAAGCAATCTTCCCACCTCAGCCTCCTGAGTAGCTAGGGCTACAGGGATGCACCACCATGCCTGGCTAATTTTTTTATTTTTTTGTTAGAGACAGGCTCTCACCATGCTACCCAGGCTCGTCTTGAACTCCTGGGCTCAAGAAATCCTCCCACCTCAGCCTCCCAAAGTATTGGGATTACAGGTGTGAGCCATGGTGCCCAGCTGGATGCCTCCTTTAGATGCCAGCTCTCACTCCCCAGGATGAAGCTGTGGGCATAATTGTAGGAGTCTAGCCCTGGAACCCTTATGCAGCTGCTGCTTCAACTGCCCAAAGGACTTTGGAGAAGATCCTCCTGGCTACCAACCGCTTGTTCAACCTGCAAAATGTGGTCATTCCATGTACACTCACTGGGGAGACTGAGTTATTTGCCTTATTTGATGGCCACTTGGGGTGGGCACAAGACATTGATTAAGTTAGAAATTTTTCCAGCTCAGAAGTCTAGAGGGAACTAGGTAGTTTTTCTCTGCATACTCAGGAGTATAACTCATAACCTTCCTGGTCAAGATTTGACCTGCTAAGACTGTGTTTGTCAGCCAATGGCCAGCAGGCTTCTTGCCACTTTGTCACAGATGATGATATTGCTGCACTCACGGTCAGCAAGTCTGGCATGTTCCAGGATCCCATTCCAGATGCCAAATGACATCGAGTCATCATGTCTTCCTAGACACCTGTTGGCTGTAAGAGTTTCTCGGACGTTCCTTGTTTTTGATGACCTTGACAGTTTTGAAGAATGTTCATCAGGTATTTTATAGAATGTTCCTTCATTGGGACTTTTTTTCTCACAATTATACTGGGGCTATGTGGTTTGAAGAGTAAGGTGCCATTTCATTCCATTATATTAACGGTATACAATATCAATATGACTCATCACTGTTGACCTTAATCACTTGGCTGAGGTAGTGTTTGTTGGGTTTCTCCTCTATGAAATTTCTCTTTTTCCCCTTCCCATGCAGAGCTCTTTGGAAGGAAGTCACTATGCATAGCTCACACTGAAGGAGTAGGAAGTCTGTTCTTCCTCCTTGAAAGCAGACACCTACCTACCTATGGAATTTTTCCCCAAGGGAGATTGGACTCTTCTCCCCCATTGATTAGTTTACTCACTTATTTTTGTCAGTATGAACTCAGGAGTATTTTTTTATTATTTCAATTATAATCCAATAATACATTATTTTGTTGTTGAACTTGTCTGGGAGCCCTTTTATTGACTTGTGTGTCCCTTTGATATGCTGCATTTTGTGGAGTTTTCTTGTTTCTTTGTCTGTTGCTTTATTTTCTAGAGCACTTTCTTATTTCCTGGCACTACAAAATACTCCAGACTCATCTTGTATATTTCTTGTTTTAGTCCTAGATCAGCCATTTCTCCAAGGTGCCCTATTTTCTTTTATTGTGGAATAGAATCAGACATCAAGATGTGGGTGCTGGTTTTACGGTATTTTTGATGTTCGAAAACCCAATTAAATTTTATGTAGCAAAATCTATCAACCTTTTACATTCTATTTTCTCACTTGCTTTTAAAATTCCTTCTTTCTAAAGACAAATCAGTGGATAATTATATGAATTTAGATGTAAATAATCTGCATATATGTCCTTTCATTTTTTTTAACATTTGAATCTTTAAATATATGAGCTATACTTTTGGTACATGGTGTGGATGTTTTACAACTTTATTCCCAAAATAAATTACTAACTCTCTCAACAGAAATCATTTTATACTTTTTAAGGTATTTTTCCTTATCTTTTGAATCTTGAGATATGGGTTGATTGGATTGTGGGTTAAGCTGTATGAACTCAATGTAGTCTGCATGGCCCCTTAAGATGATTAATGGAGTGTGTTTCCCTGGTAAAATCAGCATGGCTTTGCCCTTTCCTTCTTTCATACACGTATATATTTGAGACAGGGTCTCGCTGTCTTGCCCAGGCTGGAGTGCAGTGGTGTGATCTGACCTCACTGCAACATCCACCTCCTGGGCTCAGGCGATCCTCCCACCTCAGCCTCCTGAGTAGCTGGGACCACAGATATGTGCCACCACGCCTGGCTAATTTTTGTATTTTTTTGTAGAGACAGGGTTTTGCTATGTTGCCCAGATTGGTTCTTGAACTCCTGGGCTCAAGCAATCCTCCCGCTTTGGCCTCCCAAAGTGCTGGGATTACAGGCATGTCTTTCTTATATCTTCATGAACAGCTTCTGGAGGCAGAGGTGTCTTCCTGCTGTAGAGGTCTAGAGAATATGTCTCTGCCCTTAATTGAAAAGTCTGTATGCTCTCATGTATTGCCACAAGAGATAATTTCAAACTCTCTGTTGCCCAAGTGTTATCCAGAGGATGGTTGTGAGAAACAGAGCACTAAATCATTTTATGAAAGATCTGTAGGCTACCCAACCCTCTGTATCTTCTGTGTGTCACCTCCAGGGTAAAAAAAAATAATAATAACAGAGTGGAAGTTGACTTGGGTCTACCACTTTGGGTCCTTTGTAGAACTGCTCTTGCTGAACGGTGTTGGTTTTTGCTCCTTCCTTCCTTGCACAGTGGTATGCGGTGAGAAGAAGCCACAGTTAAATCACACCTGGATTTATCACTTGGGGCCCTTACAATGGAAGATGTGATTCTCTCCACTACCCCGTGTCTCCTCTTTGGTTTGGCTGATAGGAAACTCAAAGCCAAATCTATCCCCATTTACAGCAAAATGTTTGCCTTTGACTGAATTTTACTATCTTGCTTCCAATTTTGCTTTGTCCTAATTTCCTTTTCCACTTAATTTTCTGTGGTATTGGATTTAGGGTTTCTCCACCTTGGCACTATTGACATTCTGGGTCCAATAATTCTTTTTTGTTGGAGGCTGCCCTTTGCTTTGTAGGATATTTGGCAGCATCTCTGGCTTCTGCTTGCTAGTAGCAGCTGCACCCACCCTACCCTCTCCAGTTGTAACAATCAAAAATATCTCCAGAGTTTTCCAAATGTCCCATGGGGAGCAAAATTGCCTCTGGTTGGGAACCACTAGATTATATGTATCAATGCCATCACTGAAATATTTTGGTTATAAGGCAGTATATAATATTTTGAATTAATAATAAGGAAATGAATAAGCCTTAACTGGTGAAAAGGGGAGAAAGGGAATGGAACATTTACAGTTGGACCTGGAAATTCGAGTCTTAATAAGTTGCCCAAGCATTACTGTAACAATTCTGAACCACTGCTTGTCTATTCACCTGGTGGTTCTTAGATGGAATTTCACTGAAGTATCATGTCTTTAAAGAGAGAAGCTTCTGAAGGGGAGAAATAGAGGATGTATGATGGACAAGGCTTCTTTGGGGATGCCCACTCCATGCAGACAAGGAAGATGTGCCAGGCTAATCAGGAGCCAGTGGCAGCAGGGCACTGGCCAAGCCCCATGTCTGTGCACAGACAGCTCATGGCCCATTAGTGTATGGTGCTTATCCCAGAATATGTGGACATGAAGAAATGAAGATGGAGGACTTGAGTAGGTGGTGAAGATCATCAAACTGGGATACAGGAACTAGGTTATTTGCCACTTTGGGGGTGCCATATTGCTTCTAAAGACTATTTTATGGCTGCTTTATGTGGCAGTGTATTTGCATACCCCTTGAGGAACTTGCCTCTGGCCAGCAGTGGGTAATGGAAATTTTGTACTTTTAACTTTTGTTGTGAAAGACTATTAAAGTTGTCTGTTATCCAAGGAAACCTTTACTAGGCTTTCAAAGCCAGAGCTAAAGAATAATAGGTAGTTCCCAGGTAAATATTTTAATGTGCCTATTCTGATTTCTCTAATGGTAATATGCATTTAATCTTGAAAGAATGTAGTTTTGTTTTTTTTTAACAGCACTCCAGGCTAAGCATCTTGCATTACAGTAAATAATTGAGAATTGAGCTTTACACCATTTCATCCAATTGAAATAGTGACATAGAGTGCATTTTGCCCTTTGCTTGAAGAAACATGATTTTGTTCAGCTTTCAGTGCCCATTCCTTTGCAATTGAAGCACAATGTAGTTTTTCTTTTGTTATTGCAGAACAGATGAAATGAAACCATAGATAAACGTGTAAGAGGTACTTTTGAAAGCAGAGCTATAAAACTCAGTTCCATATTCATCATGGCTTGGATGTCCAGAACTTGCTTACATCTATTTGTGGACTTTTTTGTATCAAAGGTAAACAAAGAGTTTTTAAGAAAACAATAAATTTCTTTAGTTTAAAATCAGGTCATGTACCCTTTTTTTAATTAAAAAAGGAGTGATGATTCATCTTCCATCTCCCAACTAGGGTTCTCCAGTAATGGCCCTTGATGGTGCTGTTTCAAGTTGTGTGTATCAGGAGAGTTTCAGCTGCGAAGGGACTGGCCATTGGCCACAGTAGTCTTGCCAGAATGATGTTTGGGTTAATTGCACCGTCTAGTTTATTTTCAGTCTTCCCTACTAGACAGCACTTAGCATTGTTTTACTAAACTTTATATCCCTAAGCTGAGCACTAGGCCAGGTGTATAATAAAAACTTAGTACATATTTGGGTCACTTTCTATTTAGTGATAGTGGGCAATTTGCAAAGCTCATCCCCCAAAGGCATAATAATATTTATAACAGTTGTTCCCAATTCTTGAGAATCTATTTTGTGCCATGTGGCAGTTTGGGTTCTTCTGGAAATGAAACCTGAGATGGATTTGTGTGTAGGGAGTGCCCTTGAATTCAACATCTGTGAAGGAAGGGGGCAGAAAGGGGAATGAGCCAAGGGAGAGGTGAGCTATAAAACAGGACAGAGCAGAAAGAAGGCCAGCAGACCTCAAAGAGTTCTGGAGCTGAAATGGACATCAAGGTTGTCCCATTCTGTGTCTGGCCAAAATGCCTGGGCCTCCACATCCCTGTCTTTGGATGTGAGTCACCACTGAAAAGGCATGACCTTGGGTGAGGCTTGAAGAGGCTAGCAGCTGAAGGCATGTGCTGACAGCACTCCCAGCACCTGGCTGCAGTCCCTCCTGGAAGAGGATGTGCCTGCATGTCTCTGTGTCCTCATGCCCAAGCCATTCTGCCAGATGCTTTCCATCTAGTAGCTCTTGTCTTCACTGTGATCCTTAAAGTTAGCTAATATTTGCCCTGCCCTTTACATATGCAGAAACTCAGGTTCAGAGAGGTTAAGTAGCTTGCTAGGTAAACAGTGTTGGATACTTAAATTTGGGTCTGAGTCCAAAGCCTGTACTCTTTGGATTTCTCTAGAGAATGGATCAATCAAATAAGAAAAGAAGAGTGCATTGGGAGTCAGGAGACTGAGGTGTGGTCTGGCTCTGCTGCTAACTTCAAGTTTACACTCAATTGATCAAGTCCCTTGATGACATGGAACTAAAGTGACTTTTGAAGAACATGAGTACCTCAAGGATCTTGCTAAAATACAGATTCTGATCTAGTAGGTCTGGGATAGGGCCTGAGATTTTGCATTTCTAAGAAGCTCTCAGGTGATGTCTACACTGCTGGCAAACTGAAATCTCAGAAGACTCCAATGTCTTCTTCAGCCCTGAAAGTAAATGAGTCTCAAAAATGTAGGGACAGTTCTTCCCTACAGAAGAATTCCAATTGATAAACATAGAAGAAATTAAGGAAATACAAAATTACCATCAGAACACCCCTGTAATAATTGTGGCAAATAAAATCCACAGATGAATGCTAAAATTAGAAGCTAAAAAGTTTTAGGAGAAATACAATATTTGCATAGTATCAATGTATCTCCCCCTTAAATACGTATTGATTACAAAGAAAAAATAATGAGGTTAGAGCAGCGACCCCCTTAACCATGTGATCAAAGTCAATTATCACCAGTAATAAAACATATTGTCATCATGTTGACATATCGATATCACCTCCAGATATGATGCACTGAGAAAGACACATCACTTCTGTGTATTCTTATCCAGAACACACAACCTCAGTCTAATCATGAGAGAATATTAGATAAACCCAAAATAAGGGTCATGCTACAAAATAACTGTCCAGAATTTTTTGAAATGTCCACATCCTGAGAGACAAGGAAAGGCTGAGGAATTCTCATGGATTAGAGGAGAGCAAGGAGACATAACAGTATAATGTGGGATCTTGGATTGAATCTTGGAACAGAAAAGTGATGTTGGTAAAACATGCAAATGTCAGTAGTTTATAGTACTGTACCAATACTTAATTTTGACAAATGTATCATGATGATGTAAGATTAGATATTAACTTAAGAGGATGCTTGGTGGAAGATAAATGGTAACTCTGCCCTATTTTTGCAACTTTTCTATAAGCCTAAAATTATTCAAAAATTAAAAGTTAAAATAAAAATATTTACAGATATATTCTTCAAAATTTTTTTCAGACATATTTTATACATTAACACACTCATACAATAGGGTTTATTTAGACTTTATATATTGCATGATTTGCAAATAATGATGATTTTACTTTTAATTTTCTACTATTTTTACTTCTTTTTTCATCAAAAAAAGTAAAACTCAAACAATTTTGAATTACTGTAGTGGTCATAGATATCTTTTGGCATTGCTGAATGCAATGCAATTCTATTTCATAGAATGTCCCTTATTTTGGGTTTGTCTAATATTATCTCATGATATCTTCTTGCAGTGCAATA
Source organism: Homo sapiens (assembly GCF_000001405.40). Lineage (NCBI taxonomy): Eukaryota > Metazoa > Chordata > Mammalia > Primates > Hominidae > Homo > Homo sapiens. The sequence goes on from NC_000007.14 coordinate 43,150,043, forward strand.
TATCTTATGGTTAAAAATGATGATAACTAACATTTATTGTACTTACTGCAAATCAGGCACTGTGCTGAATTGTTTTAAGTGTCTTACTTCATTGTTCTGCCCAATAACCCTATTATTTTCACTATTTTACAGAAAAGGAAATAGAGAAGTAAAATAACTTGCTGAAGTTCACATAGTAATTTGTGAAACCAGGATTTGAACCAAGGTTACTTAACTTTCTAAGAAAGCTTTTAGTTACGCTGTCTATAACACTGTGTATTCCTCTGACCAATTGATTTCAGTTAGATTTGCTTTAACATTGGAAGGCTACCGTCACTGAACCAGCATTTTATTTCATTTTATTTTATTTTATTTTAGATTGAGTCTCACTCTGCCACCCAGACAGGAGTGCAGTGGTGCAATGTCAGCTCGGTGCAACCTCTGCTTCCTGGGTTCAAGTGATTCTTATGCCTCAGCCTCCTGAGTAGCTGGGATTATAGGCACCTGCCATCATGCCTGGCTAATTTTTGTATTTTCAGTAAAGATGGGGTTTCACCATTCTGGCCAGGCTTGTTTTGAACTCCTGACCTCAAGTGATCCACCTGCCTTGGCCTCCCAAAGTGCTGGGATTACAGGCATGAGCCACTGCATCAGGCCTGGATCAGCATTTTAAAGATGGCGTCACAATGGCAAAGAAACCAGTCAGTGCTTTGTGATCCTCCGCCCAGTACAGGCACAGCAGGGCATCCAGAGAAGATAGGAGTCCCAAGTTGACACCTGCCACATTCTTGGCTCAGAACAGCTGTGGCTGGGAAGGTCCATGGGCCAGGGAGCGGGTGATGAAGGACTTCAGCATCTTTATCAGCGCCCCCCCACACAGACGGCAGCTGCGGCCTAGCCCCCAGGCTTCACTTGGCGTGGACAACTTGCTAAGTAAAGTGGGGGGTGGGCCACGGCTGGCTCCTACCTGGACAGGCCTCCAGCTAACTCCGGGCTTGCACAGCAAATACAAGAAAAAAAGAAACAGAAAAATCAGTTCATGTGCCCTTTCCTGACTTCTCCTGGCACCTACAGCCCTGACTGCAGAGATGGTCCCGTGGTCCCAAGACAGAGGCTGGAGAAGTGAGTGGAGCCAAGAGGCAGAAAGATCTCAGTAATTTGGAAAAAATTCCCAACTGGGTGCAGCTGGCTACACCTTTTCTTCCCCAGGTGACACTCAGGGAGGATAACATGATCTCATAAGATTATTTTTGGGGTTTCCTTGACTTAGAGTTTCCATTCTTTAGTATTCTGCCTGGGGCACAGAAAGTACTTAGTAAACCTTGTAAAAATGATTGATTTACACTTTTCTTTGATAAACATGGACAGACAATGAAGGATTTTAACTGAAGACACTTTAAGAAAAGCAGCAGATCAGATGGGTTGGGGGAAGATGTGAAGTGTTTGGGAAAATGCATAAAACAGAATTAATTTTTAAAATAAAAATTGAAGAACATCTCAATTAGCAATCTCAAGGAGAGTTGTGGGGGATATTGTGCCAAAAAAGTAGGCTGCTTTGAAAAAGGAAATTTAAAATGTGATTGCTGAAGGAGCCCCACTGATATTGGCAACAAATACCAAATAAACATTGCTAAAAATTGAATTAGGGATTTAGAAACTAACTTGAGGGGTTTTCACAGAACATAGAATGAAAATATAAATAGGAATTACAAGATAGAAGTGACTGAGAGGATAGATTTAGTGTATCCAACATATGTTTATTCTCTTCACTCTAATTGGAACAGATGGAGAAGGGATAATATTTAAAGATATATAAGAGAAAATTTACCTAGGCTAAAGAAAGATTTGAGGTTGCTGGTGAAAATTTCTCCCAAACCCATACAAGATATTGAAAAAGACACATACATATACATATCCTAATAATATGTTCTAATTTCATGAGTAAAGACATAAATTCTATAGATCTCTAAACTAAAAAAAAGATGGGAGAGATCAACCTAAAGTGTCATCAAACAGCTCATTTACCACACTAATTGCCTGATGACAAAGGAGCAAGATTCACCAAGATTGTGAACCTGGATTCCTTTGTGTAGACAAACTAGTATTTGTATAGCTACAAATGAAATATACTTTGAGATGTGAAAATACTTAGGAAATATTCTGTTAATGCATAATTTCTGGGAAAAAAAATGTTCAAGGACCTATACCACTCATTAAAACCCATCAGAATACAGAACAAATACAAGTGAAAGATAGTACATACGTGAGACAGTTATAAGCATTGAAAGCAGTAATCTCACAGGTAAGCCAAAATGTATTTTGAAACTATGTATTTTGGGAATACAACTGTGAACAAAAAAGTCCTAATAATAAGAGGCATAAATTAATAAAATCGTAACAATCCAGAACTAAAGTTTCAAATGGTTTTTTAAAATATGTTGGATAGAAGTATTTAATTTTTCAGAGCATTATATTGCTCTTTATTCTTTTTTATAGACTCATATTCCTGTTTCATGGATGAGCTCTCTCTTATAAGGGTACAATATTGCTTTGTTGTTGTTGTTTTTGTTAGTTTTCTTCTGTTCCTTAATATCTCTGTTTCTTTCAAGTTCTTTTTACCTGCCTGTTTGTTTTGGTCTCTATATTTCCTGTTAGAAGCTTTCTTCAACTATCTGGTGGTCCTTGGCTCTGTGGTCACATTTAGGAATGAGATTTAGTCTATCAATTGGTGGAGCTCACTTCATTCCGGGGGCCCTCGGGTCTTCATATCTGTAGGCGTTTCCCCCTGAGCTGGTTGTTTTCTTCAGAGAAGCCTCCAGACTTCTTCCTGTGGATATGAGCTTGACTGTGAGTTTGGGAGCTGGAGAAGGCTTAAGTCAGCATGGTGCAATTTAGTAATGTCCGTCACTCCTCTTCTGTGCCTGGTGCCTCTTAGTCTGGAGCTTCTTTTAAAAAAATTCCTCTGAGAATAAACTTTCTGTTGATTGCTGGGGTGGGTAAGAGGATGCGAGAGCCAGCTTTCCCTATATACACCTTCTCTTATGTAGGCTTCTCTCGAGTTCTAGAACTTTCTATGATTCTGTGATGTGAATTGGCTTGTTTCCTGTTGACTTCCTTTTTGGGGCACTAGTTTTTGGTCTTTGCATTTTTTTTTAAAACCACTGATCTCCATCAAGCCCATTGTTAAAAAATATATGGATTGTTTCATTGTCATTATTTCTTGAATTTTCTTGTCCTTGTGAAATTACTGCTTTTACAGTGTTCTTCTGCTGTCTGGTCAGCATTGGAAAAAGAGAATGGAGATGGGCATATGTATTCCCTTTCCTGTCGATGTATATCCGTGAACTTTGGGGTAACATTTCCACAAAAGTGTCTCCCCCTACAAAAAGGAAGTCTCATAGAGATTTTGGTTGGAGTTACATTCAACCCGTACATTATTTTAAGGGGAAAAAAGTCTTTCTCATGTCTAGTTTTCCCATCTGGGGACATAGATGTCTCTACATTCAGTTCAGAGCCCTCTTGTCAGCATCTGTTTTCTTTGTATTGGTTGTGCAGCTGATCAAGGGACAGTGGAGAGTGGAAAGACTTTGAAGAGGCTTTGAAGAAGGACAGAGGTTTCCAGCCTGCCTCTCCAAGAGCTATGTGGCATCTGACAATTTACTTAGTTGTCCAGACGTCATTTTCCTGAGGTCTGACCGAGGAAAATGGAATTTTTTATATATATTGTTGAAATGCTTTGTATAGTAAACATGGAGACAGTAACCCCACTTGTGGAGTTGTGAGAATCAGAAAGAGTTCATGTGAAGCATACAGGATTGAGATAATATTTACTATTTTATTAGAACAAGGCACTTCTAGGTACATGCCTGTGTATTTTATGCTTTTTGTTGATGAGATAAATGAGATGTTTACTTTTTGAAGATTGTAATTTTTTTTTTGGTAGTTGTTAGAAAAGCAATTTCTCTTTGGAGATGTAGCCTTAATCTTGTTACTCAAATTCCATGTCAGTTCTAATAGTATTTTAAAATTATTTCTTGGATTTGCAAATAATGAATGACTGCCTCCATTTTCTTAAGGTTCTATAAATGTGGTATTGATTTCCTCTATGGCAAAATACTTATTTACAATAGTCAACAATCTTTCCAAGTAGTAATGTGTTTACATGTCTGTGTCTAAAATTTTATTAATAATTTCTAACATTTCTGCATTGTGGTCCAGTGATGTGGTTTGTCAAATATATTGATATATTTGAGCATGTTCCATTTACAAGGAAGATGTACTTCCTGTTTAGTAGGTACAAGTTTGATATGTACTATTAATTTTTCCTTACTAGTTAAATATCAGAAGACCAATTTCATTCACTCATTCATTCACCTGCTTTATCTGTCAAAGACAAAATAAATTATGGTAAAATCTCCCCAGGTTAGTTGCTATTTGTCCCCTTTGCATTTCTAGGTCGTGAAAGTTTCCTCCATTCTCCAGTGAATTATATTCTCGTTGTAGTAATCAGTGGTTTTCACGAGCATTTGTATTGTTCTTCTTTACACCTTAGGTGTATTTGTTTGTGGGGGTAAATAGTGTATATTAGGAAACATTAGTATGCATTTGAAATGAAATTTTTGCCCCTAGCATCCTAAAGAGGAAATTTCAAGAAAGCCCTGTATTCCAGCACAGGAAGCAGGAATGTCTTAAGCCACACTGCGCTGTTTCTGCTGGAGACATCTCCCTGCTCTCAAACCTTCCTTCACTGGTAGGTTCTAAGATGCATTTTTGCAGAGTGATGTTTCTTCCATAGTGAAATAGGTATAATTTTCTGGAAAGGTTAGGCATTATCTTTTTGTTTTATTTTTAAAATTATGTAACATTTGATATGTACAGAGAACATATGTAAACTTAGAACTGGAACATTACTGAGACTGCTTCATCTACCCAGGTGCTCCTCCCCAATCTTGAACTTTGTATTTAGTGTAACCTTCTGTGAGGGGTACAGACTACAACGCAAGGCTGCAGCTCAGGTGACTTAGGGAGCCTGCCTTTTGCTTTCAAGTCATGGAGTAAATTCATGCACCTCCTGAGGAACATCCTCAAGTGGCTGGCTAACTTGTAGCACGACTTTCAAAATAACAAACTTTGTGCTTTGCTCTACCAAGTGAGACCACATATAGGAAAGTTCTTGGAAATTATGAAATTGTACACACATGTAAATGTCCTTATGAAGACACAATATGCTGCTATTAAATTTAACAACTTTCTAAAATGTCCTCAAAGAAATACAATTCTTAAAAATAAACAATAAACAGAGAATATACCAAGAGGGCTAGAATACATGGCAACTGGAAGTTGGAGGGGAAAAAAGGAGACTTTGGGGACAAAAAAGGTTCATAACTCTTCAAAGATATTTTTTGGTTAAAATCCAAGATGAAAATAGGAAGAACAAGTAAACAAAGGAAAACAAATTCATCTTATAAGGAAATTGAGTTTACTAAAAATTATTATAAAGTCTTTACAGAAATTTGTATTTTACTTTGGCAAAAGAATTTTATATATATGTATTATTGAAATGCTTTGTATAGTGAACACAGGGAGGTTGATTTAAAACAGGCTATTTGATAAATTTGCTGAGTGTGTACCTCTCTACTCAGTTTGTATTACCGTTTTGACTTTTCTCTGCAGCAATTGTCTCTAAGATAATAAAACCTGGCGAGCATTTATCATGGGATACAATGGACACTGATTTTATGAAATTGACTTCAGAGAAACCCTTGTGCTCACAGGCATGCTGAGCTCAGAGAGGTCCTGCCACCTTCCCAGGTCCAGTACAACAATCTTACAGGTGTAACAGCAGATTCGTGAATGAACACAAAAGGCCTGTGCTCACAAAGGTCTTTTGTTCATGGACAGAACCACTTAGACTGGCAACAGTCTACATTTCACTAGTGTCTTTCTTTGTTCGTTTAAAACAGTAAATCCAGAATGAGTCCAGTGACAGTAATAAAGGAAGAAAATTAGCACTGCAGTTAAATAGTTAAGAACACTTAACTGGGGGAAATAAATTCTACCAATTCTAAACTGTGATGAAAGATCAATAATTGGAAGTTTTTTAAAAATGACTTTTTAATAAAATTATAAAAGGAAAACAAGACAAATATCTTGTACATGAAAGACTACCATATAAAGAAAAACTTATTCTTTACAATACTTTAAGATTTTGGTGTGCATTAAGTGTTCGTCAGCTTCATACTCGCAGAGTCTCTGAGGTATCTGGGACAGAGCAGGCCCCCAGTAGGTGTTCACTGAATTAAGTGAATGAATTATGGGGTGTGCCCAAGCCAGTCTTTCTTCTCTCACTTTTCTTAATGGTCATTATTAATCAATGGTATTTCTCTTATCTTAGTACCTCTGGAAAGATCAAACTAGTGAGTAAATGTAGAATTAATATGAATTTTGCCACACATAATGAAATAAAATTAATATTTCAGCGATAACACAACTGCAACCTCAAAATGATGTGTATCTATTTCTATGTTTGGCTTGATTCGTGTCAGAAAAGATAACCTGAGATAGTAGGCTGTCATTAGTGAGTAAATGAATTAACAAGTGCTAATTAATAATTTCATGATTCATTCCCAAAACCTTTTTGTGCCAGTCCTTAATATTGTACCAGATGTTTCTGGTTCTCCATCTTCCAGGCATGTGGTAGCCCTGTTCACCTTAGGCGTGGTCATGTGATCTGCACTGGCCAGTGGAATAAGTGGAAGTGATGTGTGTTACCTCTAGGTTGAAGTTTATGAGGCCATTCACCACATTATCTTCCCACACCAAAGTGATCAGGAAAGCATGGGTCAAGCTGAAGCTTCCATCAGCATGAGTTTCTTATAAGCAGGCCTTCCCTACCCACCCAGATTAGACATGTAGTGTGAATGAGAAAAGAAAGTTTTATCAGATTAAGTCAATGAGATTTGAGGGGCTATTTGTTACCACAGCATAATTTAGCCTGTCCTGACTGACACATGTTCATTCGCAAACCTGGGCTTTGTGCTAGGCATAGTGGAAGTCAATACTAATAAAATATGCATCTTTATTTCAAAGGAATTTACATTCAATAGGAGAGGCATGCGTATAAAAAAGTACCACTCAGACTATAAGCCCAAAATCAAACATTTATGGGACACATTAAACATTGTGGGAAGTGTTGCTTCAGGTATAATGGCTTGAATTAATCTTTAGGAAACTCCAGAGTTTTCATAGTTGAAAATGAATTCTTTCCAGTAGATTCTATCAAACATCCAAAAAAATGTTATCAGTAGATTCATTCCTCTGGCTGCATTATTCAAGACCAAAGTATAAAAAAAAAGTTTTTACATTTGATATATTAAATCATTTCTGAGTAGACTATTAAAATAATAATTTTGACTGTAATATTCAGATACTTACATGAAAACCATTGCTGTACTCATAGAATAATAAATTACTGTGTGAAATTATGCAGTGAATTGTGCTGTCACAGGGTTTACATTTATAAGGATAAAATTGATATATTCTTTTCTTTCTTTTTTTGAGACAGGGTCTCACTATGTCACTCAACCTGGAGTGCAGTGGTGCAGTCTCAGCTCACTGCAACCTCTGTTTCCCAGGCTTAAGAGATCTTCCCACCTTAGCCTACTGAGTAGCTGGTACTATAGGCACATGCCACCAAACCTGGCTAATTTTTCTATTTTTTGTAGTGATGGGGTTTCGCCGCATTGCCCAGGCCGGTCTTAATCTCCTGAGCTCAAGCGGTGCACCTGTCTTGGCCTCCCAAAGTGCTGGGACTATAGGCATGAGCCACCGTGCCCAGCCAATACATTATTTTCAAAATCATATTTCCTCACATCCACAGAAATGTAGAGCACAGATTTTGGCCTTAGACAGCTCTGGTCTGAGTCCTTGCTCCCCTAAGATGAAGAGTGAAGATGTAGTCTAGTACAGATAACTCATGTATCTTAGCTTTAATTTCCTTATCAATACAGTGAAGTATAATATAAGGCTTTTAAGCTTCTTGTGAGTATTGATTGAGATAATTCAGGAAGCACTTTGTGCAGTGTTTTATTTGGAGTAGTCACTGAAGAAATGTTTACTAAATAGTACTATTACTTACTACATTTTCTCTTCTTACAACCACATTGCTTCCAAAAACTTGTCAAGGTAAAAGGCAATACAGGTTGACCAATATGGGTGGTTATTATACATAAACCATAAAAATTAAGATATTGGGGAAACACACCAGTTTTCCAATTTTCTTTGAGATTCTTATATTCATGATTTTGCTTAAGGGAATGCATTAAATTTGTTTCTTGCATGTTTATTGTAGAACTTTTAGAAAACATAGATAAGCAAAAAGGATCAAGTAATAAGAACTTACCCATTATCTCAAGATCTGGACATAACTACTGTTAATACTTTGGCATATATCCTACAAGCATTTTTTCATGCATATCTGTGGGTGCATACAAAATATGTATGATATATATTTCTGAATGAAAAAGGAGCTGGGTACCGCTTTTTAAAAACTGGATATTTCATGAACACCTTTCATGTGGATATTCTCCTGCACAATCCTTTACAATGAGGGCATGTGCCACACATCTCCCATCTACCCCTCCAATCCCATCCCCTCCCCCTTTCCATCTTGCCTGCTCCATCAGGCAGTCATTCCCACCCAGCTACCTCTCCCTGGGTTCCAGTTACCATCCCCTTGAGACAATGGTAACTGCACCATGCTCGTGGTTTACTTTCTTTTTGTGAATAGTTCAAAATACTTTAAAAAACCAATTCAAGTGTCTCATCTAGTTCCTCCTAGGACCCTGACTTATGCACCAAGAGAGAGGTTCTCAAACTATACTGTGCATCAGAATCACACAGAAGGTTTGTTAAAATACAGATTGCTGGGCATCACTCTCCAGAGGTTCTGATTGAGTAGGTGGGAAAGGGCCAGATAATTTGCATTTTTAACAAGTTCCCAGATGGTGCTGGAGCTGCTGGTCTAGGGACCACAGCCTGAGAACTGCTGCAGTAAACATTCACGCCATTGCATGAATCTGACAGTTTATTTATTTATTTATTTATTTATTTATTTTAAAGAGGAATTTTTTATTTTTCAATTTTTTTACCTTTGTTCATTTTCTTTTTTTTTATTATTATACTTTAAGTTCTAGGGTACATGTGCACAATGTGCAGGTTTGATATATATGTATACATGTGCCATGTTGGTTTGCTGCACCCATCAACTCATCACTTACCTTAGGTATTTCTCCTAATGCTATCCTTCCCCCAGCCCCCAACCCCCCGACAGGCCCCTGTGTGTGATGTTCCCCACCCTGTGTCCAAGTGATCTCATTGGAATCTGACAGTTTATTTAACCATTTATCTCATATGCAAATAACTCTGGCTTTTATATCCTTTTAGCTAAATCTTTATACATTGATATATTAGTTTCCTTAAAAAAAATTTCTAAAAAGTAGAACTTGGGCACAGGTATATGCACATTTTTAAAGTTTCTGAGATTGCCAAATTGTCCATCAGATAGTTTTTATGAATTTACAATTCTACTAACACATACAAAAAACATTTCCTTATATCTTTACAAATATATGAAAGCATTTCCTATTTCCTTGTATCTTTTTTTTTTTTTTTTTTTGAGATGGAATCTTGCTCTGTCGCCCAGGCTGGAGTGCAGTGGTGGCGATCTCTGCTCACTGCAAGCTCTGCTCCCAGGTTCATGCCTTTCTCCTGCCTCAGCCTCCCAAGTAGCTGGGACTACAGGTGCCCACCACCACGCCCGGCTAATTTTTTGTATTTTCAGTAAAGACAGATTTTCACCATGTTAGCCAGGATGGTCTCGATGTCCTGACCTCGTGATCTGCCCGCCTCGGCCTCTCAAAGTGCTGCGATTACAGGCGTGAGCCACCGCGCCCAGCTGTATCTTTACAAATATAGTACATACATTATTTTCTTGTTTATTAAAATCCTCACCAATTGATAAATGAGCAAATTAAACTATTGTTTCACTTCACATTATTTTGATAACTAGTGAGATTAAACAGTTTTGCAGATACTTTTGTCCCTTTGCACTTACTGATTTGTGGGTGGCATCTTCGTGATCTTTGCCCATTTTTCTATGGGTCTGTTTGTCATTTGTTTTATAATTTAAGATATCCTTTATATGTAAAGAATTGCCTTTTATACATATTTTCAATATTTCCCCCCAATTTGTTGTTTGCCTTTGGATTTTTGTTAATTTTTTTTATGCAAATACTTTTTTTCATTCTTTGGTCAGAGCTCTCAATGCTTCACTTGTGTTGTTGTGGTTTAGTCTTGCGGTTAGAAAAATGAGAGCTGCCTTCACCTCCACTTGGATTTTCTAATACTTTTATGGTTTTCTTTCTTTTTACATTTCAATGCTTTGACTTTATTTTGATAAAAGAGAGATATAATGTTTTCCCTCCATAAATGTCCTAGAGGCACGCGTTGAGTAATTCATCCATTCTCCCTTGGTTTGGAAATGTCACTTTTATTCATCGCAAAGTCTTCAACGTATCAGTGTTTGTTTTTGGAGTTTCTTTCGTTCCATTGATCTGTGGTTCTGGTCCAGAACCACACTGTTAATTATTGTCATTTACTATACTTTTAATTCATCTCATTAATTTTCTTTTTTTCAAAATTTCTTTAGCAATTATGATGGCTTACAAATAAATAAAATGTTATTTCTCCTATTTCTTTCACAAAGGCCAATAAAATTGTATCAAATTTCACCTCAGGGACAAGCTCTTTTGTTCATGAGTTTCAGCACTTCTACTGTTCCCGCCCGCTGTGCTGTGCCTTTTACAGTTGTCGTATTTATTTATTTACTTACTTATTTTTACCTTATTCAATTTACTTTCCTTATTTAAATTTTATAACATCTCTCCATTTCTACAGGTTTTTTTTTTCTCCTTCTAAACCATCAGCTTTCTTGAAGGGATGTTGGCCCTGGGTGTGTGAGTCCCCTGGGTCCTGTGGAGTAAAGCGGGGCTGGGACCTTTGAAAACTCAGAGTCCAGGGAGTGGTGACACACAGGTGGAACTGTGTGTCATGACTGATTGGGAATGAAGGATGACAAAAGAATCTGAATTAGTGTCACTTTTTCAAGAGGCCTCCCTTTTGCAGTTGCCCATTGGTTTCTATGACATGGTTTTTGAGATTGCTTTGGGTTTTTTTTAATGCTATTGGTACAATTATTTTTCATTATGTTGGTTAATGGTATTCCTATTGGTAATGTTTTAGATTCAGTCTGAGAATGAGAAGAGCTGGTGGAGGGAAGTTAGAGATCCCATAGCAACCTCTCTGAAGTGTGGCCTTGTCCTGAGAGCAGAGGGCTCCTAAGCCTCTAGATCCCTTGTGTAATTACAGTGCTTGGTGCACAGCACAGCCCTAGGCAGTATCTGTTGAGTAAATGAATGTAAGGATTGTGTACAGTTCTTAAATCAGAAACAGCACCAGTAGTGCATGGTACAGTGAGACACATTTTCTCTGGCTCTGACTGAGAAAGATATTTCAAATATCGCTTTCAGATAATGCAGCCTTGTGAGATAGTGAACTCTCCATTCCTGGAAGTATTCAAGCTAAGGTTGGAGAGGTGATGACGGTTTCCATTATTTTGGAGGGTGAACTTCCAAGGTCTCTGTATCACTAAGGTGATTCTGTTACTCCTGGCTAATTAAGCTTATGTTTTAGATTTTTCCTTTTCCTTTTTCTCCAGTCCCTAATTCCCATATACACTTCTCTGCAAAGTGTCTTCATTGTGGTGTCACTTGTGTGTATCTGTGTCCTCTGTGCTATAACTGCAATGTGACCCGTTTCCCATGAATGTCCTGGGGTGGTGCTTGAGCTTTTCATGGGCTTGCGCCTTTCACCGCCCACTATTGAACATGCAGATGTGATGGTGGCATCTGTCACTTGCTCTGTGATCACTCTTCTCTCATAACTGGTGGAAGGAAAAAAATGATTTCACGTTAATGAACACCATAAACAATTGGATATCCACTTTAGTGAACATCAAGATCTATCCATTAGTGTGTCTTATCACTCTCAGCTACTTTTTTTCGTTTCCTTGTGTTTTGTAAGGAATTGAAAAAGAAAGCAAGATGATATTTAGAACTTACTTGTTAGTGGATCAGTTTCCTTGGGCTGCCGTAACAAATTACGACAAACTTGTGGCTTAAAACAATAGAAATGTATTCTCTCAAAGTTCTAGAGGCCAGAAGTCTGAGATCCAGGCATTGGCAGGGCTGTACTCCCTCACAAGGCTCCAGAGCCCAATCAGTGCCTTTCCTCTCCTAGCTTCTGGGGGCTCCAGTTGTTTGGTGGCTATGACTGCATCACTCCAACCTCCATCTCCATGGTCTGCCTCCTCTTCTCTCTGTCTCTCCTCTGCGTGTCCCTCACAAGGACACTTGTCATTGGATTTAGGATCCACCTGAATAATCCAGGATGAACTTTTATCTCAAGATACTTGACTCAATTACATATGCACCCTTTTCCCAGATAAGGTCATATTCACAGTTGCCAGGCATTAGGACATGGACATATCTTTTGGAGGCCCACCATTCATCTTATTACAGGCAGTAAGCCAGGAGATTCCATAGGGAGAAAAACTGAGTAAGATCTCACTTGGAGATCCTGGGAATGCCTTTTAATACAGAGGTAGTGGTCCCTATAAACAAAGCTCCCATACTACTGTAATAATAACATTGTAATAATAGCAGCAGTAATTTATGGAGCACTTGTTCTGTGGGAGGCATTGTTCTAACTACCTTTACAAGCATCATCTGAGCTAATCTCTCAACAACTCTATAAAGAGGCAACTATTGTTACTGTTGTTTTACAGATGAAGAACATGAGTCTTAGAGAAGTCAAAGAAGTTGCCTAAGGTCACATGAGCAGTGAGCAGAGGAGTTGCTTACCTTTGTTAGACTCCAAATCCTGTGTGACTATGAAACTCATTAACTGAAACAACCCGGCACCTTTGGACCTGTGCAGGCAAAGGCAAGGGAGTTGACCAGGAGCACACAGCACAGACGAGAACAGTCCCAAAGCCTTTTGCTGTATCCCATCTGTGCAAACCACTCCCAATAAACAAACAAACACACACCAGGCTTCTTGAACAATTTCTCCCCGTTGCCAAGCTATTGGAAGAAAAGAACGCAAATCCGATCAGATTCATTACTAGTTTGAGGATTGCAAATACATTTCACCTTGGGTTGGATTGCGAACCATATATGGAAAGGACACCATGTTGATCAGTGTGCATGCACACACACATACACACCCCCACTGTGTGCAGTGACAGAAGTGCTCATTGTGTGCCAAACACCACCCTTGTTCTGTCCGGGGGGAGGTGCTGCGAAGACTGGGGAGATGGAGGCAGGCTCTGCTTCTGGCTGGATTCCTCAACCCACCTCCCTAGGCTCCCTGACCTTCCATTTGAAGGTCCAGGCCAAGTCGCAGACCATATGCCAGTTATCCAGGGAGCTTGCTACAAGTCACCCTCATGCTCCTGGTCTTCCATTCCCAGCCGTCAGCCAGAACCCAGATTCAGTGACCAGTTATGACCCCTGGGAAAGAGTTGCCCCAGGTTCGATCAACTAAGCTCCCCCAAATGGCTCTGCTTTAATTCTTCCTAATCTTGTTCATTCCCTCCTTGCCTGCTACATGTGGCTGCCAGGAACCCTCACATCTTGGGTCTAACCACTGAGAAATGGTGGAGATGTTTGGATTTGATGGAAGGATTTGGACAAGCAAAGATGAGGGTATTGCAGGTGACTCGAACAGTTGAGTACAACTGTAAAGAAGGAAGTCATTGTCCTGTTCTGGCAAGAGCAAGTAATTTATTTAGTATTTCTAGAATCTCAGTCTAAGAGAAAAAACTGGGCCTTGGGTGACAGGAGGTGGGCAGGAGTTCATCCTGCCCTGGCTGGCAGATTTCACACAGGGAGAAGAGCCAGGGCAGGCAGCGAAGAGAGCGGTTGGAGGCCCAGGCTTGGGTGGAGGTAGTGGGAATGAAAGGGAGCCAATACATGGGGGAAGTCAAAGAGCAGCTAAGGACCAGGCTGGGGAGAGGAATGGCCAAAGAGAAGTCAGAGTTGGCCCGAGTCATCTGGTCTGCATGGGCTGGAGACAGGGAGGCAGCAGAGAAGGCAGGAGGAGGAAGGGCTCAGCCATTGGCACTTAATAGTTATTATTTTTATGATTTATTTATGCCTCAATTACTTTCAAAAAATTAAAGCAGCTAATAAAAAGTGCATGACCAATAAAATGTTAGCACATATTGAAACAGTGTTTTGCATAAGTTGAGTTGAAGGTGCCAGTGGGGCCTCCTGGGGGAAGATTCAGCAACATTGGGAAATCAAGAAGGCACCAGGGTGTCCTCTGGATCGAGCCTTGAGTGGAGGGGGCTGCTCGGCATCTGTGCTGTGTGCCCAGACTCCCCTCAGTGCACCCCTCCTGTGCTCCCCATGGGAAGACACACCCCTCCCTCCTTCCTTTATCAGGCCTCCTGAGGGTCAGGCCCCTGCAGGGCCAGCAGCCATGGCACAGTCCTTGGTGCATAGTGGGTGTGTTTCAGGGCCACTGGACTGGACTTTCCTTTTGGTGTGGAGGGAGGGAGAAGCAATGGAGAAAGAGGCGAGGACAGAGAGCGCCACATCCTGGGGTCAGATCTCCAGGACTGATGGTGCATGTGAGGCAAGTGCAGACTCTTCCAGAATTAGAAAGGAGATGCCGAGCATGCAGCCGCGCTTCCATGGTGTATGATTCAGAATATTTGTCCTGCACTCTGCAGGTCATCATAACACAAGCTCATTCATCAGCGAGTGTCTTAAGAGTGAAGAGTCATGGCTGAAAGCAGAAGGATGAATCAGTGGTTTCTAAAGGTTCCTCTCTCTCTGAGTCAGGGAATGCCCCTTTGTCTATATTTGTAACTGCTCCCTTGTTTCAGAACATTTCCACTTTTGGAGAAATGCCATAAGTTAGTCTGGCTTGAAATTTGGTTTCAATAGTAAGGCCTTCTCAATCCCTAAATGATGAAAATAATAAAATAATGGAAATAAAAGGGATTTTAATTTTCCCTGGCATCTATTTCAAGTATTATTACAGTGCACTGATTGTTTGTAATGTTTATTGAAATGTGTCAATTTCCCTTTTTCTTTTCCTCTGTTTTCACTTTTGTGTCCAGAGTTGGAGATTTCCAGAACACATTGGCAGCCATGTGCATACAATTTCCAACTTTAGAACACTGTGTATGAATTATGTTACATATCATGAGGTTAGAAAATAATGCAAAGGACACTGGGCTTTTGGCGGGGGGGGGTGTTTGTGTGTGTGCACACAGGTATGTGTGTGTGTTTGAATACAACAGCCTCTAATGACATCAAAGGTCATTAATAACAATTCAATCAATTATCCGTGAAGGTGTAAGATGCTTACTCTGTGGAGTTTAGATAGATTTGAGAACATAAGAGTGATTTTATTTTTGCTTTTTGTGCATTTGAAAAGGACACAACTCTCCTATGCAGAGTTTTTGGTTTCTGGTTGTATGATGCTTTTTATCCATACATAGGCGTTGTGAGCCCACTCTAATCACTTAGATTTTTTTTTAGTAATAGTTTCCTTACAATCAATCATGCCAGCAGTTGTGAAAATATGCTATAAGCTTTATATTAAGACAAATAAAGTTGAGATGCTGTGTCTCCAGCAGAAATAACTTCCTTTCTATTTCTTATTTCAATCAGTCATGCCAGAGATATAAAACCATGCCATCAGCCATTTGCATGTGTTGAGATTCTGAGTCCCAATGCAGATTTAAAAGAGGACTTTCCCTCTAACTCCTTGCCTATTAATATACTCATTCACTCATTCAATTATTCAACCAGTGTCTATGAGCTCCTGCCGTGGTTCAAGCACAGCTGGAGTGGCTAGGTCACAAAGATGAATTGGACATGGTTAAAAGTCTTCCTTCCTCTCTGGTGAAGGGATTTTTGTTTGTTTGTGTTTTTGGTTTTTTTTGAGACAGAGTTTCACTCTTTCGCCCAGGCTGGAGTGAAGTGGTGCTATCTCAGCTCACTGCAACCTCTGCCTCCTGGGTTCAAGCAATTCTCTTGCCTCAGCCTCCCAAGTAGCTGGGATTACAGGCACCCACCACCACAGCCAGCTACTTTTGTATTTTTAGTAGAGATGGGGTTTTGCTATGTTGGCCAGGTTGGTCACGAACTCCTGACCTCAGGTGTGTTCCACCTGCCTTGGCCTCCCAAAGTGCTAAGATTATAGGCATGAGCCACTGTGCCTGGCCTGGTGAAGGAGATTGACTTTGAAATGGTGAGTGATAAGCTAGATGCCTACCCAAGCTATAATAGTATTAGGATCTAGAAGCAGCACCCAGGCCAGCTGCAGGGTGGAGATGGATGAGGGAAGGCTGACCCCTGAGCCAACTCTTATTATTACTGATATTTTAAGAAAAGATAGGGGTTAGTCACATTACAAGTAAAAGCTTTTCTTTACTAAAAAGATGTTTTGTTTATTTCACATTGTACAGTATACATTATCCTTCAGATTACATTTTATTGATGATTATAGATGATTCATAACTTGAGAGGAAGTATAATAGGAACCTTTGTCCACTAAAGAGTACTAAGACACTGAGGTGAATGCTGCAAACCATTCTGTTGGTCAGGTGGAAAGGGCCCATTTGAATTATTGATCTTAATTAATTACCAGCACAGGACTGAGGGTGGGGCCAGGGAGGGCAGCACAGGCCCAGGCCATGGCTGGTCATGGGTGATGACAGGTGCTCCTGGAGAGCTCAGCAACTGTGGCCGCATGTGGATGACCCCGTGTGCCAGGCCCCAGGGGACTTCACCTCTCAGGCTGTAGGCAGCCACTGAATGACGCAAGGCAGGCAAGAGGCATGACCAGAGTGGGATGTTTCCAAAAGACCCCTTTCTGATGAGATAGTGGATTCACTTCCCATTGCTATAACAACTTATCACAAACTTTATGGCCTAAAGCAACAGGAATTTATTCTCTCAGTTCTGGAAGCCAGAAGTCTCATATTAGGTATGAGAAGGGCCATGCTCCCTTCAAAGGCCCTAGAGGAGGATCCTCCCCTATCCTCTTCCAGCTCCTGGTGGTGCTTGACCTTTCTCGGTTTGTGGCCACATAACTCCAGCCCTTGCCTTCATCTCCACATGGCCTCCTTCCCCTATGTCTCTGTGTCTTCTCTTCTATTCGAGGAATACTAGTCATTGCACTTAGAGTCCACCCTAAATCTAGGGTGATTTTATCTCAAGATCCTTGCTTAATCACCTCTGCAAAGAGCCTCTTTCCAAATAAAGTCATATTCTGAAGTTCTAGAAGGGTGGATATGAATTTAAGGGATCCACTATTCAACAACTCCAGATGGAGGGAGGTTGGAAGAGGTTCGGAGGATGAGGTCTAGCAGGACATGGGAGGACATTACAGAGGAACCTACAAGAAGTGAAAGAGAATGCATAGGTGGCATGCTGGGGCAGGTTTCAAGAAATGTGTGTTCAGGAGGAATAAGGGAGGAAAGGGTAAAAAAGAAGGATGAGGGATTGTGGCGTAAAAGCCAAACCTTCACAAATTTGCTTTCCACCCATGTAGGTATCTTCTAGCATTAAGTTCTAGTTCAAGTACCACCCTCTCTCCTGTAATGGCTGACAAAAGTGTTACTAGGATCACCTCATTTAATTCTTAAACAGTACTATTATGATCACTCACACTCTAACACACACCCTGTTTTAAAGAGGAAACAAATTGAGGCTTGGAGAGGTTAGGTGGCTTGCTAGTAAATAAATGCTGGAGCTAGAATTTGAACCAGACAACCATACTGTAAGCCCAGCACTCCTGAATACTCACACATCACACATACCCCTCACCAACACCACACCACCAAGTAAAATTATTCCTCCCATCTCTAAATCCCCATAGCCCGTGGTGTACGCTTCCTTTCGGCATTTGTTCAATTACCAACTAGTTTATTTTTACAAGTAGATTTGTGTACGTGTCGTGAGGAGAGGGACTGGACATGTTTCACTTTTGCATGATGTCCCCAATATCTTGCACCTGCATTGCACAAAGATCATGTTTATGAGTGTTGAATCATGGGATGCTATCTTAATTCAGACCACAATTATATGTTCAGCCTGTGTGAGAGACAGAGAGAGAGAGACAAGGAAACATACAGCTATTATACAGTATGTGGTGTGCAGGGATACAGGTGAACACACAGAGACCTTGGGATGCATCTCATATGTATGTGCCAGCTGGGCATGGTGGCTCACGCTTGTAATCTCAACAATTTGGGAAGCTGAAGTGGGAGGACCCCTTGAGGCCAGGAGTTTGAGACCAACCTGGGCAACATACTGAGACCCTATCTTCTCAAAATTTTTTTTTAAATTAGCCAGGCATGATGGTGTGTGCCTGAGGTCCCAGCTACTCAGGAGACTGAGGTGGAGGGATCACTTGAGCCTAGGATTCTGAGGCTGCAGTAAGCTGTGATTGTACCACTACACTTCAGCCTGGGTGACACAGCAAAACCCTGTCTCCAAAATAATAATAAGAATAATAATAATAGTATGTATTAATCAATAGGGATAAGAGACACATACATAGACAGACACAAATCAGTGAAGGAGGTGAACAGGCAATTCACAGAGGAAGTAAAAGTCAATAAGTATACGCAAGGATACTCAGTTTCACCTGCAATTAGCACTATGCATGTTAAAACACTGACAAGATATGATTCTACTCCAACCAGATTGGTGAAATAAAACATTTAAGGGGGGCAGGAAATTTCTCATTGTTCACTATAGAAAGATATGCACCAAACTGATAATAAACTGAAATGGTGGCTTCTGAGAGCTTGGGTGAGGGGTGATTTCTTGGAGGACTTTACTTTTACCTGTAGTATTTAAATTGTTTTACCAGGAGAATATGTTCATGCATTACTTGTATATTTGAAATTAGTAGGGAAAGAAATCAAATGCTCTCCCTCAATTTACATTACTGGGTAATTACAAGGGATCATATGCTATTCATTGCTACTCCCATAGCTGAAAGAGGACCCTGCATTCCCAATTCTGTCATCTTTCCACTACATTTTGATGATAAGTTAGATGAGATCCGGAAGTTCAGGAAATACCTGTATGGAGGTGAAATGTAAAGCCTAGAGCTGTGTTTCCCAGGGGCTGGACACTTTATTGTCATGGGGGCTGACCTGCGCATGGCAGGGTGTGACACAGCATCCTGGCCTCTGCCCACCAGATGCCAGTAGCAACCCACCCCTCACCCTTTCTACTGTAAGGTGTAACAACCAAAAATGTCTCCAGACATTGACGGATACCCCTGGGAGATACACCCTTTTCCCCATTGAGAACCACTGGTGTCCAGAGAAAGCTCAGAAAAAGAACTTAAGCATCCCAACTCAGCCCAATTTCACTTCTATGAGAGTAAAAGTAATGGGCTTAATCATCATATGCTAGTACTTTGCTCTTGCCTAAAATGACCAGTGTTATAAACTCCTTAACAAAAAGTACATTATATTGCTTTTCTTATCTTTGTATCTTTTTTTCTTTTCTTTTTTTTTTTTTTTTTTGAGACGGAGTCTCGCTGTCGCCCAGGCTAGAGTACAGTGGCATGATCTCGGCTCACTGCAAGCTTCGCCTCCCGGGTTCACGCCATTCTCCTGCCTCAGCCTCCCGATCTTTGTATCTTAAACACATCTCATCTTCCTCCTCATGATGCCAATTCCCCACCCCCAGGAGACAATCCCCTACCTGGTGAGGCTGATTGATTTTGAGCCTCTAGGGTAGCACAGAGCCACATGTATAGAGGGTAAGTGATTACTTTGTCTGCCAACATCGTCTTTATCAGAACCGCTGGACAGATCATTTAATGCAGGGGTCCCCAACCCCCGGGCCATGGGGCTGGTACTGGGCCATGGCCTGTTGGGAACTGGGCCTCACAGCAGGAGGTGAGCAAGCATTACCGCTTGAGCTCTGCCTCCTGTCAGATCAGTGGTGACAAGATTCTCATAGGAGCACGAACCTTATTGTGGACTGCACATGCAAGGGATCTAGGTTGTGGGCTCCTCATGAGGATCTAATGCCTGATGATCTGTTACTGTATATATTAACATGTAATAATATATACATGTATATACATTATATATTACAATGTAATAATAGTAGAAATAAAGTGCACAATAAATGTAAAGTTCTTGAATCATCTCAAAATCATCCTCCCCCACCCCTGTCTGTGGAAAAATTGTTTTCCACGAAACAGGTCCGTGGTCCCAAAAAGGTTGGAGACCGCTGGTTTCACGGGCACCCTTGGCTCCCAGTCACATATGAGTTGGGACTCTTGGTTATGGAAGAAACCCATGCAAATTAGCTTAGGCCAAAAGAAGGGGTTAGTCACCGTAAGGTTACAGCTCGTGAACAGACCCGGAAGGGACAGCACACTCTCACTGGCAGAGGTCAGGGTGGCTGGAAAATAGAGGTAGCAGGGGTTGCATTTGAAAGGGCCTTGTCAAAGGTGCATGGTATGTATTAACAGAAAGCAAATTCACAGATCATCCAGGCCTGGAGGATGGGTTGGGAAGTGAGAGTGAGTTCAGGAAGGACTTATTAAGTGGATGCCAGCTATCCAGTGAGGGATGAAAGTGGCCCAGCTGACCGTGCAAAGGTGGGGATAGAGTGAGTACATAGACCCCAAGGAAATCAGAGTTGGCTGAGCTGAAAGTAGGGCGGAGCAGCACATGTGCAGGGTGAGTGTCCTTGCCCACACAGGGAGGAAAAGAAAAACGTTTGTGCAAAAGGTTAGGCAGCCAGGGGAAACATGAATGAAACCAGTGTCCTTGAGCTAGAGAAAGTGACACTGTTGTGGATCAGTCGCATTTTCGCTTCCTTACAAAAGCTCAACAGGGGCACACTGTGGTTGGTCAGATGGGAGTGCACAAGCATGAAAATCCATGGATTTGGTATTTGAGTCTTCTCAAATTTTAACTTAAAAATGAAAACATGAAAATAAGTGTGTGAGTTTAGAAAAAGTAAAATGCTTGACTTTCTTATGCGGAATGAAGATTGTGCCTTTACAATCAAGGAGTTCCATATATTCTGAGTGGTGGGAAATGTGATTCCACTAAATATTGAACTGTCCAAAGTTACTGGTGAAACACAGGCACATACACACACACACACTCAGATGGTTAAGATTTCGTGTGCTGCTTTTATAAAATCTCATTTTTTCACAGTTGTATTTTCCAGTCCATAAGTCTGCTATTTCTTTAGTTCTTGCTCAAAGCTTGAATGAACGTTGAAAAGTTTGGGCATCACACTTTTGGTCAGCCACTGCGTGCTGGCCAGGCTCCAAGGAAAGACGACCCTCAGGGGCTCCAAGGAAAGGACAATGCTCAGGAGCTCCATGTTCGCAAACAAGTGGGAAACAGCCTCTTAAAAACCATTTCAATACAATAGGTTTTAACAGATGCATGCAGTACAATGAAAGGAAAAAAGGGGCGTTTAGCTCATATCCTAGAAAAATATCTAAGCCTGAGATTTTGAAGAATTGTCTGAGAATGATAAACTATCAGACTTGAAAGTGTTTAATACAGAATCTTCCTCAATGGATTGGGCATCCTTATCCCTTCTCCCTGTTGTTGGCTACATTGCAAGAACTCTTTTGCAGTAAGATGGCACTTGTAGATAATAAAAGTAAAATGCTTTTGGGGTCTTTCTTTTGACAGTTTTTGAGATTAGTTTAATGTTACTTGTGTGCTGTGAGCTTTAAGTTTTGATGAGCTGAATCTTCAAGCAGATAAAAGATTTTTACAGTTGCTCAGTGTTATGTAGATTGCTTATAGGTACAAAAATAAAATAAAAATCCAGGCACAGTGGCTCACATCTGTAATCCCAGCACTTTGGGAGGCTGAGGCGGGTGGATAACTTGAGGTCTGGCGTTCAAAACCAGCCTGGCCAACGTGATAAGACTCTGTCTCTACTAAAAATACAAAAAAAAAAAAATTAGCCAGGCACAATGGTGGGGGTGGGGGGATGTGTAATCTCAGCTACTCAGGAGGCTAAGGCACGAGAATCACTTGAACCCAGGAGGTGGAGGTTGCAGTGAGCCGAGATTGCGCCACTGCACTCCAGCCTGGTGGACAGGGTGAGACTCTGTCTCTAGATAAATAAATAAAATAAAATACAAACTACAACTCTTAGTATTTTCACTATGGAAAAAATAGAAAAAAATTTTCTATTTTTAGAAAATTTTTAGTATTTTCTAAAAATCTCTAGAAATCCTAGAGATTTCTAGGATTTTTTTTTCAATAAATTCTTTCACACATGCCCATGTTTATATATCAAAATCCATGTATACATCTAGGCAGGGTTGAATTATACCCATGTTTACTAATTTAACTATTACTATATGCATTAAATGTAATGTGTTACCTAATGTTTAATGTCACTTTTATAAACGTGCTTTACATGTGAGAAAAATAAACAAAAAGACATGAGACAATTAGGGTTCAGCCCTTTCTGCCCTATGTCCCTTCCCCAGAACTCAGAATCTTCTTAATTGGCACAGATCCCTAAAGGGAACAAATGTGACAATTAGAAGTCTGCCCTCATTATAAGAGGCTCACAGGAATACCTGATATTGAGAAATACTCTTATTTTCTGAGTGGCATTGTAAGCGATCCTTGGACACAGCATGAAGGACTCGTGTGTAGGAGCAGGCACACTTTTTTACTCAGGATAGAACAAACAAGCAGCCAGAAAAACACATACAGCTAGACCATTTCACATTCGTTTGCCTTTGTCTAGCCCTTGAATGTGCCTTTAAGCACCCACTGTCTGTGATTCCTAATCCTGAGTCTCTCCAAAGCAGTGGTTTCACACCACATTGACAGAAGCCTCCGCGTTCAGACACCCAACTCCTTAAAGCTAAAGTTCCTCTGATTCTCTATTTTACATATTCTGGTTCTATGTAAAATTTAATTTGAAACTGGGGTTCTCTGGGGAAAATTAAAACAAAGATAACAGATCCCAGGTTTCAGATGTATGATACCATTCTAGTCACATCTGAGTCACCTGCAAATGGTGACTAAAAAAGACGCAGAGGAAAATTAAAGGGCCACTTTGCATGGCTAAGCAGAGGAAGAATGGTTTTGCTATCTGGTTTCTGGAAAGAACGGTTTGGTTTCCTTGGGGCCAGTCAATAGAAAGTTTGGGTTTCTCCTGAGCATCCAGTGACCATGTGTTGCCTCCAGTGGCTGTCCACCCCTCCCCATGTGTTAGGAAAGCCATCTGATTAAATAAAGTTCTCTAGGGCAGCAGTCCCCAATATTTTGGGCACCAGGGACTGGTCTCATGGAAGACAATTTTTCCACAGAGTCCAGGGTTGGTTTGGGGATGAAACTGTTCCATCTCAGATCATCAGGCATTAGTTAGATTCTCATAAGGAGCATGCAACCTAGATCCCTCTCATGCGCAGTTCACAGTGGGGTTCACCCTCCTATGAGAGTCTAATGCAGCCACTGATCTGACAGGAGGCAGAGCTCAGGCAGTAATGCTTTCTCACCTGCAGCTCACCTCCCGCTGTGCAGCCCAGTTCCAAACAGGCCAAGGACCACTATTGGTCTATGGTCCAGGATTTGGGGACCTCAGCTCTGGAGTGTGAAAGACTCACAGTATCACCTCCACCACCCAGGTGCCTGTTGTTTTAAATGATTTTTTTTTTTTTTGGAGACAGGGTATCACTCTGTTAGTCTGGGGTGGGGTGGGGTGATCAAAGCTCACTGCAGACTACGACTCCTGGCTCATGTGATCCTCCCCGTCAGCTTCCCTAGTAGCTGGGACTACAGGCATGCACCATCACACCTGGCTAATTTTTTAAAATTTTCTTGTAGAGACAATGTCTTGCTTTTTTGGCCAGGCTGATCTTGAACTCCTGGCCTCAAGCAGTCCTCCCACCTTGGCCTTCCTACATGCTGGGATTACAGGCATGAGCCACAGTGCCTAGCCTTAAATGAGTCTTGATAGGTGGAATTTCAGAGCATACTGGGAAGATGTCCTAAATATCCCTGCTACATAAGAAATGGGTTTGTCCCCCAGTTCCTGACAAAGCCCCATTTTCTGACACATCATCATTGCTACTGGAGGATCCATGGAGATCCCTTATGAGGGAGGCTGGACCCTTATCAGCCTGGGTTTTCTGGGTCATACATAGTGGGTCTCAGAGCCAACCAGCCAACTTTGCAAATGCTGTTTCTTTCTTAGTTTCTGCAGCTATTCTACTCCTTGATCCAAAGGTGTGTCTTGTTCTGCTTACTATTGATGTCATTCAGAGATAACCCTAATTACTTCTCTGCTTCCTTGATCTTCTCCCAGTGTCAATCCAGATCAAGAATAATTCTCTGGACTAGCCCCTGAGCGAGGTTCTTGTCCCCTGGGATTGAATGAGCTCAGATGAGCTCCCTGGCCACCACGTCAAAGCTTCACTATTTCTCTCCTTCGCACTCAATCTTAGTAGCTTTTTTTTCTTTCCTTATGAAAAAAGGCTGTCAGCTCACAATAACAAAAACAGCTCCAGGGAATTTTGTTTCCTTTTTGGGGGATGCACAAAGTTTTTATTTTAACCAACTCATTGACACACTAGAAAACATTGTCACTATGTCCCTTCCTTTACCACGTGTGGATAGTAAGCAAAGAAGAATGGTTTAAAGTAGTTGACATTTTGCTGTGCCCCTAACAGCAACTCAGATGGAATATACTTACTCATCTCTGTTTTGTTCTATTTAAAATTTTATTATATAATATTTGAACAAAAGGAATAGGTATATGTATATATGAGGCATATTAATAAAACAAACACATCTCCCAAACTCAAGGATTAGAACAGCTCGAGGTACCTATGGGCTCCCCAATCCCATCCTGCTGATTTCCTGATATCCTTTTCCCAACATTTTATTATGAAATTTTTCTCTTTTTTTTAAGTTGAGGTATAAGTTTTTGTTGGATTTCATGTTTTTTTTTTGATGTACAACACGATGTGTGTGTACACATACACATACACACACACACGCAGTGATGTGGCTAAATCAAGCTGATTAACATTCATTCCCTCGCACACTTACCATTTTCTTGTCATGAGAACATTCAGAATCCACTCTCAGCAATTTGTAAGTATGTAATACATTGTTATAGCTACAGTCACCATGTTGTACAATAGGTCTGAACTTACTACTCTTCTTAAGTGACATTTTGTATCCTTTGACCAACATCTTTTCCATCTCTTATTATGAAAATGTCCCAGCATACAGGAAGGTTAAAAGAATTTTGCTGTGAACATTGTCATTATTTTTAAAGTTAAACTTTCTCTGGGGATTTTTGAAGACCATTTCATGAACATCAGTGCTGACCGAGTTAGGAGTTTCCCTTACGGTGCAGGTTGTGAATTTCCAGATGAAAGACTCTTTATAAGCACCACAAATAACTGTCAAAAATGCAACCAATGTGAAGGCAAATAGAGTAAATCTAATCTTTGCTAGACCTTGTCCGTGGATGTAAGATGAAGTGTTTTGGGAAAAGCATGAAACCTTTGTGTAACGAACAAGTCATGAACGCACGGAGCTAACGTTTCACTCCAGGCTTGTGCAAACTGCCCGCTTTGATAAATGCAGCCTTCATGACGGCTTTTGGTTGTTCTAGTCACGTTTTCCTTCTCACAGGCGCACCTCATTTTAACACCCTCTCGGTTCTGCCACCTTTTCAATACCTAATTATATCTCAAGTCTTAAATTTCTCTTACCCACCAGAGCACATTTCCTCTTAATGCTCACAGTGCCTAATGGCCAGCTCAGATTTGGATAACCTTTTGGATAATTCTTCTCAGTGAGCCATGTAGTGTTTTCTCAGCAAAATGTTTACCTATTTTGCAAGTACTACTTGAGGAGGAAAAATGGATTTCCTGATACAGTAGACAGCATTTGCAAATAAAAAGTGGCAAATATGGGCAATTTATTTGGTAAATAATGGCAAACATTTGTACCCCTGGATTCAATTCTGGAGTCTGTTACTGTGTGTAGAGGACTTTGTGGCTGAACTGTAAAAGAAACTCTCAATGTCTCCTTTTGCTCTGCCATATTTTTTTCAGAAAGCAGAAAGAGGCTTCAGTCAGAAGGAGTATACAACAGAACTTCAATAAGAGGTCGTGAAGCAGTCCTCATTTTGTATTTTAGGACCATTTTCATTATGAATCTGTGTCTCAGTTAATTTTCTGTGGCTATAACTGAACATCTAAGACTGGGTAATTTATAAAGAAAAAAATTCTTTATTTGAATCCTGTAGGTTGGGAAGCCCAAAGTTGAGGGGCTTCATCTAATGAGGGCCTTCTTACTGGTGGGGACTCTGCAGAGGCCTGAGGTGGCTGGGGCCTTCACACAGTGGGGGGCTCACAATAGATGGTCAAACTGGCTTTATAACAGACCCACTCTTGTGATAACTAACCCCCTCCCTCAATAACCCATTAATCCATTAATCTACTAAATCATAAATAGGTTAACCCATGCATGAGGGCAGAGTCCTCTTGACCCAATCATCTCCCGAAGGTCTCACTTCTCAACACTGCTGCATGGCGGACTAAGTTTCCAACACATTGACTTTTGGGGACACATTCAAACCATACCACTATGTGATGTTCTAGAATAGGGGCTCTTTCTCTAGGGACTGGGGGCCCCTAGGTCTGAGTTTCTAGAAGTTTGTCTAAAGGCCACCTGCATTGCAATTACGAAGCAGTGCCTGTTCATTTGCAGGCTCCTGGGCCTCTTCCTGAGATCCCTTAGATTACTATTTTTGAGGCTGGAGTTTGAAAATTTGCATTATAACAAGCTCTCTGGCTATTATTTTATGACATTATAGTTTGAGAACTACTCCTCTAGAGTTTCAGGGTTGAAAATTGCCTGAAATTGTAGGCAAACATTTTTGCGATTTGCATATAAACTTTTTTTTTCTATGGCATTCAACATATTTGGAACTATTACTCTAGAAAACAGAAGCTTGGACCCTGGAAGAATATTGCTCTCTCACACATTTGGGATTAAGTGGCTCAGCTTCTGTGGATGATGCCCAGAGAGGCTTAATGAGAACTTTGTAGGAACAAGTCCCAGCACTCTTCTCTCTGATCATTGGTGGTGGGGCCTTCCACAGTGAATCTACCAGTACACAGGTCTGATCATGTCACCCTTCATTCAAAAAGGTCATGTGTTCCCTAGTACCTAATGACCAGAATCTCAGGATCTGAGCCTGATCCCAGGGCAGTCTGGACTGAGTTTGTCCCTCATCAAGTTTTTCAGTGTATTCCCCACAGTCATCTTTCCCGTGCTGTCTTCCAGCCAGGGTTTGAGCCAGCATCCTTTTATTCTCCATGTATTGTGGTTTTAAAAAAGACTGTGGATTCAGACAACTTGAACTCTAGCCCTGGCTCTGCTACTTGTCACCTGTGTGAGTCTAGGCAAGTGACTTAATCACTGTGAGCCTTCATTTCATCCTTAATAATATAAGAAAAATAGCACCTACTTCAACCCGTTTTGTGAAGGTTAAATGAGTCTGTGTGAACATGAAGCTTAGCACAGCGTCTGGCACAAACACTCTGGCTGGCACCCTTCCTCCCATCTCAATGCCTTCTCCCCTTCTCTACAAATCCCAAACCTATCCATCTCCTCCTGAAGTCTTCTCAGTTCTTCCCTTTACTCCCCTACAGGAGGCACTGTCTCCCTCTTCTGAATACTGGTAACACATTATTTTCATCTTTCTTTAGCACTTAACCAATCCTGGCTTTGTGAACTTTTCAGACATCTGTTTGATCTCCCCTGCCCCTGTGGGCAGGGTTTTTTTGGTTTGGTTTGGTTTTTGAGACAGAGTCTCGCTCTGTCACCCAGGCTGGAGTGCAGTGGCATGATCTTGACTCACTGCAAACTCTGCCTCCTGGATTCAAGCAATTCTGCTTCAGCCTCCAAAGTAGCTGGTACTACAGGTGCCCACCACCATGCCTGACTAATTTTTGTATTTTAGTAGAGACGAGGTTTCACCATGTTGACCAGGCTGGTCTCAAACTCCTGAACTCAAATGATCTGCCCGTCTTGGCCTCCCAAAGTACTGGGATTACAGGCGTGAGCCACCGCACCTGGCCAGCAGGGTTCTATCTAACTATCCCCATGGACCGAGCCACAAGCTTTCTTGCACATAAAAGGTGCAAGACTGGAACTTGGTTTTAATGCTATTCATGATAGACAGGAATTTAGTGTAAGATGTATTCCATGTTACCCAGGAATTTACTGGATTAAATAAGCCACCACTTGGTAACATGAAAGAAAGTGCCAAATATCAAGTGATCCTCCAGCTTGGCCTCCAGACAGCTTTCTGTAAAGCTGCTGCTTTCTATGATAGCTCACATGTGTTGAGCTCCTCAATGCTTATTAGGCACTGGTCACTGTGCAGAGCGCTGCCTCCTCACACTCGCCCCTTGTCTTGCGTTCTCTCACATCCCTAATTTAAAGGTGAGAAAGTGGAGGCTGAAAGATGGAAAGAAACATGTCCAAGGTGCCACAGCTAGAGGTTGGGCAGCAAGGGGGACTGTATGCTTTGAATCACTGTGGTTCACTACCAGAGCCGCTGTGGCGTTCCTCAACTCCAGCCCACTTGGACCTTCAAGGCTTACAAAGATCCTTTCATTGTAGATTCTTTAAATTAAGGATGGCTTGTTAAAATGGAAAGCTCAATTGCAAAAGCAGCCTTTTCAGAACACTTCCTGAAAATATCTTTTTTATGGAGCATGATACCTGATTCATATTCACCAAGCACTGAAAATAATATTGTCTAGAGAAAAAAGCCTTGGAGAATATCAACTACTTTCTTAGAAGTGCCAGGCCCTTCACAAGTAACACCGAGGAAAAAGAAAGCATTTTCTCCAGAATAATTCATCTCCTTTCCTCCGCAGTGAGAAAACATCAAAGTTGTTGACACTCAAAAGGCACAGGTTCTTGCTTTCCGCAGAAAATAATAAATGCAAAATAGCCAAACCAAGATGCTGGAGAGAGTGGCTGACAGCAGCACCCAAGGGCTCCAACTTGAATCGAGCTGTATTATTTGTGCGGCATCAAGGTGAAGCTGAAGTCTACAGCATTGAGAGCAAAGGAGACTGTAATATTAATAGAAGCCCCTTACTCCCAAGTCTGAGAGTTCCAAGTGTGGTAAAAATGGCAACCTTTGCTTGAATTATGCCATGCTTCAGTAGAAGTTCTTTGTGCTCAAGAGCTAGGTGTGGTACTAAAATTGAATGGCTTTATATTTTACTGGTACCTGAACGTCTTAACATGGCTATGTTCACCCATTAAAAGAAATACCATTGGTTATTTGGGAGAATTGTATATTTGCTAAGTTTGTTGTTGTTGTTGTTGTTGTTGTTGTCGTTTTTGCTGAGACAGCAAATACATCTAAATGCAAGGTTTATACTTTTTAGTTTTAAGAACAAATGACTACAAAGAAGTGTTTTAAATATATTTAGTATTGCTTATTGTCTGTATTAAATACTGCAGCATAGAATATGACTGCCTTAATTTATACCTATGGAAAGTTAGATAACATCCAAATTTTCCCAATAGTAGCCCATACCTCAGTGTTATATAAAAGAGCCTAAGGGAGAGTTCATTTTTGAAAACATGATTGAGATTTATTTATCACCATGTAAATCGACCCTGAAAGGTGCATTTACTAGCGCAGTAATTTTTATAGGTAAAATGAATGAAGGTTCAATTTGACCAGGGATGTTATACAGGAACCTTTGCTTTATCTGTGGAGGGTAAAATAATCAGACATCTCCAGCAACCTTAGATCTGACACCCTGATCCTGTGGCCCCCAAATCAGTAGAGGAGTTTCACAACTGCACTTGCCAGTTTACGTTATCTGCCCTTAGCAGAGTTGGTAACATTCCCTTTTATGCAAGATGCACTTTGCAGAGCCTAAAAGAACAAAAGATGGGGACATCACCAACTTATAGCAGAGGTTATGTGACTGTTTGAGCCTGCTGGTAATGAATGTTTGCCCAGGATTACTTTCACTGCACTGTGGCTCCTGGGACAAGCTGTGTAGGTAGAGTCCTCTAGCTCCCACTCCTTTTAATGGTTGGAGGGTGCACAAAAAACTTCAGGATTTTGAGTAATCAAATTGACTTATATTTTTATTGCTTTCTAAGTTTTATTTTATTATTTTATTTTTTTATTTGTATTTTTATTTTTTTTGAGATGGAGTCTTGCTCTGTCGCCCAGGCTGGAGTGCAGTGGTGCGATCTCGGCTCACTGCAAGCTCCACCCACTGGGTTCACGCCATTCTCCTGCCTCAGCCTCCTGAGTAGCTGGGACTACAGGTGCCCGCCACCACGCCTGGCTAATTTTTTGTATTTTTAGTAGAGACGGGGTTTCACCGTGTTAGCCAGGATGGTCTCGACCTCCTGACCTCGTGATCCACCCGCCTTGGCCTCCCAAAGTGCTGGGATTACGGGCGTGAGCCACCGCGCCTGGCCAGTTTTATTTTATTTTTAATCGACACATAATAATTATACATGTTTATGAAGTACAATGTGATGTCTCAGTACATGTGCACATTGTTTAATGAACAAATCAGGGTAATTAGCAAATCCATCACCTCAAACATATATAATTTCTTTGTAGCAAGAATATTTAGAATCCTCTCTTGTAACTATTTTGAAATATGCAATACATTATTGCTAACCATAGTCACCCTACTGTGCAATAGAATAGCTGAACTTATTCCTCCTATCTAACTGTAACTTTGTAACACATTGGCCGACCTCTCCTCATTCCTCTCTCTCCCCTAACCTCCTCAGCCTGTGATAACCACTATTCTACTCTCTTCTTCTATGAGATCAACTTTTTAAGATTCCACATATGAGGGAGTTCATGTGGTATTTGTCTTTCTGTGCCTGGCTTATTTCACTTAACATAATGTCCTCCAGGTTCATCCATGTTGTGGCAAATGACACCATTTCATTCTTTTTTATGGCTGAATAGTATTTCATTGTGTATATATACCATACTTTATCCATTCATGTCTTGATGGATACTTAGGTTGTTTCCATGGCTTGGCTGTTGTGAATACTGCTGCAATAAATAAGGGAGTGCTGATCTCTTGGACGTATTGATTTCATTTCCTTTGGATAAATATTCAGCAGTGGGATTGCTGGATCATATAGTAGTTCTATTTTAAATTTTTTGAGGAACCTCAACACTGTTTTCCATAATGGCTGTACAAATTTACACTTCCACCAACATTGCATAAGGGTTTCTTTTTCTCCACACCCCACCAGCACTTGTTTTCTTTTATCTTTTTGATAATAGCCATTCTAACTGGAGTGAGACAGTATCTCATTTTGATTTGCATTTCTCTGATGATTGGTGATGTTGAGTATTTTTTTACATACTTGTTGACTATTTGTATTCTTTTGAGAAATGTCTATTCAGATCTTTTGTTCATTTTAAAATTGAATTATTTGGGTTCTTTGCTATTGAGTTGTTTGAGTTCCTAATATATTCTGGATATTAACTCTTTGTCAGATGTATAGTTTCCTAATATTTTCTCATATTGTTTTTTGTTTGTTTGTTTGTTTTTGTTTTGAGATGGAGTCTCACTCTGTCGCCCAGGCTGGAGTGCAGTGGTGCGATCTCCACTCACTGCAAGCTCCACCTCCTGGGTTCATGCCATTCTCGTGCCTCAGCCTCCCGAGTAGCTGGGACTACAGGTGCCCACCACGCCCGGCTAATTTTTTGTATTTTTAGTAGAAATGGGGTTTCACCATGTTAGCCAGGAAGGTCTCGATCTCCTGACCTCGTGATCTACCTGCCTTGGCCTCCCAAAGTGCTGGGATTACAGGCGTGAGCCACCGCGCCAGGCCTCTCATATTCTTTAAGTTCTCTCTTAACTCTGTTGATTATTTCATTTGCTGTGTGGAAGTGTTTTCATTTGATATATTTCCACTTGTCTATTTTTACATTTGTTGCCTGTGCTTTCAATGTCTTATTTAAGAAAGTATTTAACCAGTCCAATGTCATGAAACATTTCCCCAATGTTTTCTTCTAGAAGTTTCATAGTTTCTGGTCTTATATTTAAGTCTTTAATCCATTTTGAGTTGATTTTGGTATATGGTGAGAGGTAAGTGTTAAGTTTCATTCTTCTGCCTGTGGACATCCAGTTTTCCCAGCCCCATTTACTGAAAAGATTGTCCTTTCCCCAATGTGTGTTTTTGGTCCCTTCACAGAAAAATCAGTTGGCTGTAGATGTGTGGATTTATTTCTGGGCTGTCTATTTTGTTCCATTGGTCTACATGTCTGTTTTTATGCCAGTACCATGCTGTCTTGGTTACTATAGCTTTGCAGTATATTTTGAAGCCAAGTGGTATGATGCCTCCAACTTTGTTCTTTTTTCTCAAGATTGCTTTGCCTATTTGAGGCCTTTTGTGGTTTCATACAAATTTTAGGATTTTTTTCTATTTATGTGACAAATGACATTGGTATTCATTGGTATTTTGATAGGGAGGGTATTCAATCTGTAGATCACTTTTGGTAGTATGATCACTTTTGGTAGTATGATCATTTTCACAATATTAATTCTTCCAGTCAATGAACATGGGATATCTTTCCATGTATTTGTGTCCTCTTCAATTTCTTTCATCAGAGTTTTATGGTTTTAAATGTAGAGATCTTTCACTTCCTTGGTTAAATTTTTCCTAGAAATAGATTTTTTTTTGGTAGCTATTTTAAATGGTATTGTTTTCTTGATTACTTTTTCAGATAGTTCACTATTAGCACATAGAAGTACTACTGACTTTTATATGTTGATTTTTATCACTATATCTTTATTTTAATGCAAGTTTTTATCAAATATTTTTGAGCATCTCCTAAGCGCAGTGCTCTGTGAGGGTAAGTACAGAGTTGTGGGGAAAAAGGCATATAAGATATAGTCTTTTGTGTAGGTACACATCTACCATTTGCACTTGACCTCACTACTTAGGTTATAACTGAGTTACAGTAACATCAGTCTCATAAACCTTTCCCCTGTGAGAACAGCTCTTCCACTTCTACCACAAGTCTCACTTCCCTGTCGACCTGGTAGGTGGAGCCAGGCTGGAGAATAGATACCTGGTTTTCCTCCCTTATTCCTAGTTTTCCTGCTCCTGCCTGCAGGTAAATATAATGCAAACATCCTCCGCCCTCAATACACAATGTAGACTCATTATTAAGAAAAGTAATTTATCTACTATAGTCAGCATGAGTTAGTGTCATTGGTATGCTGGTAAACATTTAAAACCTGACAATTTTTGAAAAAAGAAGAATATATATACACATACACTTATTTAAAAATATTGCTGATATAAAGGATGTGTAGCACACAGTTTAAAAATAATAAAATATAAAATCTTCTTTATATAAATTCTGTGAAGTCAATTGATTTTCATACAATGTTTACCTTGATTTTTGCCAAATTTCTGACTATCCATAGTCAATCTATGGTTACAACTGATGAACGAGTATAATTCAAATTGAATGTTGTTTGATACTTTCATTTATCTTAACTAATAAGACATATGTTGGAACTTCACTTATTCTTCTGGAATGTGAGTAACTATTTTGCTAAGGATAGAATTTTTCTGAATACTGGAAGAATATATCATCAATGTTTTTTGCTATTTACAGTATAACAAGTGTAGGCACACTTTTAAGTTTAATCTATGCTATTAACATTTTCTTCATCACTGTTTTAAGACTACACAATTTAAAAAAAAAATCAAGATGTGATTTGTAGCATTTGCCAATTCTTTTATTATTATTATTATTTTTTTTTTTGAGACAAAGTCTCGCTCTGTTGCCCAGGCTGGATTGCAGTGGCTAGATCTTGGCTCACTGCAAGCTCCACCTCCTGAGTTCACGCCATTCTCCTGCCTCAGCCTCCTGAGTAGCTGGGACTACAGGTGCCCACCACCATGCCTGGCTAATTTTTTGTATTTTTAGTAGAGACTGGGTTTCACTGTGTTAGCCAGGATGATCTCGATCTCCTGACCTCGTGATCCGCCCGCCTCGGCTTCCCAAAGTGCTGGGATTACAGGCGTGAGCCACCGCCCTGCCAATTCTTACATTATATTCTCACCATGTCCAATTTCAAGCTATCAGTGTGATGCTACCGAACACTGAGTTGGGCAGAGATGCCCAGTAGCAGACCATTATATAGCTGTGATACTATGAAATATGTATTTGGTCTTCATCCCAATTTCCTGAGGTAGAGTTTCTAAAATCCTTGGAATCTCTGGAATAATAAGAGTGCTTTTTGTATGCTAAAGAAATGGCTGGTGGCTGGACGTCCCTAGATAGCTTCAGGATAGGGGCTGGTCATAAGAAAGAACATTAGAGGATTGGGACTTTCAGCATTACCCCTCAACTTCTGGGGAGCAGAGACGGGCTAAAGGTTGAGTTGATCACCAATGGCCAATGATTTAACCAATCATGCCTGTATGCATCTGTTCTCACATTGCTGTAAAGAAATATCTGAGACTGGGTAATTTACAAAGAGAAGAGGTTTAGTTGGCTCATGGTTCTGCAGGCTGTTCAGGAAACACGATGCTGGCATCTGCTTGGGGAGGCCTCAGAAAACTTACAGTGATAGCGGAAGGTGAAGGGGAAGCAGGCAGGTCTTACATGGCTGGAGCAAGAGGAACAGATGAGGGGAGGTGCCACACACCCTTAAACAATGAGATCTCAGGAGAATTCACTCACTATACAGTACCAAGGGAGCATGGTGTTGAACCATTAGAACCACCCCCATGATCCAGTCACCCCCACCCCCTGCCAGGCCCCACCTCCAACATTGGGGATTACACTTTAACATGAAATTTGTGTGGGGATGCAGATGCAAACCCTATCAATGCCCGTGTAGTGAAGTTTCCATTAAAAACCCAAAAGGACAGGGATGGTGGGGGGGAAGGGGCTGGCTTCCTGATGGCTGAACACATGGGGAGATTCCTGAAGGGTAGCACACCTAGAGAGGGCATGGAAAGTCCACTCCCCATGCCCCAGAGCTTGCTCTGTGTGTCTCCTCCATCTAGCTGTTCACCTGTATCATCTGCAATATCCTTTACAATAAACTGGTAAACGTAAGTAAAGTGTTTCACTGAGTTCTGTAAGCTCCTCCAGCAAATTAATCAAACTCGAGGGGTAAATAGTCGGAACTGTCTCAATTATAGGTGACAGCCTGCTTCTTGCAACTGGCATCTGAAGTGGGGCCAATCTTGTGGGACTGAGCCGTCAACCTGTGAGATCTGATGCTATCTCCAGGTAGAGTGTCAGAATTGAATCGGAGGACACCCAGCTAGTGTTTGCTAGAGAATCCCCTGAAAGACTGCTTGGTGGGGAAAAATCCGCACACATTTTGGTGGCCAAGGGTCACAGAAGTATTCTTTGCTGATTATTGTATGAGAGTAGGAGAAAGCATTTTGGCTTGGTTTTTTTCTATATTTAATAGTAGAATTTCCATCATATAAATTCAGTACACACAGAATAACTTCAAAAGCACAGATGACTGTATAATATAGTAAAATCATTAGGATAGAATGAGTTTTGAGTATTTGTTACATTTTCCTTTAATATAATTTAATTTTAAGTTATATAATTTAATTTGTAATAATGATTTCATGGTTTTATTTAACAATTGGCATGCAAACTTTCTGAAAATTTAACAATCTTCTCTCACAAGGCAGTGTCGGCTGGCTCCAGCAAGCTGGGATGGGATATGGGTTAGGTTGTATGTTGAAGAACCCTTAGATGTATTGCAGGAGAGGATGGGCCTATACTACTCAGTAGGTCCTGGATAACAGGTGGTTTCCAGGGCTCACTTGCTCAAAGATCAAGAGCAAGATAATCGTCATAGAGCTTCTTTGGGAATTTCATGCTTAGAGGTCACCTCTCTTAAACAGGAGGATTCCATTAGAACACACCTTCTCTGATTCATTTCTAACCCCTACATGATTTATTTGCTAATTTATAAAACATAGCTCTAGCAGTTTGTGCTCATTATCTGTTTGTGCTTTATAAATTACCTAAAAGTTAGTAGCTTAAAGTAACTAGTACACACCTACACCACATAACAATGTTTCAGTGAAAGATGAACCTTGTGTATGCTAGTGGTCCCATTAAGATTATGATACCATGGCTGGGCGCAGTGGCTCACGGCTATAATCCCAGCACTTTGGGAGGCCGAGGCGGATGGATCACGAGGTCAGGAGATTGAGACCATCCTGGCTAACACGGTGAAACCCCGTCTTTACTAAAAATACAAAAAAATTTACCCAGGCTTGGTGGAGGGCGCCTGTAGTCCCAGCTACTCGGGAGGCTGAGGCAGGAGAATGGCATGAACCTGGAAGGCAGAGCTTGCAGTGAGCAGGGATTGCACCACCGCACTCCAGCCTGGGTGACAGAGCGAGACTCCGTCTCAAAAAAAAAAAAAAAAAAAAGGATTATCATACCATAATTTGACTGTGCCTTTTGTACATTTAGATATGCTTAGATGCACAAATACTTACCATTGCATTACAATTGCCTGCAGTATTCAGAACAGTAACATGCTGTGCAGGTTTTCAGCCTAGAAGCAATAGGTCATATAGGTTATATAATACAGCCTAGGTGTGTCTTAGGCTGAACCATCTAGGTTTGTTTAAGTACACTCTGGGATGTTCACACAACGATGCATTTCTCAGGACATATCCCAGCACATATTAAGTGACATGAATGTATTGATGATTTTCTCACAGTTTCTGAGGGCAGGTGTCTAGAGTGGCTTATCTGGAAGGCTCTGCCTCAGTCTCTCATGAGGTTGCAGTCAAGACGTCAGTCAAAACTACAATGTCTGAGGGCTTGACTGGTCTGCAGGGTCTGCTCCTATGAGGACTCACCACATGGTTGTTTTCCTTGCTACCTGGACCTCTCCATAGGGCTGCTCAGTTGCCCTCACAACATGGCAGATGCCTCTTCCAGAGCAAATGATCACAGAAGAGAGCAAGTCAGAAGTCATGATGTCTTTTAAGACCTGGTCCCAGAAGTCGCACATCACTTCTACTCTATTCTCTTCACTAGAAGTGAGTCACTAAGTGCAGCCTTTCAAGTGGAGGAAATTGGGCTCCACCTGCTGAAGGTAGTGTCAAAGAATCTGTGGACGTATTTTGAACCACCACATACCATAATTTTGGGTAACTTAACTCATTTTTGTTATTTTGATTCGTGCTTTCAAATTTTAGGGTTTTTATTTTACTTTTTAATAGTTCATTATATTATCTATATTTTATTCTTTTAGATACTATTACCTTTTACTCATTCTAAAATCGTTTTTGTGACTTCTATTACTAATATTCTTATGTTGTTTGTGTGAAATTTTGATTTTATGTGATTGAATTTGGGCTTTTCCTTTATATTATAATTTTCTTTTCTATATTAACCGTGATAATCTTTAAATAGTTGGATTTCTTTCCAACTCCTTCAAGCTTGCCTTTCTTGTCTATTAGTGTGCCTTCTCACCCAATTCGACCAAATAGGTTCTGATAATTATCCGATTCTTTTGGTAATTATAGGTGAGCTCCAACATTTAGAGGTAGATGGGAGCTCTATATCTCCTACCCCAAAACTACACTAAAAAGTGATATACTACAGCACAAGTCAGTCCCAGACTGAATTTTTTCACATGTGCAACCATCTGTTACCAAGCAGGCACTAAATGGCTGAATGTCCCATCAGTGGACTCCGTGAAGACCCCACTGCTGCCTTTTTGGCACCGTAGCACATACCTTGTAGGAAGGACTAATTCCAGCACAAACATAACAAATGTCCTGATGACAGGAGTGGCTTACCTTGTGAGGGATGTTCTCTGGGCACAGGGCAGAATGTGGTTCCAGACTGAGGATGTCTCTTCAAAGGGATTGTTTTCGTGGCTCACCAGTTTCTTCAGCCCCATTCATTCCAAGTTGGAGATGCCTGTACAATACTCTGGTTAATGAAAAGTTATTTCCAAATCCCACAGATCAACTAGCAATCTTCTCTGATACAGATTTAGATTGAGGTTTTTGAAGGAAAGCCACATTCTGAACTGAAGACTCCTGTAGGAGCTAAATAACTGCTCCTATGATTGGTGTGTGGGGATTTTAAATCAAGGAAATTCAGTGTTATTTACCCAACACTAGGTTAGTGGTTAAACTCAAGCACACCATCTACACGAAGGCATTTTAAAGCTAACTCCTGACAGATGGTGTGCTTGAGTTTAATCACTAACCTAGGGCTGTACCCTCTAAGTGAGAATACTGTCTCGGTCAGCACTGACTAGGTTCTGCTGTGAGAAACCCCAGAATCACAGGCAACTAAAATGTTGGAGGTGTTTCCTTGCTGGCTCATAGCTGACACCTCTGAGATTGTTGGGCCAAAGGGAAATTGAGGGCTCTGAGGAGTTCAATAAAAATTAAATGTACTGGCTGGAAATGACACATGTTACTTTGGGTCACAATTCATTGGCCAGATGAGACTCCTGCCCCCGTGCCATATCTGGCCAGAAAGAGCAATCCTGCAAGTGGCTGGAGGGGGAAGAACTGGGGATACTTGGCCAACAGTACAGTGCCTTCTGCTAACACCCTCCTGCCATCTTGTCATTGGGGTTAGAAACAATTCATGAAAAGTCATCGGGGAATATCAATTACAATTATAGGACTGGTTCTTTTAAACAGCCTACATTTAAGCCAATCCGTGGATTCCTAGAAGCTGTCTTCCCTCTGCAATACATCCTGAGTGATGCCCACAGGGTGAGGCGCACTCGGCTAATCTTACACTCGTTCGCTTCCTTTCTCACGGTTGAGTTGAATGCTTACAGAGGCAGTTGTGTGTTTGCCCAAGCTTGTTTATGCCAGTAATACTTACTTTTACAATGACATAATTTAGTTAAATAGTACATAATATTATAAAATATAAGGACAGAAAGAAAGAACAAATCTCTTTTAAAATTGCTACTGAAATAGGAACTGAATAGGCCATATCATAACTACTCAAATTTTAATGTGCACACAAACCACCCAGAGAGCTTGTTAAGGGGCAGATTCTGATTCAGTAGGTGAGGGTGGGGCCTGAGACTTCGCATTTCTAATTAGCTCTCAGGCGATAGGGACATTGCTGGTCCACAGATTACACAGTGAATAGCAAAATATGAGACTGTTACAAAAGCTTATTGGAAAATCATTAAAATACAAAAAGAGATTGTGTGCAGGTCGCTTTGCTAGTACTTTAAGTTATTCAAGAGCTCACTCCACTTTAAAAAACCTAAATCTGGATATCATGAAGCTGCTTCTTCTCATAAAGATAATGTGAATACCATTCAGTAAAACACATTAAAAAAAAGAAAGAGAGAAAACTTGACCTTATTATGAAAAATAAATACATGGGGTTAAAAGTAAAAGTTTCTGGAGGCATTTTATTGTTTTTAAGTGATTCATTACATAAGAAAACTTTTTGCACTGGAGAAGAGTTTCTACCATATTGTATTAAATGCATAATTACCAATGGAAGTTGATAACAAGACTCTTGGCAATTAACCAAACTTTAAGTAGATACGTCTCATAAAATGTCAGTCAGGGTCACCTCACTGCCCAGTTCCAAAAGTGCCTGGTATATAGAATACAGTAGCAGACCTGCAACATATTTTGAATCTCGGGGCTTTTTGTGTATTGTTTTGTTTTCTAAGAAGGGGAAGGTTAGTAACATTCAATATTTCAGGAGCCAATATTGGGAGAGAGAAAAACTTACTGAGTGTTTTCAAGGCAAATAAATGCTCTTTACTTCTGACATTTCCTTCACACACCCCTGGTCACAGCTGTGGAAATTTTTGTTGTTGTTGTTGTTGTTTGTTTGCTTTGTTTGTTTGTTTTTTGAGACGGAGTCATGCTCTGTCGCCCAGGCTGGAGTGCAGTGGCATGATCTCGGCCCACTGCAACCTCCACCTCCTGGGTTCAAGTGATTCTCCTGCCTCAGCCTCCTGAGTAGCTAGGATTACAGGCGTGTACCACCACGCCTGGCTAATTTTTGTGTTTTTAGTAGAGATGGGGTTTTACCATGTTGGTCAGGCTGGTCTTGAACTCCTGACCTCATGATCCGCCCACCTTGGCCTCCCAAAGTGCTGGGGTTACAGGCGTGAGCCCCTGCGCCTGGCCAGAAATGTGTTTTATAGTCACAGTAGGGAAGGGGAGGGATAATGTATTTCTTCATTGTACAACTAAATCCTGATAAGCTTGAGGGATTTTCAAAGGAAAAATGACAATGAAATACATTGATACAGTGGAGCCATGGATTGAGAACTATTTCTCATAATGTATTCAGTTGTCCGGTGATGTATTTGTGGAATAATTTCAGTCCTCATCTTTCTATGCTCTCTCCAAGGACCAGAGCTTGCTGCTAAAGGAAAGATTGAGAAATGCTCTAACCATCCCAAATGGGGCAGTCTTAAGGTTTCCAAAAAACCCATCTGCACACAGACCCTCTTCCCAGAATGCTCTCCCTCCATGTTCCAAACTCATCTCCTCCCTTATTCAAGGCCTCTAAGTTCATAAGGGATTATTCTGTGCAAACTATTCCTCCCTGATTTAGACCCAGTCTTGTTTCTGGCTGCTAATAGGTCACTGCATGACTTCATATCAAATCCCAAACTGGAGTCTGTCTCAAGTATTAATACCATTCTGTGAAAGACAAGAATATTTTCCCCCTTCCATAAGCTGTGTAGGGAAGGACCTTGGTGCAAGTACCCACCAAGCAAGCTATCCCAGAAATCACAAAACAAAAAGGCTCACAGACCAAATTAAGATGCTTGAATCCCACAGTTTACTAAATCAATATAAAATGCAAACAGTGGAAAACTGCGGAGTAGATTAACACTCTTGGGTTATATATATATATGCAAGAGGAAGGCACACACTACCTAAATCCTGGGCTAGTCAAGTTCATGTGTCCTGTCTGTCTGCCATAGGAGCCTTCTCCAGTGATGGTGTCATTAAGAGGCCAGAGTTGAGTTTGAGCAAGAGTACCCCCAGACTAGAAGATACCTGAGGCCATTGACATACACTAGCTCTATTACAGCGATGTAGCCAGCCTATAGCTGTAGCTTGCCAGTTAGCTGCTAAACTGCCATGCTTTCTAATTACACTTCTTGGACAAAACACATGCAGAGCCAGAATGGGGACATGCGAGGTGTCACCAGTGGATAGTCAATGTCAGGCGTGGCCCAGCTGTCACCATGTGTGTGCTTATAACTTGGGTCTATCCATCCTTTTCTAGCTCTA
This sequence comes from Homo sapiens, assembly GCF_000001405.40. Classification (NCBI taxonomy): domain Eukaryota; kingdom Metazoa; phylum Chordata; class Mammalia; order Primates; family Hominidae; genus Homo; species Homo sapiens. The sequence continues at coordinate 43,191,534 of NC_000007.14, forward strand.
AGTAACACATTTTTGCCATCATATATTCCATTTTCTATTTTTAGCCTTTCAGGTTTCTAATTTACTGTCAGCATTTAGCATATATGATCAATTCTGCCCATGTCTTGCAAGCCATTTGCTTACTCATTCTCGGGACTTAACACAGACTACAAGGTTCTCCTGTGGCATACAAACCACTTGCTAACTCACTATGTATGCTTTTACATTGCTTAAGTATTTCATCCACTTAATTTGCTTTTCTTGTCTTCTTCAGCAGAATTGAATAATCTCAAATAATACAGCAAACTCATATTATGCAGTAGAATAGGAGGACTGATGGAAAACACAAGGTGCAAAATACATTTTTGATGGCTTAGCCAATAATTGGTGCTCCTTTAAAAAGTGGCACATTACTCATTTAGAAGAAATAAGACCTAGTTGTTGTTTTTTTCTTTTTTTTTTTTGAGATGGAGTCTCACTCTTGTCGCCTAGACTGGAGTGCAATGGCATGATCTTGGCTCACTGCAACCTCCGCCTCCTGGGTTCAAGCGATTCTCCTGCCTCAGCCTCCTGAGTAGCTGGGATTACAGGCATCTGCCACCACACCCGGCTAATTTTTGTATTTTTGTAGAGATGGGGTTTCACCATATTGGCCAGGCTGGTCTCAAACTCCTGACCTCAGGTGATCCACCCGCCTTGGCTTCCCAAAGTGCTGCGATTACAGGCGTGAGCCACCACGCCTGGCAAGACCTAGTATTAATAGATCAGTAGGGTGACTCATTAACATTAATTGGTTATACATTTCAAAATAGCTAGTAGAGAATAACTTGAATGTTCCTGGCATAAAGAAAAGATAAATATTTAAGTTGATGGATATTCCAGTTACCCTAATTTGATTATATGAATGTGCCAAATTATTATTACTTTCACACCAACCTAATATGACATGTACATTGAGTATACATATATCTAATATGTATCAATAAAAATGACTAAATACGTAAAGATAAACTTCATAAAAAGAAAAAAGTGGTACACTATTGAAGATTCTTTTTAAATAAATTCAATTAAATCTCCTAATTATATTAATAACTTACGCGTGCTTATTTTAAGACATTGGAAAATATAGAAAAGTATAAAGAAAAAAATTGTCCTTAATGCTACCAGCTGGTGACAATCAATGTCAACATTTTGGTATACTTTATTTTTTAGATCTTATTTTAATAGATATCTTTCCCCATCTGTTAAGGTTGTACATACATTTCTATATCCTTACTGTCACAGGGCGAACCCCAAAATTGGGATTCAGCCTGGAAAGCCACCTGGGCTCTTGGCTTTACACAGGAAGGACTTCAAGAGCCGGCTCACAGGGTAAAGTGAAAGCAAGTTTTTTAAGAAAGTAAAGTCATAAAAGGGTGGCTACTCCATAGGCAGAGCAGCCCCAAGGGCTGCTGGCTGGCTGTTTTTATGGCTATTTCTTGATTATATGCTAAATGATGGTTGCATTATTCATGACCTTTCCAGGAAAGGGAATGGGAATTCTGGAACTGATGGTCCCTCCCCCTTTCACACCATATAAGGTAACTTCTGGACATTGCTATGGCATTTGTAAACTGTCATGATGCTGGTAAGAGTGTCTTTTAGCATGCTAATGCATTATAATTAGTGAATAATGAGCAGTGAGGACTACTAGAATTTGCATTTGTAGCCATCTTGGTTTTGGCAGGTTTTGGCCGGCTCCTTTACTGCGTCCTGTTTCATCAGCAGGATCTTCGTGACCTGTATCTTGAGAAACCAGTCCTGCCGAACTCCTATCTCATGCCCTTTTCCCAAAATATTATATGTATTATATCTTCCTATCTTACTTCACGTGTTTTCTTTTTTTTTGAGATGGAAACTTGCTCTGTCGCCCAGGCTGGAGTGCAATGGTGCAATCTTGGCTCACTGCACCCTCTGTCTCCGGGGTTCAAACAATTCTCCTGCCTCAGCCTCCTAAGTAGCTGGGATTAAAGGTGCCCACCACCACGCCCAGCTAATTTTTATATTTTTAGTAGAGACGGGGTTTCACCATCTTGGCCAGGCTGGTCTTGAACTCCTGACCTCAAGTGATCCACCCGACTCAGCCTCCCAAATTGCTGGGATTATAAGCATGAGCCACCACACCCGGCCACTTGATGTGTTTTCTATCTAGTGGGAGACTGCCTTTCCCTGCCACTGGCTGTGACCAATTATTATTTTAGAGAGACAGTTAACAACTGCCTGACCTTTTGCCTGATGGCTACAGGTTGACATTCCTGGGTGGCCTCTCCTGCCTTGCTTGTGTCTGCCTAACTATGTACTCTAACAGAAAGACCTAGTAAGGGAAGGAGATTCTCTGCAGATTGTGAATGCCCCCCACAAGAGACAGCTTTGCAGGGCCATTTCAAAATATGTCAAAAAAGATATTTTGGAGTAAAATGCTTTGATTCGCTTCAGCACTGGCTATGTGTTATGTGATGCTATGCAAACATGTTTGGAATTTGGCATCTTATTGTTGCAAAGAGTCTGTTCTGTCAATCTTGGGATCTCTTTTAATGTTAATGCTGGTCAGTGGTGCCTGAACTCCAAAGGGAGGAGGGTATCATGAGGCGTGTCCCATATGGCCTGAACTGGTTTTTCAGGTTTCTTTGGGTCCTCTTGGCCAAGAGGAGGGTCTGTTCAGTCAGTTGAGTGGCTTGGAATTCTATTTTTTTGGTTTATAAGACCATGGTAATTTCTGTATTTAGTCAGCATTTAATCACTAAAACTTAATCTTAGTAGACATTTTTTAAAATGCTGAACTAAAGTGAGATTTTCTCTTCCTTAAAAATCTGGGATGCTCGTTCATTCTCTGATCAGTTCAGATGCAGTGTATGAAGAACCATAAAGCTAGTGTTACAGCTCTTTTAGAATTTGTCTAGCAGGTTTTCCAGTCTTTACCAGAAAGCCACTCCTACCCCAAAAAAAGAAAGAAAAACCATAAGCCTGTGTGTGTGCTCCCTGGACCCTTCTTTTCCGCAAAACCTTGCTGAAATCAGAGACAAGGACCTTCTTTTCTTGGCTAGTCCCTGCCCTGTCCTTTCTCTGAAATCCTTTAAGATGGCCAAGCTCTGTGGATTCAACCAGGAAAATGCTTCAACAGAGGGGGAAGGAGATGCTCTCCACCCTTTTTTTTTTTTTTGAGATGGAGTCTCACTCTGTCGCCCAGGCTGGAGTGCAATGGCACGATCTCGGCTCACTGCACCCTCTGCCTCCTGGGTTCAAGCAATTCTCCTGCCTCAGCCTCCCAAGTAGCTGGGATTACAGGCGCCTGCCCCCACACCTGGCTACTTTTTGTATTTTTAGTAGAGACAGGGTTTCACCACGTTGGTCAGTCTGGTGTCGAACTCCTGACCTCAGGTAATCCGCCCTTCTTGGCCTCCCAAAGTGCTGGGATTACAGGCATGAGCGCCCGCTACCTCATCTCAGGCAGGTCAGGTGAAGGTTTCTCTGAAGGACTGTTTTTTAATGAGGGAGATTTTTTTCCCAAGACTTTGGCAATCATTGTGTTCCCCTTACCTACTGCCACAAGTATGATTTACTTTCCACATAGAAGGATTCCCAGATCCTAAGAATGACTTAATAGCAATAGATAACTGTCACATATTGCTAATTCTATTTATTTCCCAAGAAAAAAGAAAGAAGTGTTAATGGTATGGTGTTCATTACTGGGGCTTCAGTCTTAAAAGGGGAATATAAACTTCGCAAAGCTGTGCACTGCACTGTGTGTGAGGTCGCACAGTCTGGGAGGCCCTGTGCCACCTTGTCAGGCTTCCTAAAGGAGCTCTCAACTCCCATCCACACACAAAGGCATCTCCTGGGGGCCAGGCCCTGGGCAAGGCTGGCTGCCTCAGGAAGTTGCCCACACAGCCACAGGGCGGCAGATCTGCCTGGTAACTTGAACGACCAGTAGCCCTCCCTGCTTGGTAGCCACGCCTCTTATGTTACTGCCCCAGAAAGCAGAGCCCATGGGCATCATCACTTCCATCTCTTAGGCTGGCACCATTGATACTGGTGGGCTGGGGTCGGTCCCCAAATACCAGTAGGACCTGGACTCAAGCCGATGTCCAGACTTTTGACACCATTGTGAGAAGGAACTTGAGGATGAATCCAAAAATCATGAAAGTTGGGAGATTTATTTGCAAAACAAAATTACATACTCAAGAAAAGGAAGTGCAGGCATATTAAAGAGAGAGTTTGCCCCATGGATTTGGGCTGCTACCTTTATGGATTTCTTTAACCAAGGGGTGGAATACTCATGAAAATTCCTGGAAGAAGGTAGAAATTTCTCAGAACTGTGGTGCCACCCATTTTTACACCAAATATAGGTATTCCCAGAACTGTCACGGGGTGGTGGGTGTGTGATTGAGGATGTTAATGAGCGTATAATGAGGTTCTAGGAGAAACCCAGGCCAAATCCAGCACCACGTTGGGTCCAGTCGGTCTTAGCCAGCTTGGTCCACACCCTGGTTTTTCAGGATTTTATAAGCTCATAGCTTCTGCAGCTATTTCAGGTGTCTTTTTGCTAGTCATGTGAAACTGCCGCCTGGAATTTTCCAATCTCCTGCAACCACTTTGTATTATTCTTATCTTACCTCCAGTGCTATAGTGGGTGAAATCCCTCCTATGACTGACTGTTCTCCTTCCTCTCCAATACTGTTAGGAGATATGTGTTTGTTTCTTAATTTTGACACAGTATGGGATTTTGATATTTTGGTATTCTAAAGAATTTAGTATTTTGCAGGTATTTTAATATATAAAAAGGTAGGCACTGCCTCTATCTTTACTTGATTTTATCTGAACCCAAATAGGTCTTATTGTTTCTAAGACAACTATTTCAATCAGTGTCTAGGGTTTATTGCATTCAATTGTTCCGTTTTGCATAAGTGAACCATGCTTTGATGACAAACAGCCAGCACCTCTGTGATGATCTCATTCAGCGTTGGAGTCCAGGGTAGTTTGCCACAGGTCCCGGCTCTCAGAGGGTAACTGCATATGCATGAATCTCTTGCCTCATTGATTTAATGCCCTCAGGATGAGTGCAGTGGGCCACTCTCTCTGCACACTTCTGACCTGAGCGGGAGATGGGCCGGGCTCCAGAGAGAGGCTCTAGGAGTGTGTTTTGATAGTTTTTTCCACAATATGCCCAGCTACAAAGTCAGCTCAGCAAGTTTTTAAGTAAGTTTGGAGTTACATTACATACCTTTATTTATTAAATTTAAATCTATGGTGGTTTTAAAACATATGAAGAATAATTTGTAATATTTTACATTCATGTGCATCAGAAAGTGAGAAAAAATTAAACTATGTTTTAAATTGAGTTTTATTTTCCCCCTGCCCTTGAGCCATTTTTTTAAGTATATACATGGTAGTGTGTGCATCATATTCATTTCATAAAAGCACCGATTGTTGTAGGAGATCAGTGAGCTAAAGGACGGGCACATATCTCTCAAATGCATTCATATTATCCAATAAATTAAATTCTTAAAGAAAAGAAAAAAGACCTATTAATTGGAACACAAAAGCCCCCATCCCTGGTCCCAGTGCACCTTTCTCTAAGGTGATGTAATCCAAAAGAGAATTTATAGAAAAAAATAGTTTTTGTTCTGTGTACACTCAAGAAAATTAGGAAAGATGAGGAAAAAAAAAGGAAAATCTCTTCTTTTGGGGGTATGGGTGGGGGTCACAGTCTTACCATGGTAGGAACTCACTCATTAAGTGGAAGAGGGAGCGGAATACCCCATCCCACCCCCACACACTCACACAGAGAAACAGCTTTTCCAGATAATGACTTTATGCAAATCAGAGAAAGGCTCCGCTGCCCTAGACCACCTTCCTGCTGCCTGTGGAGAGGCATTGATTAGCCCCCTGCAAAGCGATGCGTCCTGGGTGGACAGATGCCCAGGAGCGTGCACAGTGGCCCAAGGAGAGGGTGGGACCCACCTCTTGGCACAGAGCGATCACTGCCTCTGCTAAATAACCTTCTACAGCTCCCCCAGCCCTGAGCGATTTCTCCAAACTGAGCCCCTAAATCTGTATCAGTCACTGCTGCATGAAGAACAGGTGTGGCTCATGGTAAGACAAGGATCAGCAGGACTCTGCCCACTGGGAGAGGAGCGGTGAGGTGAGGGGGATGTCAGTTTGCTGGGCAGGTGGGGGACTCTGACGAACACAGACCGCTTCCAGGACTGGCAACATAACCGTGGCCCCAGTGACAAAGGAAAATGCGGGACAGCTTGTGCAAAAATTATTAAGGATTTCAAGATGGCGACAGCAGAGCATTAAACCCAGCACAGGGTTCCCAGTGAAGGCGTTGGTTCACAGGCCCCTGGAGCTGGCACTGGGCCCCTGATTCCCTGTCAGCTGTGGCTGCCCCGTTCAGTCTGAGCAATGACAACCCACATCTTTCCTGCCATTGCCCCTAGGTCATCTCGACCCTCAACGCACACACTCCAACAACCTACACATACACACACCATAGTCACACACCCCACACACACACTCTCTTACACACCACACACTCACATTCACACACTCACCCTACACATACCCACTATAGTCACACACCCCACACTCTCTCACACTCATACTCACGCACACCCCACATTCACACACACAGCACACACATTCACACGCTCACCCTATACACACCCACCATAGTCGCACATCCCACAGTCTCTCACACACCCACTCACACACACCCCACACTCACACACCACACACATTCGCACACTCACCCTACACTGTCACTTACACACACATCCTACATACACTCATCATAGTCACACACCCCACGCTCTCACACACACGTCTTACACACACTCATCAGTCACACACCCATACTCTCTTACACTCATACTCACATTCACACACTCACCCACCCTAACACGTACCCACCATAGTCACACCCCACACTCTCTCCTACACTCAAACACCATAGTCACACACCACAGACACCACACTCACACTCCACACTCTCACACACCCTTCACTTACACACATTCACATACCACACACACCATACACACCCCACAGTCATACACACTCATTCACACACCATAGTCACACACCCCACACTCTATCTCACACACACCCCCACACTCACACACACACCACACACACCATACATACACCCCCCACAATACAGATTTGCACACTCTCACACCCCACACTCTCACACACTATAGATTTGCACACTCTCTCACACACACTCCACACTCACGTGCACACACACATCCTCGCACACCCGCAGTCCTCCTGAGATCCCTTTGGGCTGGCCATGTTCTTCTCCCAGGAGAACTGGTGAAGTAGGAAGCACCCTCTCCAGCGTTCTCATCATCAAGAGCTAGCTGGCTATTGTTCCTCTGAAGGCTCTCACAGCATGCTTCCTACCTTGTATTTGTTCAATAACGCTAAGCTAAACCATTTGCCTTCCCAGTTCCAAAGCCTGGTATGACCACAAATCCGATATAAGAGAGTCCAAATATCCTGCCTCCACACGGAGAACCCTCCAGACCCTCATTGCACACTCTCTCTCTCCACGGTTTTCTCCAGGCAAGCTGAGAGCTCCCGCTCAGGGAACAGCCTCTGTGCTTCCCTTCTGCACGCCTGGTCTCTTATGATTACAGTTTGCCTGCCTGTCTTTAGCTCTCCGTTCAACTCACGAGTTTTGCACTTTTAATGTTGACATTTTAAAAGTGTGTTTTATAAGTCTAATCAGTAGCAAAGTATATTATCTGTATTTACTTCAGTATTGACATTTTACAATAAAGTTATCTGTTCAAGAATATATATCCTATGGAATCTGAATATTATAGACTTTGAGAGTTTCCATGATCAATTTATAAAATACATGTAAAGCTTTTCATTAACAGTTGAATATTTACATTATTCTTTTCCCCCTGGAACTTACATTTCTATTTCACCAACCCCGCTGCATTTTATCCTAATATAGTATAACCCTCTGGCAGGAAGTCTTACTCATCACTATGTCATATGTCCTGTCAACAAAAATAAGTACATAGTGGGAATTAGATTTTTTTAATTCTTTGTAAGCATCGAGTTTTTATATATGAGAAATATCTAGATTAATATATTTTACAGTTGTGATTCATACACAATTGATTACACATGTTATATATTTTTAGTAGAAAAAAATATAGAATTTTATCCAAAATGTATCTCTTACTGAGTAGGAAGGGGCTTTTATTTCTCTCGTGTTCCAGTACCCACGAATGAGTGCTATTTCCTGTTAAAATGAGACAGTTTTGGCATAAATTCTATATATACACGTTTGGTTTGTTGTTGTGGTTGTTTTTTAATTTCACTGTTGTAAGTACTGAGGGCAATTTTAAGATTTAATTCTGTTTGTATTTAGGGGCATGGTTATAGTAATAATCTGTGAATAAGTACATAGGAATGGAAGAAGTCACTAAGCGTCGCTCAATTTTTATAAATCCTTTTAGGGCTCATGCCAAAAATCACAGAAAATTACTTTTAAGGTCCTATTATCTGACAATTTGATTAGGTTCTCCTCTATTTTTTAAAAGTACTAGAAACCAGTTAACTTTCAAACGGATTTGATTGGCCCAAATTAGAGTCATTGTCTCAGTTTCTGGAACATCTACCAAAAAAAGGCTTTCCTGAATGGCATTAGTTATACTTATTTTATTAGAGGTACCTTCTATAATTGATTAATACTGTTAGAAAAAGTAAGATTGAAATATTGTCCGTTAGTACACCTTTGTAATATGATGCAGTATTTTTAAATCTTCTTTTAAAATGCTTTCGTCAAAAACTTAAGAATGGAAAATTTTGGCTCATGCATGTCACTCAATTAGTCAAATGATCACCTTTTAACAAAATCTGCAAAGCCAGTCCTCTTCAGCAAACCCGGCAGCCAAGTCAGATTTCTTCTCTGTTGGGTAACCCTACCTTCCAATCTTTTAGATTCAAACCCTTTGTGTTGATGTGTGTGCTGAGACAGCCATCCCACTTCTGAGGTTGCCTTCTAAGATAAATACACAGGTGAGACACAGAGCTTTGCCATGTTCTCTTGTCTGACGAAATAAAGCTCTTCTGCTGCCAATGTTTTGTCCCGGGCTCATTGCTCTGCTCTTATGGCCAGCTCTTGCAGGAGCAATTTGGCTTCAGCTGGGTAATAGAAGAAACAGGGTCTTCAAAACTTATTACCACTTCTGCCTCCCTGTTGGATAGTAAGTCTTATTATCAAACATAGCAATGTGGCCCAACATGCTCACCTCTGACTCTGTTTCCATGCTTTACCCTAAACAAAAATAGCTACAAAGCCAGCAAGATGGGAAACCTTACCAAAGCGGCTCGATGGAAGGAAGCTTCACAAGGACATGATCTCATTAACCCTTTCTTCATTTTCCAGAAGGTTTTTATTTCCAGAGTCGATGTAAGATTCACAGTGGGGAAGAAATACACCTCTGTTATTTTGAAACGTGGGAGAAGGATATTTGTGATAGGGGAGGTGTGTGTGTGTTATTCAGCTTGAAGACCGTGGACAAAAAGTAACAGACTTGCTCTAGGCTGGACTCAAATCCATCACACACTGGTCCTTGGTGTTCCTTTTCATCAAAATGTCCCTTGACTGGCCTGCCCAAGTCCCTCCTGCTCTCTGGGCGTGGTGAATTAGAGGACACTCCAATGGAAGAGGCAGTCCCAATCACAGAGCTCCAGAGAAGGGGGTTTGGAAGCTGGAAATGCAGATTTCTGAGTCTTTCTTCTAGAGCTGAGGCTGCGGAAGTCCATGAGACTGTAGAGGCAGGATGTACAGAGAATTACCTCTGTGCATGTTCATGGGGAAGCATGCTGTGTTAACACAAAAAGGAGGAAGGATGCCCAGAAGTCAAATTGAGAATCCACGCTCAATGGGATGCTAGGGGGCTTTTCTGTAAACCTATAATATTTTTAGGGTAATTATGATAAGAAAAACAGTAACGGAACAGCCAGTGTTCATTCATCTTTACATTCCCCGTGGTAGATTTGTGACTTAAGGTACCCAAGTGGTAAAGCTGACATTTTCTTCACAATTCCACTTTCCAAGTCTTTTTCCTGCATGAAGTCACCAAAGAAAATCAGCAATTCTCCTAGACTCTAGACTAGGGAATCTTGGTCAGAGAATTTGTCTGCAATGACTTACGTCCAGAGAATGGTCTTGTGTGGAGAGAAATACCTATGCTGAATTCTTACAACTAAACGAAAAAAATATATGCTTGAAGATTTCATTAACATTAGGACATAAAAGCAAAAAGAAAAATGCCTAAATGTCCAAGTATAGATAAAGGACTGACTAAAATAATGGTTCATGTGAGAGAAGTATGACTTACGACTCTGGGGTAGAATCAAAGTCCATTTTATCTGTGAGAGCTTCAGAGAAATTCATAATAAGGAGACTTCTGTGTAAAGAGGTTCCTTGATGATAATAAAAATAATACTTAGCCAACACTGAACTACTCATGATGCTCCAGATACTTATGATGCTCCACTTACTCATTTAACCCTCAGAGTAACCCTATGAAATACAAGTAGATGTGAAAGCCAAGGGCTACAGAGGTTGAGTAACTTGCTGAAGGATACCTAGCTAGTCAGTGGCAGAGCCAGAATTTGAACACAGAGTCTTGTACTAGAGTCTGCACAATGCACACTGTCCTCTCCCAACAGTTTTCTCATTTGTTTTGGTCAAGATCTGTACTCCGTAGGATCTCTCTCTCATCAAAAAATTGTGTGTGCATATTTTTGGGCACTAAAAACATGACATCAATAATGACAATAGTTGCAGAACCAAAAAGAAAAGTATCTTTCCTTTTCCATATTCTTTTTTACATTCATATGCATACATAATTATTATAAGATTATAATCATAAAATTTTTCTCCTTGCCTTTTTTTTTTTTTTGAAACAGAATCTCACTCTATCCCCCAGGCTGGAGTGCAGTGGTGCAATCTCGGCTCACTGAAACCACTGCCTCCCGGGTTCAAGCGATTATCGTGCCTCAGCCTCCTGAGGAGCTGGGGTTACAGGCACCTGCCACCACGCCCAGCTAATTTTTGTGTTTTTAGTAGAGATGGGGTTTCACCATGTTGGCCAGGCTGGTCTGAACTCCTGACTTCAGTGTCAGGCCTCTGAGCCCAAGCTAAGCCATCATATCCCCTGTGACCTGCATGTATACATCCAGATGGCCTGAAGCAAGTGAAGAATCACGAAAGAAGTGAAAATGGCTGATTCCTGCCTTGACTGATGACATTACCTTGTGAAATTCCTTCTCCTGGCTCAGAAGCTCCCCAACGGAGCACCTTGTGACCCCCACCCCTGCTAGCCAGAGGACAACCCCCTTTGACTGTAATTTTCCACTACCTACCCAAATCCTATAAAACAGCCCCACCCCTATCTCCCTTCGCTGATTCTCTTTTTGGACTCAGCCCGCCTGCCCCCAGGTGAAATGAACAGCTTTGTTGCCCACACAAAGCCTGTTTGGTGGTCTCTTCACACGGACGCGCGTGACACTCAGGCGATCTGCCTGCCTCGACTTCCCAAAGTGCCGGGATTACAAGGGTGAGCCACCATGCCCAGCCCTCTCCTTGCCTTTTATACTTATTATATTTCAAATAGTTTTATTTTGCTATATTATCTTTATCATCATCAGTTGTGATAGCTGCAACATGCTACAGGAAGTTGATGTTCCCTAACTTATTGAGATAGTCCTCTCTTAGTTTCCTTTTTTGTGTAATATTGCAAATAATATGGCAGCGAACATCCCATATATTATTTCTTTTCCTTCTTCGATTATTTTTTAAAGATAATTCCTGGAGTGAGATTACTGAACAAAGGATAAGGATATTTTTTGTTTCTTGTAAGAATAAAGCCACATTACTTTTTGTTTTTTTCTTGCTTGTTGCCCAGGCTGGAGGGCAGTGGCACAATCTTGCTTATTGCATCTTCTGCCTCCCCAGTTCAAGTGATTCTCCTGCCTCAGCCTCCTGAATAGCTGGGATTACAGATTATAGGCACCTGCCACCATACCCGGCTAATTTTTGTATTTTTAGTAGAGACAGGGTTTCGCCATATTGGCCAGGGTGGTCTTGAACTCCTGACCTCAAATGATCCACCCACCTCAGCCTCCCAAAATGCTGGTCACTGGTGGTAGCCACCGCTCCCAGCCAAGCCACATCACTTTTTAATGGGTAATTGTGTATTGTCATCAGTAACATATCAAAAGGATTATTGTATTTTAATGTTACAATCCTTTTGCAGTTGTATACCCCACTTTCTTAAATTGTATGTATTTAATAGCTGACAATTCTTGCTATTATGTAATATCTTGTATTCACTATGTTTAGATGTATATTGCTGAAAAAAGCACAAATTGAATTATAAATGGACTCTTTTTGTCTTACCTAAAGAATTTATTTTGAACTTGTAATAACAAATGAATTGTTGCTTAGCAAGAATGCTGATTGTGACTAGTTCAAGACATCAATAATTCTTGAGGTTCTTGGCAGATTATGGTTAGAACTCTTATACCTTGGCACCATAATAAATAAATATTTTTGCCTTCTTCAACAGTAGATGTCAAAGCAGCTAATTTTGTTGCTCCATCATTGTGTTAGTTCATTCTTATCCTGAGGAAATTTCAAAAGAAAGCTTGAAACTGAAGACCATTTTGCATGACTCATGTAAAGTTTGTTGAATAAACAAAATAAACCCATGGCAGTGAAATCACTCCATGATTAGTTGGCAGTAGATTTTGTTCAAGAAACCCTAAGTCATTTTCTTGGTGCATTCGTTTGTCCAGCACTGTATTTTTTGCAAGATGGCAGTTAAAGGATGCAACTCACTATCAGAGTGCAAATCAAGTGAAAAAAAATCTTATGTTCATTTATTCATTATGTAAATATCTACTGAACACCTTGACTCTGGTGGTGGCCAATTATACAAGACAGGCATGGCCATGCCCTCATGGAACTTTTGGCCCAGCTTGGAATTGTCAAAGAAACACAAAGCTGAACACTAGTTAAGGAGACAAGACGGATTCTAGTCAGTACTACTGCAGTAAGGAAGAGACCTCAGTGAAACCTCAGCTCAGCTCCCCTGAGACAAAGGTGGTATGTGCTAAAGGAAAGGGACTAAAGGAAGGTAAGGGGGTGGTCTCTGGGTTTAGGCCATCTGAGTTTGTTAATTGACACTTACCTGGAGGAGAAACAAAAGTCTCCTATCTTTAGGACAGGACATAGTTTTGCCAACTGGATTAAGGCCCCGCAAAGTTTGGATCTTACCATCCCACAGGAACTGGGAGACAAGAGAGCTATCTCACTGAATGTTTGCATTTCAAAGAGATGGCTCCCACATACTTGATGGGACATTTCTGGGTGGTAGAAGGTTTCTATCTCAAACGGGCACAGAAAGAATATATAATTGCAAGCTTTCTAAAGTAAATGCCCTAAGAAAGTGAGCTCAGAGGCCTATCATCAGATGTTGTCTGAAACAAACAGTAATTTTTTTTTTTTGGAAATGGAGTCTCGCACTATTGCCCGGGCTGGAGTGCAGTGGTGCGATCTTGGCTCACTGCAACCTTCACCTCTTGGGTTCAAGAGATTCTCTTGCCTCAGCCTCCCAAGTAGCTGGAATTACAGGCACCCACCACCATGCCCAGCTAACTGTTTGTATTTTTAGTAGAGGTGGTGTTTCACTATGTTGGCCAGGCTGGTCTCAAACTCCTGACGTCATGATCGGCCCGCCTTGGCCTCCCAAACAAACAATAAATTCTTTCGGCAGCATTGAGTTTTCTCAGGCAGGCATTTTAAGGGGGCTGGAATTGTCATCCTAGGAACACAGCCTGGAACTGATGGGAACTATGCTAGTGTTTATTCAAGACTTTTCCTGTAGTGGGGTGGATGAAATCACTTGTGCTGCAAGTCGTAGTTCTTCTAGGCCAAGGTCAAGGCCTGCTTGAGAACTCTGAATAGAGTCTGGTCAAGGAGAGTCTTTGTCCCAACATTGGCAGTTAAAACAAGGCTCATTGTGTCTGCAGTAAGAATGTCGCGCAGGTTGTACACTCCACAGCATGCCTGGCCATGTGCAGTGGTCTCGTGACCACAGCTGCTTCAGCTGTTCAAAAAATTTCTAATAGGTTCTCCTCAGTTTCATCATGGTCAGTGGACAAGGTCCCTTCTGTCCTACCCCTACCCAAGATCTTCAGGTCCCTTACTCTCATTTCAGGGCAAGATGATGGGAGAGTTATAAGTGCCCAGGGCTGTTGGATGATTTGTGGTCCACAGTGCAGGCGGCTGGGGGCCCCCTACACTGAGCACAGCTGGGCCCCATCTTCCTTCCAGCCTGTCCTTTAGCCCTCCAAGGAGAAGGTCTTTGTTACCCCTCCCCATCCAGGACACCCTCTCTCCCCTGCCACTTCCTCCCCTGGACACTGAAATTCTCCATAAGTATACATTGTCTGGCGCTATAGGCTGTGGCTCTTTCTTTCTCCTCTTTACATTGGACTAGGGGAGAAAACCCATCTTTTGGAACCGGAGAGCAAATTAATGTACAGAGGAAACACATGAACTAATACTTTTAGATGAGCTCCTACCATGTGCACTCACAAGGGAGCATTTTAAGGGTTCTGATGGTGGAGTTCTGGGAGCCCTGGGAACAGACACCAGGAACGCGGCAGCTGATCTGCCACGGAGTCAAGAGGATCTTCCGGGAGGCTCTGTCATTTCTGTAAATCAAGGGGTTAGGAAGACAGGGGAGAGGAGAGGGAAATGGAATGCGAAGGTAAGGGTTGGCCAAAAAGGTCTACCGTGCTTTTTTCTGGTCTTTTATTTTTTGTCTCTTCTGCTCTCTATTGGATCAAACATATTTTGTTTTATAGCTTTCTTTCCTCCCCTCAGTCCCCCACTAGCTTGGAAGTAATGTGTTCTACTTCAATTCTTTAGTGGTTAACTTTCATTTTTTAAGAGGCGTAATTAACTTTATGAACACTGAAGCTCATTAATCTCTGTATTGTACTCTAACACCACAAAAGCCTTACAATGCCCAGCTTCCCTCCCCCACCTCCCATACTGGGTGCTGGGTGCTGCTTTTATTTCCTTCTTTTTGTAAACTTCCAAGTCTGGTCATTTATCATTATTTTTACACTCGGTTCATATTTAAGTGAATCAAAATGTTTGCCAGTTTCATCTCTTCAGATGGTTTCTTAAATCCAGTTCACTTCTAGATTCAGTATTCTTTGTGCTGAAATAATCTTTAAGCTATTTAGAATGAAAAACTCTCTCGGTCTTTGTTATAGCTGAGTTAACCTTTATTATTGATTGACAGACTTGCTAAATATATAATTCTAGGATAGCCGTTGTATTTTCACTTGGCATTTTGAATATATTATTGCATTATCTTCCGAAGTCCTTTGCTGCTTTGTAAGAAGGTGCTTTTGCCTAATTGCCATTACCTTTTAAATTTTTATTTTTTTATTTTTGAGGCAGAGTCTTGCTCTGTCGCCCAGGCTGGAGTCCAGTGGTGCGATCTCAGCTCACTGCAACCTCCGTCTCCTGGGTTCAAGCAATTATCCTGCCTCAGCCTACAGACTAGCTGGGATTACAGGTGCATGCCACCATGCCTGGCTAATTTTTGTATTTTTAGTAAAGACGGGGTTTCACCATGTTGGCCAGGCTGGTCTCGAATTCTTGACCTCAAGTGCTCTGCCCACCTCAGCCACCAAAGTGCTGGGATTACAGATGTGAGCCACCGCACGCCGCCTAAAATTCTATTTTTAAATTGACAAATAATATTGTACATTCGTGGTGTACAAAGTGATGGATAGTGATGCAATCAAGGTAATTAGCATATTTGCCATCTCAAACATTCATCATTTCTTTGTCTTGGAAATATTCAATACCCTCCTTCTATTTAATAGCTATTTGAAACTATATAATATATTACTGTTAATTGTAGTCATCTTACCATGCTATAGAACCTAGAACTGATCCCTCTTGTCTAGCTGAAATTTTATGTCTTTCAACATACCTCTCCCTATCCTTCCCTCCCCGTTCCCTTGTCAGCTTCTAGTATCCTCTGCTCTACTTTTAACCTCTATGAGATCAACATTTTTAGTTTCCAGGTATGAATGAGAACATATGGTGCCTAACTTTCTATTCCTGGCTTATTGTACTTTAAAAAACATGGAATGCTTCACAGTTTGGCTTGTCATCTCGTGCAGGAGCCATGCTTATCTTCTCTTACTGTTCCAATTCTGGCAGGTGTGTTGCAGAAATGAACACTGCCATTACTTTTGAGATAATCTTTCTTCTCTTGG
Organism: Homo sapiens; assembly: GCF_000001405.40. Taxonomy (NCBI): domain Eukaryota; kingdom Metazoa; phylum Chordata; class Mammalia; order Primates; family Hominidae; genus Homo; species Homo sapiens. Next base: position 43,207,902 of record NC_000007.14, read on the forward strand.
TAATTAAAGTAGTTGTCTTTTTATGGTCTGCAGATTTGTTAAGCTGTACCTTTGTGTAGATTTATTTAATTCATTCTGATTAGGAGTTGTGATGTTACCTCAATTAGAAATTCCATTTTTCTTTATATCTGGAAACTTCACCATCATCCCTTCAAACATCGCTCCTCTCCCATTTTCTTTTTCTGTTTCTGGAGCTCCTGTTAACAGATAATGGACATTTTCATTTCTCTTCCCTATTATTGAAACCCTCATATTTTCCAGATCTTTACCTCTTCATGTGACATCTGAGTGATTTTCTCAAATCTTTTTTCCAATAGACTAATTCTCTGAAGTCTGCTCTTTCAACCTTCTATTGATTTCTCTATTTCAATGGCTAGACATTTCATTGTAGAATTCCTTTGCTTCTTTTGCAAATCAACTTGGTCTTTTCCCACAGGGTCCTGTTACTGTCTTATGACTCCCACATCTTCCTTTACCTCGAAACAATGAAAGGTGACATTCTTATTTTAAGTGTTCTCTTCAGCTGTTTTATTATCCTGAGTTATTGGGGTTAAAGTCTCCCGGTCTTTCACCTGCTGCCTCTCCTGGTAGTTTTCTATCACTGAGAGTCCCCAGGGTCTGGGCCTGGCAGTATCTCCAGGGGAGAGCTCACATTCATCTCTTCTGGGCCTTGTAGGATTCAGCAGTTTAGGGTAATTTTTTGTGTCAGCTTTCAGCTGGGGAAGCAAATGTGTGTCTTTTTACTACCCACACAGTGTGAGTTCTGGCTTCATTCTCATTGGTGGTTTAGGTCTAGGACATGCTCCTCTTAGGCAATTCTGATCCCTCTTAACCTCTTTGGAGCCACCGTTTCCCAGGGCTGGTGGTCAGTGCTGTTTCTTTCCACCGAAGCAACAAGCCAGCCCTCCAAGGTGTCTGGCTTCCAGCATGGAACCGGAGGTCTGGATTCATCTCCCTGCAAGAGCATCAGAAGCCACACACTCTTGGAGGCTGAGGCCCGGATCTGGCTCTGAAATACCTGTGCCTGCCTCTGGCTTCCATTTTAGCCAAGTCACCCTGGCTTTTAGAAGATTTTGCTTCATTCCTGGCACCTCTTTTGATATTGAACTTGGCTATATGCACAAAACATTACCTCTTATTTAGCATTTTTATGTATTTGAGGCAGGTAGGGCAGGGTTAGGAGTGGGAGGCGGGCAGCCTTTCATGCCAGCTCAGCTTGCCCTGTGGTGTGAGGCCCCAAATTGTTTTATGAAGCCAGCGTTAACAGTGGCATCAGACCCACTAGCCCCTCACAATCTTGCCCATGATCGCCATCGTGGTAAATGGTTTCCAGGCAAGACCACATACGGCACGCTGGCCCCCTGAAGACCCATGCTCCCCTGTCCCCTGTTGCTCCTGCTGATCAGAGCCAGAGCTGATGATGCCTCGCAGGCAAGTGTCCTCAGCCAGGGCCTGCGGGTGTGTGACACTCTGCAGGCACCAGGCATCACTCTGCTTCCTGAGCCTCTCACTCTGGATCCGGTTCTCTGCCTTTTTCAGGCCAATGACTATTATTTTATTTCTCAGGGGTATCTCGCGGCTCCTGTCTCCTCTGTAAAGCACTGTCAAATTTACAAGAGAGCTTCTCTCTCTCTCCTGTCTCAAAGAGATTAGAATTTGCAAGAAAGAGCCTCCTTGCCCATTTTTTTCCTCTGTGAAAAAAGTTTCAGTTGGAGAGTGATTTTGCAGCCAGGCTACAACTGGGTAAGATTTGATGGAGACGTACAGATGCGAAGCCTGGAGTATCAATGTCTTTCCACAAGTGCTGGGAAGGAGAAAAGAAAATTGGTTATTTGAGTGAGAAGAATGTGGAGAAGAGTGGACATATCTGAATGCTGGCAGGAAGGAGCTGAAGCAAAATGAGAGGCGGGCATTCCAGAAGAGTGAAGGGAGCATTAATAGAGCAAATCACAAGATGGGCCGGGCATTGGCGTTCACCCCGAGGTCATCTGCCGTGCCCAGTCCCACAGCATCTCTACTTAAGGTGAGGTACTCAATATGTCAGAGTGGAACTTTAACCAAAGGAACACAGCCACCACTCTGAACTTTGGGCTCTTCTCCAAAGCGAAGGTGGGACAGAGTTGAGAGAAACTTAAAATCTACTGCTCTTGATGGTTTTAAGTCAACAGCCGGGGACTGGCAGTTTCCTGGCCTGAGCGGACCCAGCCGTATGTGGGGTGTGAGTGCAGGGCCTTCCTTCCCACAGAAGGATCCCTGCAGCTTGTCCCACTGCCTGGATGGGGAGACCTTGCTGACCAAGGACTCTCTTAACTGGAGGGGTTTCATAGAAGTTGATGTGTCTGTTGTCACTGCCCAAAACGAACTTATTGTGGAGATAGGTCATTGAAAAGGTGCATTGTGATGAGGTGAGAATAGGAAAACTTGCAGAGTATGAGGCCCTGGGTGGCTCTGGTAGAACATCATTAAGAGGGGCTCAGGTCATCCTGAGACAGGATTTTTGCATGCCTGGGCCACTGATAGAAGACTCAAGAAGGATCAAGTAGAAGTGAGTGTGTGTGTGTGTGTGTGTGTGTGTGGTATTGTTACAGGGCGTCCTTGCTCCCAGAGCTCCCAAGATGGTGTTGGGCCACTTCCAAGATGGCTGCAAGCCTCGTGTTCGCTAACCTGGGGTTCTTGGCCTCATGGATTCCAAGGAATGGAATCTGGGGCCATGCAGTGAGTGTTATAGCTCTATTAGAAGCCTTGGGTCACGGAAGAGAACCATGGAACCCAGTGACTAGTGTTCAGCTCAATTAGGACAAACCCGGGCACTTAGCCAAGCAGGAACAATGGCAAGCCTTTAGCCCAATCCAGAGCAGCAATGGGCGCCTCACTGGATCAGGAGCACAGCAGACACCCTGCCAGATCCAGAGGGGTGGAAGTCAGTAGTGGGTCTGCAATGGCGGTAAATATCAATGGTGGACGGCGAGCGAAAGCTCAGGTCCAGCCGTGACAAACACGGACCAGAAGAGTGTGCACTTGCAAGATTTAATAGAGTGAAAACAGAGCTCCCATACAAAAGGAGGGGACCCAAAGAGGGTAGCCGATGCCGGCTGGAATGCCTGGGTTTGTATCCCGGTCATTGTATTGTCCCTCCTGCAGTGCTCTCAGGCGATAGATGATTGGCTATTTCTTTACCTCCTATTTTTGCCTAATTAGCATTTTAGTGAGCTCTCTCATTAGTCGGGTGTGAGCTAAGTTGCAAGCCCTGTGTTTAGAGGTGGATGCGGTCACCTTCCCAGCTAGGTTTAGGGATTCTTAGTCGGTTTAGGAAATCCAGCTAGTCCTGTCTCTCAGTATGGAGGCAGGTAGGCTAAATATCAGGATGAAAAATCCAACCTTTACCATTTTATGTAAATAAAACTGCTTTTGGCTTATTCAGGCAGTTCCCATTGTTTAAGTTCCATCTGACACATCACCTTTCTCCTCCGTGAATGAATGAAACGGTTCTGTAAGTATCCAAGTGTGAATGCTCCATGCGGGCACCCTGTGGACGCTAGGGATGCAGGGAGAGTTAGGATTGATCATCTCTGTCCTCAGGGAACTCACAGTCTCATGGGACAGTGTCCTCCCACCAGAGGGCATGATTCCCAGGGGTGAAAGACTTTCCAAGGGGGACTCAAGCATGGAGATTCTATGGAATCCTGTCCTCAAAACCTCAACTTCTATCTATTCTTTTCTAAAATTGACCTGCTAGAATAAACCTGTGTTCATAATAACCCTTCACAAAAGGGGGGCGTTCCCCCTTGCCTCCCTCAAATTTTGCCTGTGCATTACCCACAGAGCATAAAACTTTGAGGATATTGAACAAAGGGAAAACCTTTCTCAAAATAATAAATCAAGACATCATAAACCCTTTGAGCTTCCCTTCTGTTTCTGCCTTGTACACCTCAGTTAAGAATAAAGGGTGGTGTTAGAAGGGGATGCTTTGTCCTGCATGTTTGTGATGTTTGGAATTCTTCAGATGTATGGTATGTGGAGTAATGACAAGTTTCATTTTAATGACTTTACCTCTCCCTGTCTACTATGCAAGGAGTTCTTAAGGGAGACTTACAGGAGAACAAGGCAAAGAGAGCACTGTAAGAAAGACTGAATATTGGAAACAACCCCTACCCATATTTCAATGTAAGCATTTCTTTACACCTGTCCTCAGCACTCATCCCTCAGCTAAGAGAGCAGTCTCTTCAAAGAGATTTTTGCTATTGATTCTTGTAAACACAGTTGTGATGTTTCCTGAACTATCAACATTTTCAAGGCTATTAAATGAAATGCATGAATAAAACTTTTACCCAATCTCTCTCAGATTAGGGTTGTGTTATTAATTAAGGTAGTCAAAATCTGGTTTATCAAATCAGATCATACACTCTTTATTTACAGTCATTTGCCATCTTATAAAACATTCAATAATTTTTTCCTGCTATTATTACTAAACAAAATTATATACTAGCTGCTAGACTGATAATTTTTAGCAAAATATTCTTTTCACTTTTTAAAATATATAAATTATGTTATAATTATGTTTAACAAGACTATTGGAGTTATTTCTGGTATTTATACATGAGACTCATTTAACTGTTCCTCAAAACCAAATCATATGCACACAATTACAGAAGGGAGGCCAAGGCTATTACGCTGCACTCTTCTTAAGTAACTGGTAATTTTAGCTGCAAATTACATTGCACTATAGCAAATTAAGTAATGAGAATGATTTATTATCTTGTTTATAGAACTTACTTTAAAATGGATAAATATATTAGATCTTCATTATTTTAATCTTACTGGAATGTCTAAGTACTCTAACTTACAAATTGCATCTTTTACTTTATTTCCAGTCATATTTCTAATATTCTTTAAAATGTACATTAACACATTTATCTGGATTTTAAAATGAAGTCAGACATTTTTCTGAAAAAGATCTTATTTGGCTAGTTGGTTTGACAAAGAGGACTGGCTTTGCCATTTATATTATATGGTAGATATTTTCCACAAATAGAACAACTAAATCTGTAGCTCTAAGATTATGACAGAAGTATATTTAAAGCATGAGCTAAGATTAAATCATATTATTACAATATTATATCAGTAAAAGCGTAATGAAATTAGTAATATGTCAATTTTCTTGCCTTTTCATGAGTTAATCTATGTATTTCTCGGTGAAAGAATAGCAGGTGTAATTCTCCATCACCTGATAAGGCATGATAAGTCTTTTTTATATACTTCCCAGAAAGTGCATGACTCTGGGACTGGGTAACAAATCTTGCCCCAAGTGAGGTGTTTTCAAGTTTTTTACGTTCATCAAACTGAAGCAGGACTGACTTGATTGAGTTATTGACTTGTAAATCATTAAAGATGATTTCATGATAAGAGACTTTATCATAAATGACATGTGCTTATTTTGTTTGGATCATCTGTATACTACTGATGATAACTCTAACAATACTAATTGATTACTCAACCTGGAAGAAATGGTTTAACACTTAGAGCTGGTGATCATAAGAATTTTTTTTTTTTTTTTTTTTTTTTGAGACGGAGTCTCGCTCTGTCGCCCAGGCTGGAGTGTAGTGGCGTGATCTCGGCTCACTGCAAGCTCCACCTTCCGGGTTCACACCATTCTCCTGCCTCAGCCTCCTGAGTAGCTGGGACTACAGGCGCCCGCCACCATGCCCAGCTAATTTTTTGTATTTTTAGTAGAGGTGGGGTTTCACCGTGTTAGCCAGGATGGTCTCGATCTCCTGACCTCGTGATCCACCCGCCTCAGCCTCCAAAAGTGCTGGGATTACAGGCGTGAGCCACTGCGCCCAGCCAATAATTTTTTTAAAAATTAAATTTAAATCTTTATACATATTTTTATCACAGAAAAGAATGATATAATTAATAAAAGACTTTACATCATAAATAGCTATAGCATTAGGAAGAAATTTTGTTGGGGACTTAGAATGGGAATATGATTGCAATGAGAAAAACAAAAGGTATAAAGTTTCTATGTGATCAAATCAGTATGTATTTTTTCAGGAAATTAAACATTTCATCAGGATTTTGGAATTTATTATATAAGACCTTTAGAGACCTTTATTTTAATTCTTTAAAAGCTGTTTTCCCTACTGGTGGTGATTGTAATCTTCTATATTACTGGTATTGTTTACTTGCTTTTTCCCTCTAGTTTTTCTTTTCTAATTGAAATACACATATGTATTTCTATAGTTTTTCTAGTTTTTCATATATATTTCTCTCTAATTTTTATAGTTATTTTTCATTTTTTCAAATACATTTTTTTGTTTTTATACATGGATGTACATACATGTAAAATTAGAGAAAATAAAGCAAATAAACAATATTAGAAATGTGAAAGGAGATTGTAACTGTCCTTGATAGGGAAAACAGCTTTTAAAGAATAAAAGAATGCCATCTAAAGAACTAGAGTAATATAAATATCATAATAAATAACTTAGGAAATAATACATTCAAATATATATTCAAATAACTTTTCTGAGTAATAGGTACAAAAAACTAGACAAACTAGAGTTTCATGTGTGTGTCTGTGTATATGCATCTATATATCCTTATCAAAAAATAGCTGTTTAATTTAGATGGCAACGCTACTTTCCCCTGCCCCTGTTTTGTTTGGTTTTTATTGTTCTGTGGTGGTGGTGGTGGTGATCGTTACTATGTCAGTCAGGATCCAATCAGGAAATTATGGCAAACTCAAGGTGCCTAATTTAAGGAGCATTTCATAAAAGGACTGTTGACCAAGGCATGGGCAGAGCACAGGAGACGGCAGGGTGGCTGGGCAGGCATGAGCAGATGCAGGTGGGCACGGGCACTAGCCCAGAAGGAGGAGGAACCCCCAGAGAGGGGCCAGCTCACAGCCCACAGTGAGGGAACCATGTGGGGGCATGTTCTGACCTTGCACTTCTCCCTCCCTCCAGTCTTCTGTGTGTTCCACATTGGCTGAACCCAGCTGGGAGGCAGCGGGTGAGGGGGCCCATGAATGCCTCCTCCCAGTCAGCGTCCCAGGACCCTGGCCAGGAAGAGCAAAGTGGGACAGAAGAGGCAGGTGCAAGGTAGCCTACCCCTTTTGGGTATTTATTCACTTACTCTTCCTGCTCTCCTTGGGTTTGCTTTGTTCTTTTTATCCTGATTTTAAAAAATGTAAGGATTGAATTTTCAGGTTCTTGATTTACATTCTTCTTGTTTACTAACAATAGCAGCTAAACTATACAATATTTAATTACCAGTGACTGTATAGGCACCGCCTAGTCAGAATGCACACTGCCCTTGGGACTCCTGGAGAGCCCTTGCTGTGCCCGCATTAACCCTTTAGCTGCTGCACCTTGCAAGGGTCGGTTGTCCCCAGAGAGGCTGAAAGCAGTGCTGTTTTCCAATCCTCACAGAAGCGTTGCCCTGTCCTAACATGGTTCAGCATGGCTGACCCAGCCAGTGCTGGCTAGACGGCAATCCTACGTAATGCTATGGATTCCACTGTTGCACATAATTTTATTTGTATTCCTTTTGTGGCATTCTCATTGTCTTTCATTTCTGAGCAGTATGTAATTGCAATTTAAAATTCCTTTTTAACCAAAGGTTAAATCGTTAACAAATGGTTAAGGTATTTTTAAACTTCAAAGTTGTATTATTAATACAATATCTATCCTAGTTGCTTTGCAGTCAGAAAATGTTATCACCACTCTTTATGCATTTCATAATTTATCAAGGTTTTCTTTGAGGCCCTTGTATAATCAATTTTTGGTAAATGGTCCATGGATATTAGAAAACAGTCTATTCTTTGATTGTAAAGATCTTGAAAGACATCTACTTAACTGATATTATTTAAATCAGAGTCCCTGTATACTGTTATATTTTATTAAATTGATGTGTCAAATGCTGAAGGAGTTAGGTCAACATCCTCTGCCATGTCTGTGCCTCTCTCTGTAGCTTTGTTCTGGTCACTGCTGTGTCTCCAAGGACGTATAGGGCCAGTGTTCAGAGACCAGGCAGAGGAGTGGGGCAGACAGAGACCACTGTAGTTTCTTCAAACTGTCTGACCCCATGACGGAGAGATGTTGTACAGTTTATGGAAGTAGTCTCTGGCCCTGAGTCAGGTAGAAGACAGAATTCCTATTCTGTCTGTCATTTTATATGGTCTTTGTTTTATAAGATGAAAGCTGAGTCTGGTGAGATGAAGCAGGTTTTTGTTTGTTTGTTTGTTTTTGTTTTTGTTTTTTTGAGACAGAGTCTTGCTCTGTCACCCAGGCTGGAGTGCAGTGGTGCAACCTGGGCTCACTGCAACCTTCGCCTTCTGGGTTCAAGTGATTCTTCAGCCTCAGCCTCCTGAGTAGCTGGGACTACAGGTGTGCACCACCATGCCCAGCTAAGTTTTGTATTTTTAGGAGAGACGAGCTTTCACCATATTGGCCAGGCTGATCTCAAACTCCTGACCTCATGATCCGCCCACCTCAGCTTCCCAAAGTGCTGGGATTACAGGTGTGTGCCACCGCATGCCAGCCGAAGCAGGTTTTTAATGCCTTAAAGGTTTCTGCTGTGGCAGAAGGCAGTCCATCCACCTTAGCCATCAGCACCACTGAGTTTTTCTCTTTCCTGGATCATGGTAAGCTGAAGATGTTGCCTGGTACTGCTCCCCAGATGCCGTGTTAGCCCCAGGGACAAAAGTCTCCACTAGCCCACATCCTGCTTCCCTTTAGCAGTGTGGCAAATGCAGTGTAATTTTTTTTTTTTTCTGAGAGTCTTGCTCTTTCCCCCAGGCTGGAGTACAGTGACGTGAACTCAGCTCACTGCAACCTCTGCCTTCCAGGTTCAAGTGATTCTCCTGCTTCAGCCTCCCAAGTAGTTGGGATTACAGGCACCCACCACCATGCTCGGCTAATTTTTGTATTTTTAGTAAAGACGGGGTTTCACCATGTTGCCCAGGCTGGCCTCGAACCCCTGGCCTCAAGTGATCCTCCCATCTCAGCCTCCTAAAGTGCTGGGATTACAGGCGTGAGCCACCACTCCCAGCTGCAGTGTAATCTTAAAGCATCCTTGCACCAGAGGGACCAGCTGTCAAGGGTTCTGTGGCTCACAGTCTGATCATAGTGGCAGCATTAGAGTGCTTTCGGACACCATTTTAATAGCTCCTTCTCTGATCACACTCTCCTGTTTGTGTCCCATCCCTAGGCTAGGCACACATTTTAATGACAGCAACTTATTACCGAGTACATGAAAAAAGCGAGCCCTTTATCTAATAAAATTTTTTAATACTGGAATAAATTTAAACACTCACTTACCTTTCTCATCTCTTCATATTTTGCTGCATAGGCACTTTATGCTTGAGTTCTGACCCTGAACCCACTACTGTAAATTAAAATTGAGTCTCAGTTAGCTATGTATAAAATACACTTTGGGTTCCAGCTAAATGAAGTCCCTTTCTGGGAATACAGATAAGAAATAAGAAACATGTTTCTCTCTACTTCAAGTGCATGAGTTCTGGTAACTAGGGTAGGTGTTGGATTATAGTTGAATGTCTATATCAAATTAATGAGAGATACTGTTGCTGCTTTTCATTTGTAGATGAATTGGGGTACCCTCGAAAGCAGGGAATGTCTCACTCCCTCCAGAATCACTGATTGCAAGGAAGTGAAACCTACCTGAGCTAATTTCAAATGACCGTAAAAGGGGGAAGAGGACAGAAGGATCAGTGTAATAAGATTATACAACAGACAGCTTTACTTGCAAAATGATGAGGGGCTTAGGCATCACTCCTCTTCTCTTTCTGAACTGTATCCTATTTCTTGGCCATGTCCTTACACAGCTCTTGGCGTATGGTTTGGAGGACTTCAAAGACTTAACACCCACCACTCATGTCTTTTAGAATTATCAGGAAAGGAACTATTTTTGGTCACTGAGCATCTAATTAATTAGCTCCTTTTGGTGCCATGTCCATCTCTGGCCCAAGAGCAGTGTTATCTAGCACAAGCCTGGCCACCAGCACCCGATCCTTCTGGGGCTGGAGAGTGCAGGATTTCCTCGAAGAAAAGCCTCCCAGGGAGGCCTGTGGGGTCCACTAGAGGGAATGGGGGCACAGCACCAGCTAGGTATTAGGAAGAGTTTTAGATTCCCCTTTGGAGGAGAGCTGTGTAAATGGCCCAACAAAGTCTGTGTCAAAAAGGATTTTGAAGCTTTAGAAACAGGATTTTGCAGGTGAAAACTGATAGTTCATCTTGTATTTTTAACTTAAAAAATCAATACCACAATGCTGGGCCATTCAGTGTAAGATATATTTAGATCACGGATTGAATTGTTATTCCTGAGCAGCAATATGATCCAAGGGGAGGTGAGAGGAGGCAGGAGGCCTCACTGCTTTCTCCTGCAGCAGCACTGGGTCACCTTGAGAACCTGCTCATCTGAACCTCTTAGAGCTCAGGGTATTTTTTTCCAAACAAGAGGACAAGACGTATCATGGATCTGAACACAGCAGTGGTTTAGGATATCACATCTTGGATGCACATCTTTATCTTAGAAGCAATTGGGTCCTGATAACACATTTTGGTGGAGAAGGGAAGGAAGCAAGGAATGGGGTATGGCAGGGCAGAGGGAATGAACCTGGCCACAGTGTGCCTGTGACCAGCAGTATAGATCACAGTGTCTTGGAAGGCACAGCAAAGCTGGCTTTGGGCAACATTTATACCTAGGGTGTTTTACTCATGGGCTGATAAAGCCACCCTCATCTTCTGGATTGATAGTTCTTGATGAACAAAGCCCAAGGGAAAAGAGCATGTCATGGTTTAAGAGGTTCATTAATTTGGAGCAAGTCCCCAGCCAGGATTGGAAGGTGTATAGAGAAAGTGATACAACGAGTGGAGGAACATGAGGGCTCTTGTCTCACGTGATTTAGATAAAATGACACGGACACACGTGGAGTGGTTTTAAGGAGCAGAGGGTTTAATAGACAAGAAAGAAGAAGAAAGAAGGAAGAAGCTCCCCTGTACAGAGACAGAGAGAGCAGTGCCGGGGAGCCAAGAGAGGGAACTCACCTGTGGGGAACACCAGCCAGGTATATAAACAGGCTGGAGGAGGTGGTGTTTGATTTGCATAGGGCTCAGGGGATTGGTTTGACCAGCCATGTCATTCATGTAGCCTGCGAAAAAAACTAGCCTTCCCACTCTAGCCTTTTAGTATGCAAATACAGGGCGCCATGATGTTCTACACATGTGGGGATATGTGGGAGTGGCCATGTTGCCAGGCACATGTAGGGGCAAGGGCAAGAGGACAACAGTGGGAATCGCCATGTTGGGTGGACCCAGTTTCTAATGGCCTGCATTTGCATATCAAAGGTTGCCAGCTAGGCTCTAAGACCCAGGGCTTTCCTACTGGACAAGAAATGTTTCTGGAGCCGCTTCAAAAACGAAAACTTTCCAAGGACCCCTTTTCCTCTCTGTCTGCCTAAAATAATTTCTTAATAATTTCTACTGTAACAGGACAAGCAGCAGACAAAACCCCTCCGATACCGAGCTAAAGAAGGAAGGGCTTTATTCAGCTGGGAGCTTCGGCAAGACTCCTGTCTCCAACAACCGAGCTCTCCAAGTGAGCAATTCCTGTCCCTTTAAAGGGCTTACAACTCTAAGGGGGTGTGTGTGAGAGGGTCATGATCGATTGAGCAAGCAGTGGGTATGTGACTGGGGGCTGCATGCACCAATAATTAGAATAGAACAGAACAGAACAGAACAGAACAGGACAGGGATTTTCACAGTGCTTTTCTATACAATGTCTGTAATCTATAGATAACATAATTGATTAAGTCAGGGGTCGATCTTTAATTACCAGCCCAGGGTGTGGTACAGGGCTGTCTGCTTGTGGATTTCATTTCTGCCTTTTAGTTTTTACTTCTTCTTTCTTTGGAGGCAGAAATTGGGCATAAGACAATATGAGGGGTGGTATCCTCCCTTACTACCACAAAAGGTTCTTTTGTGGGCAGGAAATGGACACAGTCTCAGTCAGCTGGGCCAGCCCTCCAGTGTGGTGCTGCTGGGGAAACTGAGGAAGGCTCCTGCAGTGAGTTCTGACACCAACTACCTGGTGCTGGGCCAGACTTCGCAAGTCAACACGGTCCCCCACACACTGCCACAAGGCCATGGGCCCCAGGCCACCTACACTTCTACTAGCTGGCTACAAATTTAGGAGTTCCCAGTACCCCTTAGGTTTTCTAATTTACTAGAATAACTTTCAGAACACAGGAAAGTGGTATACTTATTATTACAGTTTTATTATAGCAAAAGGAGACAAATCAGAACCTGCCAAAAGAAGAGCTGCATAGGGTGAGGTCTGGGAGCACCTAGAATGCAACGCTTCCTGTGTCCTCTCCCTGCGGGGTCAGGATGCATTACCCTCCCAGCACAGAGTATTGCCAGTAGAGACACTCGCCTGAGTCTTCACGTCCAGAGTTGTTATTGGAGTTTCATATGAAGGCACAGTTGACTGAATCATTGGCCATGTGGCTGACCTCAATCACTAGCTCCTCTCCAGAGATCAGGCTGATGTCACGTGACTCAGAGACACAACACTCTAATCACAGCCCTCATCCTAAGTCATCTCTTAGTCATAAGCTAACTAGCAGCCCACCAGCTCTAGCATAAACTATTAGAGCCTGCCGTGAATAACAAAGGCACTACTATCATCCAAGAAATTCTAAGGATTTAGAGGCTACCTCCCAGGAATTGGAAACAAAGTCCAGCCAAACTCTAGGACACAGGAATCCTAATCATTTTTGGCTGAGCAGGTACATTAAAGAAAATGTTGACGTGTTGGTGCCTGGGCCTGGCAACCAGATAGTAGGTTTAGGAAAGCCACCAATCCCTTCCACCCCCATGGCCTGCCCTGGAACAAAGGAGAGAAGGGAGACCAGTTTCTTGTGAGCTTTCCATTATGGTGCCCCTTGGCTTTAAAAATGGGCAGGGCTGGGCCAGAAATTCACAGGCCTCCCTGTGCAGACCATGTGTGGCTGGTGTCACAGAAGGAAGCCATTAGAAATGCATATTCATGATCATGACTCCTACTGCTGGAGAGGGACCATTTGGGCTCAGCATTTAGTGCCTACCTCTGCAAGACACTGTGGGCTTGATGAATGTTTTAAAGAATCTTTCTTCTAGTGACCTGGAAGCACCTTGAGTACTATTTGGTAAGGGGACAGTACATATTACTTTTGTTACTTGGATCCCTTATCAGTTAGTAGGGTTAATTACCTGGGCTTTAGGGCTAAGAGAGTTTAGGTAGGCAGCTGTGAGTCAACAGTTGCCAGGGGTCCCATTTCACATACACTAGAAGAATGTGATGGTACCTGGCACCACATCTAGAGGATTAGGGAGATCCTGTGGTTTCTGACACTGTGTTTCCAGGGTCATTTTATATTTTGATCTCTTTAGGCCAAGGATGAAATATGTACCAATCAATCAGAGAAGATAATTGAAATGAAGCCTATTTACCTTTCCTAACCCTAGTCAGAACCACAAATTTTTAAATCTCCTTATCTCTTAAAGCCTGTAATGCTAAGCCTTGTGCACTAAGTGCTCAGTAAGTATTTGCTAAACTAAATGTCAGAGGAATTAGGTTTTTTTTTTTTTTTTTTTTTTTTTTTTTTTTTTTTTTTTTTGGGACAGCCTGTTGCCCAGGCTGGAGTGCAGTGGCGCTATCTCGGCTTACTGCAAGCTCCGCCTCCTGGATTCATGTCATTCTCCTGCCTCAGCCTCCCGAGTAGCTGGGACTACAGGTGCCCACCACCACGCCCGGCTAATTTTTTGTATTTTTAGTAGAGACAGGGTTTCACCGTATTAGCCAGGATGGTGTCGATCTCGCAATCTGCCTGCTTTGGCCTCCCAAAGTGCTGGGATTACAGGCATGAGCCACTGCACCCAGCAGGGTTAGTTTTTAATTGTTGAGCTGATTGCATTTTATCATCATAGGTTGCAATGCCAAATGACTGTTGCAGAGACGATTATGAGATGCAGATCCTCGTTACTCAAAATGTAGTCCTTAGACCAGAGTGTCCTCACCTGGTAGCTCAATAAAAATGCTTAGTCTCAGACCTACTGAATCAGAATCTGCATTTTAACAAGATCTGCAGGCCATTCATATGGACGTTAAGGTTTAAAAGTTCCTCTAGGCCAGCGTTCCTCAACTGTCTTGGCACATGAGAATCTCAGAGCAATTAGGTCAGAATTTCTGGGGTTGGAACCCAGGCTTCGGTACTTAGTAAAGCTCTCCAGGAAAACCACTGAGGTAAGCATTGCAAATCACAAGGAAATAGCCTGGATCCATTCAGAGAACCTGGGTTTTTTTTGCTCTGAAAATAAGAAGCCGAATACTCATGAACCAAGTCAGCTTTCCTTCCAATAAAATCTGGTTCCATCTCTGTATTTTGCACATCTTTCAAAGATTATGCAAACAATCTTTGAAAGATTATGGACTGTTCTATGTCCAGAAGGTACTTTGTATAAGAGGGATTGCATTTGGGGCCTTTCTAATCTAGGATCAGATGTTTTCAAAATGTTGACTCTGAAGAGGATTGAAGTGCCTTGAGGAAGAGCACAAGAAATGTACAATGCATCTTTCTGGGGTGAGATCTTTTGATCATATTTTCTTCAGCTGCTACTGCTGAATTAGAGTCTAAAGATACTGTTCTTCTTCCATAGAGAGCCAAATTCAGTAGGGGGAAGCTTGCTAACACCGGAGTTTCAAATTATTCAATTAGTCTGGAAACCTGACATGTGTGAGATTTGTAGCATTCAGTCTATCTTCCCATGGTCACAGGTGACCTTCCCCCACCATGTGGATGCCTGTTTCCTTTGCAGGCTCCTCCTTTCCCTGAGCTCTTACCATTGGGCCGTCTCAGGGCTCAGGGCTGTGATCTTCTCTCCTGTCTCCACTCCCTGCCCTGGTCATCCCATCCCATCTTATGACCTATTTCACCTGTGCATTGGTGACATACATTTTCATTTCCATCCCACATCTCCTTCTTGAATGCCAGACTTGTTTTTCTATCACCACTTGGATGTCTAAGAAGCATTTCAAACAGAAAATGTCCGAAACCAAACTCTTGTTTTTCTTCTCCAAACCTCCCCTGACTACTTCCTCATCTTAGTTCGTGGCCAATCTATTCTTCCAGTTCACTCAGGTTAAAAAATGAAGTCATCCTTCTCTTTCTATCCTGCTCCACATTCAGTTTAGCAGCAGATCCTTTGCTTTTATCATCAAGATATATCTAGAATCCAACAACAGCTTCTCACCACCATCCTGGTTCAGACCACCACTATTTCTCACCAGACCTATTGCAAAGGCTCCTAATCTGTCTCTTGTGCTTGCTCTTGGTCATCTTCAGTATATCCACAGCCCATTAAAACATTTGTCAAGGCCAGGCGCCATGGCTCACGCCTGTAATCCCAACACTTTGGGAGGCTGAGGCGGGCAGATCACCTGAGGTCAGGAGTTCCAGACCAGCCTGGCTAACATGGTGAAACCCCATTTCTACTAAAAATACAAAAAATTAGCCAGGCGTGGTGATGCACACCTGTAATGCCAGCTACTCGGGAGGCCGAGGCAGGAGAATCGCTTGAACCTGGGAGGTGGAAGTTGAAGCGAGCTGAGATTGCACCATTCCACTCCAGCTTGGGCAACAAGAGCAAAACTCCGTCTCAAAAAAAAAAAAATATGCCAAGTTGTGTCACTTCTCTGTTCAAATCCCATCAGTGGTTTCCTATTCCTTGGGAGTAGAATCAGAGTCCTTGCTGTGACTTACAAGGTGCCACCTAATGTGCTCTCTCCTTACCTCTCACTCTGCCTCTCTGCCCTTGCTGCTGGGTCTCCGCTCTGGCCACTCCAGCCACTCCTGCCTCAGGGCCTTTGCCTGTGCCATTCTCTCTGCCTGAAAGCTCCCCTACCCTGGCTGTGAATCCCCAGGTCTCACTTCTTCCCTCCTTCAAATCTGCAAAAATGCCACCTTCTCTCTCCTTTGATTGCCCCTTCTGAGATTCAACCCTTTCAACAGCCTCCCATCCCCTCTTCCCGCTCCCACATTCATGTATCATTGTCCCCAGAGTTCACATCACTTTCTACTATACTACAGGACTCCATTAGTTTTATTCGTTGCCTGTCTTCTCACTCTAGAATGTAAGCTCTGTGACTGTGGAAAAAAGAGCTTTGATTATTTTAGTCACTGCTGTCTTCTGTCATCTAGAAAAGGCACATAAAATGAATGAATAGATGTATTTGCTATTCCAAAGAACATCGAACTGCATTTAATGTAAAACATCATGCATTTCTCACCCAGTGCTTACCAGGCCCATGCCAGGAGTTGGGGAATATCAGTAAGACATTATCCCTGCATCTCTAAGTTCATAGCCTAGTGGAGGCACTGATGTACAAACAAGCACAATACAAAATGATCCGTGTACTTGTAGCTCAAAATCAGATGCCCTGGGAGCCCAGGGGGACACTCACAACCTAGCTGAGTTCGGGGATGTGGCATTTGTACTTGTGCAGAATGGGAGTCCCAAGCAAAGAAAAAGAATGCACCTTTAACAAAGACTGTGCCATGTGAAAAGGGGCACAGGTAAGGCCAAGCGCAGTGGCTCACGCCTGTAATCACAGCACTTTGAGATGCTGAGGTGGGCAATTGCTCGAGCCCAGGAGTTCCAGACCAGCCTGGGCAACACGGCAAGACCCTGGCTCTACAGAAAATAAAAAGCCGGCCATGGTGGCACACGCCTGTCATCCCAGCTACTCAGTAAGCTGAAGTGAGAGGATCACCTGAGCCCAGGAGGTTGAGGCTGCAGTGAGCCGTGATTGCACCACTGCCTGGATGATAGAGTAAGGCCTTGTCTCAAATGAAAACCAAACAAAGAAAGAAAAAGGACCCACGTAGGAAGTGTCTCTGGGATTGCTGGACAGCAGGAGGGACGTGGGTGTAGTGGAGGGAGTGGCTGGGAGAGGCCTGGAAAAAGGGCAGGGATAAGGCCAGCTTTTCAGGCTGTTTGCTGTGCTGGTGAGTTTGTATTCATCCTGCAGGCAACTCGGGGCCTATTGAGTGTTTTGAGCAAAGAAATGACATGATTAGATTGGTGGCAGGTAAATCCTGTAGCAAAGGTGTGGGGGAAGATGACAGGTGACACATTGGAGGTTTGTCAGGGGCCTGGAGATCCTGGAGATGGACTGAGCCAGATCGAGGGACTCACCCAGCTATCAGATGGTGGCTGGACTGTTTTTCATGGTTGAAGCCATGACTGGAGACTTAAATTATTTTACAACCATCGAGTTAAAAACAAAGAAGGCTGGCGATAGCAAGTACTGGAAAGAGTGTAAAAATAGGTGAACTGCACAGATGGTGGGAGAATCAACTCTTCCCTTCCCTTTGGTGAGCACGAAGGCCCCACCTAGCAAAGTGGAGGATGGGCTGACTTACTGCACCAAGAGACGTGGGCTTGTGCATACCCTGGGGAAACCACTCATATGTATAACCAGTTGTAGGTAAGAAAGCGATTTGCTTGAAATAGCAAAATAAAAAAACTGGAAACAACCTAAATGCTCATCTGTAGGAGAACAGATAAATAAATTTTGGAATATACATCAAGGAAATATTATAGAAAGATTAAACCAGAAAACCCGAGATGCCTATATTAATGTAGGTAAGTATCCCAAATAAGAATTTTATTCCTATAATGTGAGGAACTTTTAAAATTATGATTATGAAACTATTCATGCTACCAAAAAATTATTAAAAACCATGAATAATGATAGAAAATGCTGCTGATTTTCTATGAGATCAATATAGAATCTACATAGGATGCCATGATTATTAACTGAATAGATCTTTTTTTTTTTGGGACAGGGTCTCACTGTGTCACCGAGGCTGGAATGCAGTAGTATGATCGCAGCTGTCTGCAGCTTCGACTGATCATCCTGCCTCAGCCTCCTGAGTAGCTGGGACCACAGGCACATGCCACCAACTCAGCTAACTTTTTTTTTATTTTTAGTAGAGACGAGGTCACAGTATGTTGCCCAGGCTGGTCTCGATCTCCTGGACTCAAGCAATCCTCCCGCTTTGGCCTCCCAAAGTACTGGGATTATAGGTGTCACCATGCCTGGCCAGTTGAATAGACCTTTGATTTGGATTTGCATCTTATTATTTTTAGATGCCTACATGAAAATTCAAAATGCCACTAAATACCATATGTGCTTTTGTAAACCAAATAATAATATCATGCTTTATATGAATTTAGGTTCGGAACATCGGGGTTAAAATGGAAAAAATTTTGATAAAAGTTCAAATGTTACAAACTCTAGCCTTGACTCTGTCCTTCTTATTTCCGTAATTTTGCTCATATCCTTTAAACAACCTGAGACTTCTATTATTGGTTGGTTTGTCTTAAAATGAAGTCAGGAATATCTACCCTGCCTCCCCAGTGGGGTGATGATGTTGAGGATCACGAGATGGTATCAGGAAAGGGGCTCTGCCACATGTAAGTGCCCTCCAGCGCTTGTTACTAATAATTCACTGTCTAAATGCTTTACTTTTTTCATCTCGTGGAAGTAAGAGATTTCAAAATAACATTGTCACTCAACTGACAGGTCGAAAACGACAGTAAAGCAGCCTGGCTTTTCTATTCACAGACCAAACCATTAGGGTCTGTGTCGTTCCAGATCCTTGACGAAGCGGGTGCCAGGGTGGGACTGGACATGCAGGAGATGGGTGAGGAAAGAGCCTGTGAGGGGAAAAGGCCTGACCCTCCTGAAAGAGAGTGCAAGGGAGGAGGGTGGAGCAGAAGCCCCCAGGCAGCAACATCATTTCTAAAATGCTGCCCTCCGAAGAGCCTGGCGTCTCCCGCACATGGGCGCCCTCTGCATCCCTGCTGTGTTCAGTCATTGGTCAGGGCAGCCTGCAGAGGATGGCCTGCGTGTGGGGGCTCCAGAACACAGGATGGGGGCCATCTCCAGCCGTCCAAAATCTACGCACTACATTTTCACGGCTGTCACAACGTCATGAAAACTGCCTGTCATATTTGGATGACCATGGTTGCCATTATTTTTAGCAAAATGACATATTAAAAGAATATATTCATCTAGACAATATAATCTGGAAGTCAATGCCTCTCTCATTAATGTCTCATTATTAACATTAATTATTTCATTATTTAATGCCCAGTGTCCTGCTTTATGTTAAATGCATTCCTGTCACTGACAGAAACAATATGAAATTGACCACTGTTTTTAGTGATTATTTAACATTGATCTTGAAATTCAGGCTACTGAAATAATATGTGAAGCAAAAGCTCCAGGGATGGCTATTTTAAGGAGAACAAATGGTCATTTTTTTTTAGGGGTGTGAGTTTATACCTGTAAAGTGTAAGGAAAATATCTAGTTATTTGAATTAATATAAGTTTACAAAGCTAACAGTATTCAAATATAAAATTTAAGTCATTTAAAAAGCGTCTGGGTTTCAATGATAATGAAAATATAAACTATCCATACTTTAATCACTAAGTGCAGAAAGTATGTAATAAAAGTACAAAACTTTACTAAGAAACATAAAAGATTTAATTTAATCTACCAATATGCCATGTTCTTTCATGAGAAAACTGAATATTGTAAAGTTACATTTTATGTTAATTCATATATAGTTTATGATGTTATTAATAAAATATCCTCTATTTTTCTGTTAATTGACATTTTTTCTTACTTGAAATTATTAACATTATTTTAAAATATTCTGAAATAATGAATAGTCCAGAAGAGGTACATTTCAAGAGGGCAAAGAAGAGGAATGAAATAAGATTAATACGACTGTATTTTAAAGCTACCATAATGAACAAAATGTGATCCTGACTACAGAAAAAGCAATACATCCATGAAACTGCACAACTCAGAGTAAATTCTGGCACACAGAAAAATCTGATACATGATAAGGGGGAAGCAGGTTACCAGTAAGGAAGAAGTATGTTATTCACATGCACCCAAATAAATTACAAATGGATCTAAGAGCTGATGTTTTCAAAATAGTGCTATCACATGCTAGATGGGTGTAGAAATAATGTTTACCTCTATCTGGCTGGGAAGGGTGAGTAAGCAGGGCTTTCCAAAATTAAAGTGTTAGGAGGAACCAGAAAGAATAGTTTTAACACATAAAATTGGAAATCTTCCATTAACAGCCAGATACACAAAATTAAAAAGCAAATAACGCCCAGGGAAAATATTTGCAACAAGTATGTTAGACAAAATCTTGTAGGCCAGGCACAGTGGCTCACGCCTGTAATCCCAGCACTTTGGGAGGCCAAGGCAGGGGAATCACTTGAGTCTAGGAGTTCAAGACCAGCCTGGGCAACATACAGAGACCTCATCTCTACAAAATCAAAAAAAAAAAAGCAGCTTGATATTTTAGAATTCACAGAGCTCATATACTTAAGTAAAAAATAATAGCAAGCTTGAGTAGATAAGGCTTTAAAGAACAAGATCAGACAGCTCACAACAGGGCAATATAAATTGGCTAAGAGAAGGTTGAAAATGTACCGTCAGGAGGTGCAAAGAACTATGGGAACACTCAATGTTGTTGAGTTTGGGGGAGAAGAACACTTGCATGGATCACCAGCTGGGTATAAATTAGGCCCTTTTGTAAGTTCACTTGGCTATGTATTCATAGCCTTTCACTCAGCTATGCTCATTCAGGCCATAATATTTCTTACACAAATGAAGCAAAATGCAGTACACATTTTGTGTGTGTGCAAAGATGCTTCTCCACGATTATTTAATAGCAAAAATATAAACAATCTACGTGTCCAAAATGGTATCAAAAAACTAAATGGTAGTATGCTTATAAAAGGCATCCATTAAAATTTATGAAACTATGTTAGAATTTTCAATGAATTCCAGTTATTAAAATTGGAATATAAAATTGCGTATACAATATGTCTTAAGACAAAAGAAAAGGAAAAACAAATGACAACGAGGAATCTACCAAATTGGTTAACAGTGGTAGATTCTGCATCATGAGTGTCTTTTTTTCTTCTGTTTTCTGCTTTTTATAGCTTTCAGATTTTCCACAGTACGAATGAATTATTTTTGTAATAAAAAGGAAGAACAATTAATGCTCTGTTTAAACCAGATGTGAGATAGCTGCTGTACCTTAAGGTCAAGAGACATTTAATTTGTATTCGCTTTCTGGTAAATTAGATACGTTTCCGGTGTTGAGCTCTCTCCTCCTTCCCTATGTTGAAGTCTTTGCAATCAGCTGACACCAAATAGGAGTTCATTTTTTTGGAGGGATGCTTTACACCATAATGGCTTTGATGAGTCTCCTAAGATCCATTGCCATGGAAAATATTTCTTAAACGATAGAATTCAAAACTCTGTTTAAAAAGAGACCTCTGCCATTATCATTAGCAAACTAACACAGGAACAGAAAAAAACCAAAGACAGCATGTTCTCACTTATAAGTGGGAGCTAAATGATGAGAACTCATGAACACATAAGAAGGGAACAACAGACACTGGGATCTACTTGAGGGTGGAGAGTGGGAGGGGGAGGGGAGCAGAAAAGATAACTGTTGGGTACTAGGTTTAGTACCTGGGTGATGAAATAATCTGTACCACAATCCCCTGTGACACAAGTTTGCCTGTACAACAAATCTGCACAGGCACACCTGAACCTAAAATAAAAGTTAAAAAAAAAATTAATGGGCTATAAATAAATAAAGCGGCCTCTGATTCAAGCAAAAACTAGTTAATGGATGGTAAAGGAAATGGGTGAAATTTTGAGAAGTAACAGTATATTTATGTAATTTCCGAGTGTCTCTCCACAAGATACTCATTATTTACAAAGGATAAAATAGTGACTTTACAGTGGAGAAATCTGACAGACAGCACCTTAACCAAGAGTTGCCATCATCAGTGCAGCTTGTATTGGGTTGGTGCAAAAGTAATTGTGGGTCTTTTTTGCCATACTTTTGATGGCAAAAACCACGGTAACTTTTGCACCAGCCTAATACCTCCTGTTACAGGGCATTGAGGGTTCATCGTGGCTTCTGTGGCTCCTGCTGAAGTCAGAGCCTGACTCTTATCACAAGGAAACATCAGGCAAATTTAAAGTGGGCAGTATTGTACAAAGTAACTAGCCTATACCCTTAAAAACCATCAGTGGGCTGGGCACAGTGGCTCACGCCTGTAATCCCAGCACTTGGGGAGACCGAGGCGGGAGGATTGCTTGAGGTCAGGAGTTTGAGACCAGCCTGGCCAACATGGTGAAACTCCATCTCTACTAAAAATACAAAAAATTAGCTGGGCATGGTGGCGGGTACCTATAGTCCTAGCTACTCAGGAGGCTGAGGCCAGAGAATCACTTGAACCCTGGAGGCAGAGGTTGCAATGAGCCAAGATCGCACCACTGTACTCCAGCCTGGGTGACAGAGAGAGACTCTGTCTCAAAAATAAATAAATAAAAACAACCAGTGTCATGGAATACAAAGAAAACAACTGAACTCAATATAACACAAGATCTTGCATCTTGGATTTTTCTTTTTCACAAAGGACATTATTGAGAACATTGATGAGATCTGAATAAGGTCTGTAGATTAGATAATAGGACCATGTTGAGATTAATATCCTGATTTTTATAATTGTACTGTAGGTATATAAAAGAATGTCCTGTTTTTAGGAAATATGCATCATAGTATTTAGGAGTATGGGAGCATCCTGTCAACAGATTACTCTTGAATGGTTCAGAAAAACATGACACATATGTATGTATAAATATGTATACGTATATAAATTATATGTCTCTCACATACAGAGAGACAGAAAAAGGAAAAACAAACAGCAAAATGTGAACATTTGGAGAATCTGAGTGAAATATATTAGGGAATTCATTGTCATATTCATACAACTTCTCTGTAAGTCTGAAAGTATGCCAAGATTTAAAAAAAATAAATTAAAGCAGAAAGGGACTGTTGGTTGCAGCTCTTCCAAGCATTAGCACATCATCAGGGCCCTCCAGCTCCTGAGTTTGACATGCCTTTTTCAACACTGAATCCTCTGTCTGTTCTGTAGGGAATAGATGCTATGTGTCTGGTGCTATTCTTTAGTCCTCTGCATTTATTTTCCCTCCAAAATCTGTTGACAGCACTATGAAGTAGATAGAATTCTAATTCTCATTGACAAGTAAGAAACTAACATTTAGAGAGGCTAACTAACTTCCATAAGATCCCACAGCCAGAAAGTAGCAGAATGAGACTTGAACTGGGGCTTCTCTACCTCCCTCTGCACTTCTGTCCTTTCCACAGCTGGGAATCATATGTCCCTCCCATCACAGCCCCTTGAATGTAAGTCTTTTTTTCTGGGCATTTACAAATCTGAAAGCATCCCTGTTGGTGTTTTCACATGACGTGGATTCACTGAATTGATTTCCACCAAGGCATGTTATCTGCTTTGCTCAGTGTGCTACCATTAAAATCATGTTCCACCTTAGAATTCCTCAAACTATTGGATGCCAGTTAGGGAACTTAGTGCCTTCACGGAGACTCACTGCTTGCCAGCTAAAGAGATTGAAAAGGACCCAAGATAGTAGATTCAAGGTGACTATGTAGACCTTGGATGGTGCCAGAGACATACTTCCCCTGGTTTTCAATGCTTGGGGTGAAGATATAGGAATTCAGCTGTGGGCTTATACCAGTAACATAGATCCTCAGCTGTCGTCAGCAGGAACCAAGTCCCGGTGGCAGCATTGAGGAGGGCACACAAAATGTATTCTGACATAAGAACCTCTTGGGGCCAGGCGCGGTGGCTCACGCCTGTAATCCCAGCACTTTGGGAGGCCAAGGTGGGCGGATCACGAGGTCAGGAGATTGAGACCATCCTGGCTAACACAGTGAAACCCTGTCTCTACTAAAAAATACAAAAAAAAAAATTAGCCAGGCGTGGTGGCGGGCGCCTGTAGTCCCAGCTACTTGGGAGGCTAAGGCAGGAGAATGGCGTGAACCCGGGAGGCGGAGCTTGCAGTGAGCTGAGATCCCACCACTGCACTCCAGCCTGGGCGACAGAGCGAGACTCCATCTCAAAAAAAAAAAAAAAAAAAAAGGAACCTCTTGGAGGAATTTGATCCCAGAGTTGACAGTAATTGGAGAAAACTGATTGTAAGGAAAGAGCTTGGAATTTCAATGAAAGAAAGAAACCAGCAAATACAAAAAGAAAAAGTAGAGGACCTGGTTGATTGGGATAGTTTGAATGGGCCACAGGAAAGAAGAAAGACATCCTTAAATGCAACCTTACAAGTCTCTATTTGTGCCAGAACCCGTCCTCCACTGGTGAACTATAAGAACCCTCCTTCAAAGTAGGTCAATTTAGGGAAAAGCCAAGTGCTGGTGGCATAAAAGAATCAGGACATGCCATCTTGCCCCGAGCAGTGGAATTTAATTCAGAAGAAGAGTAGAAATGGAGGCTGGCTGTGCAACTGCATTAGCTTGCTTTTGCTGGTTATGCTGTGAAATAAATACCCATACAATCTCAGTGGCTTCCACAACAAAAGCTTATTTCTCACTCACATCACATTTGGCTGTGGGTCAGCTGCAGCTTTCCTTCCTCTTGTGGTTTGGGCTCAGATGTGCTTCTGAAGTGTAGGCTGAAGGCATAGCCCAATCTAGAACTGAACATGATGTTCTTGCGGGAAAAGGGGCAGTAGCAAGAGGGATGGTGAAACTCATGATACCTCTTAAAACTTCTTGCTTACAGTGAACATCACATTTAATTGGCCAAAGCCAGACCTCCGCTCTGGAATGTAAAATAATCCTCTCTGGGGAGAGGAGGCAAAGGACTCTAGGCTTTCACCATCTCCAGAAGAGAGAAGACTTTATATTTCTCCAGAAGTCTCTATCTTTAGGATAGCCAATAATCGTCCTTTAACCCATGTGCCTTTGCTCAGAAATCATTAACACCAAAAACACAAAAATATTCATGGAACATTGTTTCATGACACTCATGCTTTTTAATATTCTGATTACTGTGTTTAGTTGTAGAGACCCAGTTTTCAGAGTTGTGGAGATGAGTGCCCCTCTGGCTCATAGTTCTCAGCAGGCACATATTCTCCTTTGACTGACATATAGAGACTGGATCCAAAATCTAACTTCTCTCCTTCTCCCTAGCTGGTTGTTACTATCTCCCAGAACCTCTATTTCTATGTTCAATATCACATCTGGAAACTCTTAATGTTTTCATATATATTCAATGTAGAAACAACAGTTACTAAAAAAAATCACAATTTGGATATTATAATTTTTCTTGCCTCATTAGCCCTCCATATCCTATCACCAACTAACATAATTTATTTAGTCTCCAGGACTTTTTAGATTCTATTATGGTAAAGACAAGAGTTGACCACAGACAGTCGCATATATCCAAGTCAGTGCATGCCTATGGGCTTTAATATATTTATGTTGAAAGATGCTGCTGTTTGCTTTTCAATGTCTTAGACACTCATGTGTCTGTAGAATCTTAAAATATTATCCAGTGGAAAAATATGTAATTGGAAAAGGTGGTGGTGCAGTCCATTTAGCAGGCCGATGATAGATTTTCCTGGATGCCTCTCCTTCCCCCAAATAATAACTTCCATAAAAATAGTTTTATGAAAGCTTCCAAAATGGTGCAAAATAATACTTTTGTGGAAGCTAGAAATAGGGATCGGTATATCTGACTCCACAACTGATTTCCAGGATAAAGGTGCAACTGGACTCTGAAGATCAGCCCAGACCTCTGCCTACCTGCACATTTCACCTGTCCTCAGTAGCTCCAGGCCTGCACCAGTCAGTCTCAAAGCCTCCACTTGCTCCTCTCTTCCTGTGTTTATTGGAGCTCTCCAGTTCCCAAAAATGCAGCAAAGCTGGAAGTAGGTATAGCAACACAATGGGCATAATAGAAGCTGTGATAGCCTCAATAGAAAAAGGCAGATTCAGAGAGAGAGAGGCATGGAAATAGATTGCAGCTTCTGGTACGGGAAAGATAAGATACTTCATATCATCCAGAAATAAGCTTCATCGCAGGTAGCGAGATGAGCAGGTGAGGAGCAGCCAGCTTCTCTCCACAGTCTGCAAGAGCAGCGTGCAATATACGGGTTGCTAAACAAGCAAAAGGTTATCCACAGACTTTACAAATTACATGCAATACCGCCCTGCCAGTGACAGCTCTCTTCTGTCTACAATTCTGCCAAATTCTCACCACCCACACCTCTCCCACCCTGTTCACACCACCGTGTCTGGCCTAGATTCTTGCAAGGTCTCCCAACTTCCTCCCTCCTCATCCTTCCAGTGTGTTCCTAAAGCAGCAGCCAGAGAGCCCCTGCTCGCTGCCAGCCAGATCATGTCGCTTCCCCACTCAGGGCTCACCAGTGACTTCCCACCTTGCAATGTGTGAACACCAGAGTCCTTCCAGTGAACTAGAAGCCTAACACAACCCGGCCCCTTGTGACATCCCCAGCTTTATTTCCTTCTGTCCTCCCCTTTGTTCCCCATGTTCTGGCCACACTGGCCTCTGCAGATGCTCTCCCACCTCAGGCCTTTTTTTTTGCCTGGAATATTCTTCCCTTGGGCAGGAATGGACACTTCCTTTTCTTCCTTCAGGTCTTTATTCAAAACCTCCTTATCTTTGAAGCTTTTCCTGGAGACCCAGGGAAACCTTCATCTCCTACCCACGTCTTAACATTTCATTTCTCATTTGTTATTTCTTGAAGTTGCATGATCTCTAACATGTGCAGTTTACTTATTTATTGTGTTTTTGGTTGCTCTCTTTCCCTCAACACGAGCTCCACAGCCAGGGCCTGTAGGCTGTGTTGCTCACTCACGTATTGCCTGATCCACAGTGCCTGGTATGAAGTTGGCCCACCACAAACATTTGCTGAGTGAATGCATGAATGAAAAGCCCCCTCCACATGAGGCCCTGAAAGGAAATATGTGCACAGCAAATGAAATAAATGCTGAATAAGGTCGCCTTTCATGACTATCTGGGTCCCTGTGCAGGCCTCTCCTCCCTATCTCATTGCCTCACAATAGTGAATCACCAGCAAATCCGGCCAATCCCCTGCCAGACCCGTGGTCCAGACCCAAGTCTTGATGGCACTAGTCCCTTGGAAGCCAGCCAGAGCACACCTGGGGCTGGCCAGGTCAGGAGAGCCTCCCCTGGAACTGGCAGAGCCATATCCAAGGGAGCCCGGAGCTCTGTCCCTGGGGACCCTGCAGGAAGAAGTGGAGTTCCCCGGCCCCCACACCCATCACCTTACTTGGGGTGAAATCCACAGAGAGTACCCCCTGCTCTGAGGAGTGGCCACAGCAGGAGGAGGTTTGGCCCTCCTTGATGGGGGACCTCTGTCCTCCCAGCCTGCACTTCAGACCAGGAAAAGTGTTTAAAGATAATACTTGGGAACAAATACTAGACTGATAAAAGACAACAGAAGGGAATAAGGGACTATTATTCTTTAAAACTGCGGAATAAGAGAGGCATCCTTGGCCCAAGCCTATGATAATTTCAGAAAACATTTTGAACTCAAGAAAAAGAAAACATGGACTACCAAGCAGCCAGGACTTTGTGTGAGCTACATGAGGAAATCTATGAAGATTCATTTTAAAAATGAAAACAGGAATTTAATCCATACAGAGACATGGTGCTCCTGGATGGGATAACTTAATGTGCAAAACTTTCCCATAGTCATTTGTTAGTTTAATTTAATCCCACTAACAAGATACGTGAATCTTTATGTTCTGGAGGATGGCCAGTGGGTCTCAGTATTGGGCTCTACTGGCATCTTGGTGGGGAGTCCTGAGTGTGGGCATGGGTGTGGGTGGCATTCTCCTACACACCCAGCACACTCCCCTGGGCCCACAGTAACCAGCTCTCTGGATTCTAGATGGATAAAAATGCAAGCACAGCTAAGAGAACTTATTTCAAAAATTAATGAAGTGCCGGGCACGGTGGTTCACACCAGTAATCCCAGCACTTTGGGATGCCAAGAGGGGAGGATCACTTGAGCCCAGGAGTTTGAGAACAGCCTGGGCGACATAGTGAGACTCCGTTTCTTTTATAGAAATGAGAAATTAAAATTAATGAAGGAGGTACCTGTGCTACCCAATGTGATATATATAATAAATATACAGTAAATATGTTTATATGCACTAGTCCGTGTATATACACACATGCAAACACTAAAACTTCATGTGTGGGCATATGAATGGAAAGAGCAATAGGAGTAAAGTCCTGAAATAGACACAAGTTAATAAGAAATTTCAGATATTATGATATATTAAGTGATTACTTAATCTATATCATTATTTAAGTAATTACTAAAATTATTAAGTGATTTGGGAAACCATTCATGGGGGGGAAAAGCTCAAATGAAATAGTGTGAATTCAAAGTGTCTGACACAGGTGTCAGTCAATTTAGAAAGTTTCTTTTGGCAAGGTTAAGGCTGCACTCCTGACGGTGTCAGGTCCTGAGGCCCAAGGTGGTTGGGGTACAGCTTTCTTTTGTACATTTTAGGGAGACATGAGACGTCAATCAATATGTATAAGATGTACATTGGTTTGGTCCCAAAAGGTGGGAAAACTTGAAGCAGGAACTTCCAGGTCATAGGTAGATAAGAGACAGAAGATTGCATTCTTTTGAGTCCTTGATCAGCCTTTCGCTGAATACTCAATGTAGTCTGGCTCGGTGAATCTGCATTTTTACATAAACAGTAGGGCAGAGGAAGCAATCAAATATGCATTTGTCTCAGGTGAGCTGTGAAGATTAGCTATCAGTTTACATTGCCAGGGTGAAATTCAACAGAACTGTTTTAGGGTAAAGATCATGAGGCCCACAACAAATTTCCTTGTGGGCACATTATGAGGGAGTTGTGTAGCTTTTTAAAAATCTTTGTAGCTGCCTTATTTAGGAATAAAATGGGAAGCAGGTTTGCCTGCCATAGTTGCCACCTTGAGTTTTCCCTTGGCTTAGTGATTTGGGGGTCCCGAGATTTATTTTCCTTTCACAATAGTAAATGAAACCAAAAAAAAACTAACTATACCCAATGATTAATTTCAGAAAGAAGAGACTATAAAGGTAAAGTGAAAACTAGGGAGGAGAAGGAGGGAGGGAGGGAGGAAGCAGGGATGGGAGGGAGGGAAGAAAGAAAAAAAGAAGGAAGGAAGGAAGGAAGTAGGTAGGTAGGTAGGTAGGTAGGTAGGTAGGTAGGTAGGTAGGTAGGTAAAGTGTGACTGTTTGCCTAATGGAAGCTGGGGCTTCAGAGGTTCTGGGGAAAAGGGACATTGCTGCCAGTGTCTTAAAGGTATTTCTGACCAAAATAAAATGTAAATCACTGGAGAAGACCTGCCTGGAGCCCTCCTCGGCTCTTAAATGGAATGCTGTAACATCTTGTTGTGTGTTCAGCTCATCTGTTCGGTGTGTCTCCCCTCCTGAAGGGCAGGGACCACACTAATCTTTGCAGAGTGGACCACTGAGCATTGGCACTCTGGAGCCAGGTGCCTGGCTCTGAATCTGCTTTTCTGCTCCTTACTACTTGCATGACATTGGGCATATTACAGTGACTCTCCATGCCTCAGTTTCCTCCTCTGTAAAGTGTAGACAGTTATAGGAACTGCCTCGCTAGATTATTGTGAGGATCAAATGGGTTAATATGTGTAAAGCAAGATGAGCATTTACCATTGTATCTGCAGCTCCCAAAACAATGCCAGCTATGTGGGAGACAGTCAATGCATGTTGGGTGACTCTGAGCCTGCTTTGCTAGATAATACCTCTCCAACTCCCTAAGAACACAAGCAAACCACCCCTCAAGGATAACTGGTGACAGATTTTGAAAATAGAGGCAGAAATGCAATTCACCAGTCTTTCCCCCCCGCCGCCCCCACTTGGAGCCTGCAAAAGCGCTGAGTAGGACTTAGTCTGCTTGCATATCCATGACAGGAAAGTTAAATGAGATACTGAAGCCGATGGGAGAGGGCCCTTGGTTGCTCAGGGCAGAGTGAAGCCTGTATCCTTTGCATAATTCTGCCCCATCATATTGCTTTTTGTAAAAGGAAAATGTTTTGATAGTCTGTCACTGAAATCTGTTTTTAATGAAAACACCCTAGGATTAGCTATTATTCTTAGAAGACAGCTCTGTTGTGGAGTTATTCAAGGATGGAGTTCTATTACGTGTGTTTGCCCACCACAGATGTGCCTCAGATGAAACATGAAGGTTAGGGAAGAAAGCAAACAGCTCTGGGCTGAGCAGCAATAAAGCGCTGCATTGGGAGGGATGGCACTGGTGGGGAGGGGTCCCAGCTCATGGCCATGATGCTGGCACCAGAGTGGGTGCTGTCCAGAAGCTGTCCCCATCCCTGTTCTTACCACCTTGGCTCCAGGACCCAGCTTGACTTCTCATGTGACTTTTCCCTCTGGTGCTCAGAAATTGGAGTCTGAGGAGTAAGGCCTGGGGAGGAGGTGGCCACACCCACAGGTGGTCATATTTATGTTGCCTGGTATGGAGTTAGAACTGTTCCTCTAGGGACAAACTGGATCTTTGGACCAGTCTATCTACAAACAAGGATGGCTCCCTCAGCTTGGGAAGAAAGTGTCAAATGGGAAGTTAGGGAACGTGGAAGTTTAAAGTGAAGCCATCTTTATGTTCTCCCTGTGTGTCATTGTTTCGCCGTATGGATATGCTAGAGAAGTGAAAAAATGTATGAATGAATGAAAATGAAAAATATATGAGTAAAATAAATATCTTTAAAAAGGAATAGCCCACTGGCTATACCACTAAGTTCATGCTCTTCAAGTAAAGCCTGGACTATTTGTCAAAGCCTTTTTTTTCCCTCTAATGTAAGAGGGTTTTTCTGTCATAGAGGAGGGGCCTGGGAATTTGGAAGGCATTGTAAGTCATTGCTGACAGGAAATGATGCTATTAGGTATTGGATCATAAAGAGACCTCCTCCCAGGAAAATGAATTCAGTGACAATAACACCATAATGTTATATAACAGTAAATTTTATATCTCCTGAAAATTGATGTTGGATCAAAACAAGGGACTGAAAGACAATAGATTGGGACAAAACAAAATCAGTCAGACCCCAACTCATGCTGATGGAATCAAGGTCACAAAGTTTAAAACAGAACTTCCAACGTGAGACCAGACGGCCACGTTTTTGGCCTGCTATCCAGTCTGGCTGATGGCTGATGAATATTTGCTGTGACATCAGCCAAAAGGGAGACGATCTAGTGAAACTCTTCATCCCACCTCTTGGGCTCTTGCAACAAAGAATAGTTTTGTTAAATTAGCAAATGTAATTTTCTGGTCTCTAAGAAGAAGCAAGTTTTAAAAATCCCCTTCAAAATATGTGCAACTGAGCTTACTTTGTCTTTGCAAGGGTGTCTAGTGTGACATTTCAGGAATTAACCACATATATGGGAATGCACACACAGGCTTTCCCTTCCTTCATGTACCGGGTTGGTTGGTCTGTCGGCAAATAGTTATTAGATGGCGCACACTGTGCTAGGGTCTTTGCCCTAGAGGGCAAAGATAGAAGAGGCGGGCCGTAAATTTCCTTGAGGGGTTTGGGGTCACTGAAATAGGAATTGTATGTCTTTAAATATCTCTACAGCTTGGCACCTCCTGCTGGAACTCAACAAATCCTAAATGCCAATTGTCCATACTTAGGACAACTTAAAATAATTGACAGTCACAATGATAGTCTTTTGTGAGGGGCACTTGCCCCAGCTGACCAGATTTCTGGGGATGTCAGATACACCCACTTAAAATAAGTGTAAATTATTTTTAAATATCACAAGCCCCCTTTGAGGACCAGCCACTCCAGGGCTTCTTAGCTGTGATGCGCTCTTACAGCCCCAGACCTGTAGGGACATGTCCCTCCCAGAAGGCGGCACACTGGCTGGGCCTCTCTCAAACCACCCCATAAAAAAGAGAACCTTACCCGAACCAGGACTTCTGGCTTTCTTCTAGGGTGGGGTTCTGAGTGACCTTTCATCATATTGTTTGTCGTCCGTATGGCTTGGCTTTTCAAAAGCAAATGTACTTTGTTTCTATAATTAGGAAAAAAAGTTTTTTTTAAATGTCATCTTTTGCCAGGCACGGTGGCTCACGCCTGTAATCCCAGCACTTTGGGAGGCCGAGGCGGGAGAATCACGAGGTCAGGAGATCGAGACCATCCTGGCTGACACGGTGAAACCCCATCTCTACTAAAAATACAAAAAGCCAGGCATGGTGGTGGGCGCTTGTAGTCCTAGCTACTCGGGAGGCTGAGGCAGGAGAATGGCGTGAACCCGGGAGGCGGAGCTTGCAGTGAGCCGAGATCTGGCCACTACACTCCAGCCTAGGCGACAGAGCAAGACTCCGTCTCAAATAAAGTAATAATAAATAAATAAATGTCATCTTTTATATTGCTAGCTTTTATGTATTCCACCCATGAATGATCTTGACCTCTTCCTCAAAAAATCCTCCACTTATCAGACGACAGACCGAATGAAAGAGGAGGGAAGCAAAACAATGAAACAATTTGTTTTAGCCTATGATAAATCACAGTATGGTCTGAAGGGTAACGTGCTTTCTAATATTTGGTTTTTAATCTTAGTTCATTTGGGTAGGGACAGATAAATATTTGCCCAGGAGAAACATCCTGCTTGGTTCATTTGATTTTTAATAATCCTAACTCTACTCAGGTGACCTAGCAGCTGTGGCAGAGCATCAGGCCTCAGAGGTGGTGTCACTGCCAGTCAGCGTTGATGAGTAGTGACAGGCCGTGTCAGATGGTTGATTCACAGGGCTTTAGAGAGGTGCCAGGGGTTTGCAGGGCATAAGCAGGGTGCGGCAGCCAGGACCTATGAAGAAGTGGCCTCAGGCAGGGCTGGGCCTCCAACACCGCCCTGCTCTCCTATTGCTGTGCCACAAGGGTCTGCAGAGGGACCCTCCCCACGTGACTTCCTGCTGCCCTGTGCCGAGCACTCCTAGAGGATTTTCCTGAGGGTCATGGCCACTTGAGTCCAACAGAGGAACTGGCTGTGTATAGCTGTGTGTAAACCAGTTGTGCCTTTGAAGGAAGAATCATCTAATCTAAGGTTATTTTAAAGTAGTACTTTGTCGATTCCTAATACTGTCCCTTGCCATTTCCTGGGGATTTCCTCTACTTGAAATCTGTGCACTCATTCGCTGCTGTCAGGCTGGATCCCATATGGCAGAAGCAAGGGGCCGTGCAGATCTGTGTAGCTGAAGGTGGGCTGCGAGCAGGGAGTAGAAGCACTCATCAGATGGCTTTTGTGTGGACAGGTCACTTGGTCCCCATCTGATTCCTTCATTTCCTTGGGCTCCAGTTTATTCCTGATGAAAGAGGGTTCCATCCAGGTTCTCTTTGGTGGGGTGGGGTAAGCTTCCAGGAGCTGGAGCTGGATCCTTTTTGATCCCCATTCACTTTCTTTATGAAGTCTCCACTTCTGCTCTCATTCTTTTTTTATTTCCAGAGTCAAGCTTTGCAGTTAAACAATTAGTAAACTGTAAAGAAATAATTTACAGTAAACTGTAAAGTGAAATACACCGGTATCCCCAGTACTAAGTGCTAAATAGATAATGTCTAAACAGCCCATTTGAGTGGTCTTTTTTCCTCTTCTTTTTACTCTCCTAATGTATGTGTGTGTGTGTGTGTGTGTGTGTGTGTGTGTGTGTGTGTGTGTTTAATTAATTGGATCAATATTTGGCTTAGGACAGTGAGCACACCCTATACCAGGCTCTGTGCTAAGTGCTGAGGATGGCAGCCCCAGCTCCCAGAGAATTCTGAGTCAATTTTGCAAGATAGACATTAAACAAATATATACATAAACAGTTCATTAGAATTATTTTTAAAACTGTCAAAAAATAATAACTACAGGGTACTATTCCCAGGCCTCTGTCATGGGGGAAGGGGAAGCACAGGGGAGGCCAAGGAGTGGGGGGTGTGGAGGAAGAAGGGCTGACGGCAGCTCAGGTCAGGCAGCAGGGACAGCACACTGACATCTCCAAGGAAGGGGTAAATAAGTGCCTCTGGAGACTGTAGGATTCCCAAGTGGCCAGAGTGTCACAGGTCAGGAGGAGGGAGGCAGCAGTGAGGTCAGGGAGGAGGGAGGACCAGATCCACTTTGCATGTTTGTATAAAGTAAGTCTCAAACTGGTATTTAGAGCTTTAGCCTAAAGGAAGTGTGAAGCCACTAAAACAAGGAAGGGCGACATCAGGTTTCCTTTTTCAATAAAGTGTTCTGTCCATTATGGAGACTGTATTAAGAGCAAAGGTGCAGACGAGGAGGCCGGTTAGGCTCCATGGGAGTTGAGTGGGAGAGGGAGGTTTGGACCACGCTGGAGGAGGCAGAAATGGTGAGAGGCAGATGAATTCTAGAACCGTTAGGAGGTAGGAGCAGACGAACTCAGTGCTTGGTTGGACAAAAAGGATGAAGAAAGAGGACTGGAGAAAGAAAGCTGTCCAAGTTCCTGACAGGGAGCTCTAAGCGGCAGAGGAACCATGACTAAGGCTAGACTTTTAAGGGAAGCTTGGGCATAGGAATAAAGATCCTGAGTTTTTCTTGCATGGTGCTTGGGTGGCTGCGCAAAGCTCCAGTGGATGGGGACTGGGTCTGGACATCAGATGAGTGCTCTGACCTATCACAGAAATTGGAGAGTTGGCGATGTTCACATGGTAACTAAGGCCAGAGGCAGGGACATGGCCCTAGTGTGTTCCTTCTTGCGTCTTTTCCTAGTTGGACCTTCTCCAAGGAGGAAGGCAGTGCAGGGGAGCCTGCAGATGGGGCAGAGCTGGGGCAGCCTGAGAACCATCCAGGAAGCCAGTGGCTGTGGCAGGGAGCGGGAAGGAGCAAGGGTGCTGCACGGTGTGCGTCACCACTGAGAAGTCCAGTAGCGTCCACCAGGGCGTTGGACACAGAGCAGGATCTCAGTACGTAGATGTTGAATTCTCTCCGTCTTCTATTCAGATCTGCTTGGACCAGGGTTGAGAACATAATCTCTGCACCCAGAATGCAAGCTTGCTACTTGTTTCTTACACGACTTCATTTGTCAGCAAAGCTTCAGGTTTCATCGGGGTTTGGGAATGCTGACATCATAGACTGCTTTTTTCTGGAATCAGGCCACATTGATTATTTTCATGGTGACTGTAACTCCCAAGGAAGATGAGGTTATAAAATCAGAATAAAGACGTATGAACCAAAACAATACCTGGATTAAGAGGGCCCTGACAGATGATGCCGTCAGCAACTGTCCCATGCCTGGCATCTCTGCTCAAGTCCTGTATGCTAATTTTGGACATGGTAGCTCTAAAGTGCCAATGGTGAGACCAGTGATGCCAAGTTTATTGTGGTGACAGTCACTCCGCAGGACAACAAGTGGAAGGGGATGGCACTTCTTGAGTCTTTCCCATCTGAGTAAATGCCTGAGGGAGTAAGGGCACTGAAACAGGCAGTGAATTTTCAGCAGTTTAACTGTAGATTCCCCTTCCTTTGTGGTTGAGGGAGCTTCAGGAGTGGATCATATGTGAGGATGCTTTTCGCTGGCCTTCTCAGACGGCTGGGAGAGCAGAACTTCTCTTTCCCCACAAACACCCACACCAGATCCTTGTTTCTTGAAAAAGAAAAAAAAAAATTCTAGGCTCATGAGTCTCATTCCTTAAATTAAAATTTAAAATCAAATCAAATTACTTATGGCACAGAATAATGTTGCTTGCAACTTTTTATCCACTTTATCAAAATGAGTGTGGTCCTTGTGTGATTTTTCCTTTTGCACGTCGGTTGCCCAGGCCAGGTATCTTGGCGGGGGTGGGGGAAACAATGTTGTTTGTGTGGGTAATGTTGCTGATTTTGTTTGCTTGGGATACACGCTAAGTTAACCTCGTTGGACTTTTCCCCAGGAATTGATGCGCGTACACGTGGTGGGTCATTATGCTGCTGCACCTGTGTAGTGTGAAGGTCAGTGTGCTTTTCTGATTATAAGAAACCATCCATGTCATTCCATTATAAACCCACTCCACTCATAATGGAATGTGCCTCAGCCTAGGGCCATTGCGGTTGCCCAGCCCAGGAATTATCTCAAGTGTGGCTGGACATTTGAGATCCATCACCCTCCCTCCCCACCACCTGCATCCACCCCAGAATTCGACTGTGCTCCATTTTGAGATGATGTTTTTGCATGTGGAGTCCTCCTTGTGTGATGTGAACGTACAGTTGTTACAAGTGAATTTGTACCTGGAAACATTCTATGATGCTACTTCCAGAATTACAGCTGAGAGCTCCGCTGTCTATGGGTAATTGCTGTACAGTTGATATGGACAGACAGAAATAGGCCTTGAGACAAGAGCAACAGCTTCTCCTCCTGACTCAGAGCCAGGCCATCCTCTGGGAGGCTGATGGCTCATTAGGATGGGCTCTTGCAGCAGGGTTGCTTTCCCTGGAAGTACTTTCCACCAGCTCCCCAAGACTTCCTGCCAATGGTCCTCCTTCCTCTGTGTCATGGTTTTACTTTTGGTGACAGCCCAGGTTTACAGTCATCACAGCTCACATTTACTGGGCACCATGAATCATGGTTTGTGCCGAATGAGCTCCCCATGAGCTCCTCTCCTGAGAGGTAGGTATGATCATTGTCCCCATTTGATGTACGAGGGAACTGGGTCATGGAGGGTTGAGTGGCTGCTCTGAAGTCTCCCAGTGGGTAACTGAGGAGCATTGATTCCCACTGAGGTCTGCCTGTCTGAGCTGGAGTCCATCCACTGGGCCCTGTGCTGCTCGGGTAATACTCAGCCAATCCTGATGTGAGGCTTTTCTCTAAAAAGGAAATAAAAGCCCACATTTGCATAGCACTTTGCAAATTTATTAAGCACATCCACATGCATATTCAGCTAATCCTTGAAATAACCCTGCAAGAAGGAGAGGGACGCCCTGAGATGTTCAGTGTGTGCCTTGGTACGCGTCAGCGGGCGGGAAGATGAGGCCACGCTCACATGCAGAGGCAGCTTCTCCTCTGCCACAGGGCCCTGCTGCCTACTCATGCAGAGGGCAGCTCTCTTAATTCACAAGTTCTGCCTAATGCACTTAAAGAATGAGCATAGCATGTGTTGGATTAAGGAAGCATTAAATTAATACTTAATCCTGTGCTGCCAAACATCCAGGAACAGTGTCAGCACAGTCACTTAAATTCCCCTTTATCTCCTTGAGTATCCCAGCTTGGTGTGCGCTCAGGAGCCACTTCCTCTGTACCATTTTCACAACTCAGAGCTCAGCAAAGCCTTGATTTCCCCAGTTCACTCAGCTTACTCCACCCTCCAGCCATCCCTTGGGGAAGGCGTTAATT
Organism: Homo sapiens; assembly: GCF_000001405.40. Taxonomy (NCBI): domain Eukaryota; kingdom Metazoa; phylum Chordata; class Mammalia; order Primates; family Hominidae; genus Homo; species Homo sapiens. The sequence goes on from NC_000007.14 coordinate 43,245,311, forward strand.
TTGCTAAGAGAAAGTTTCCATAGCACTCAGTCTGTTTGCATTCCCCTTGGACTTCGGTGTTTTCTCTTTGGCTTTAAAGATAGAATGAGAAGTAGTTTTTAAATACCAAGCAGTTCCTTCTGAGTGCATTTCACATTCAGGAAGAATGCCGCCTCTTTCTTCTTTCCAGGACTAGTGTCCTTGGGAAGTTAGGGCTTCTCAGTCCTAGACAATCTCAGCTCATGGCATCTTCAGATACAAGCTTTGCCTTGAAATAAAACTCCTGGAACCAAACAGCAAAGCCAAATACGCACACAGATCATCATAGGGGATTTTATTCAGTGATCCAGGAAACAGAAGGCCAAGTATTCTCCCCTGACATTTATGTGAGTGAGTTCTCACTGGGTAACATGAGAGAGAAGACTGGGATCCCAGCTGATGCTGTCAAGGACTTAGCTTGTGAAACAAAACATGAGCATCAGTACAGCCTCCTGCAATGACACAGGGAACCTGAAAGGACAGGATGCAGCAACCTTATTTCCAGGTTTCCTGGAAGTTAAATGCAAAGCTCCTTACCCCGCACCTTACTCAGTAAAGGGAATCTATGGCCCCATAACTTCTGTGCTTTCATGTAAATCTTCAAAATTAAAAATAATCTCAAAGTTCCCTACACCTTCCCCTAATATTTTATAAGAAGATTCATCATGCTCTGAAATGAGTCTGCAGCACTACTAGGTGGACTTATGAAAATATCTGGAAATAAGCTCTGGAGGCTAAGGCAGGAGGATCACTTGACGCCACGAGTATGAGACCAGCCCGAGCCATAGGGAGATCCCATTTCTATGAAAAATAAAAAAAAAAAAATTAGCTGGGCATGATGGTGTGTGCCTGTAGTCCCAGCTACTGAGGAGGCTGAACAGGGAGAATCGCTTGAGCCCAGGAGTTCCAGGCTACAGTGAGCTAATATGGCACCACTGCATTCCAGCCTGCGTGACGTAGCAAGACCTTGTCTCTAAAAAAGAAAGGAAATAAACTAGGGATCATTTAATTGACCACTTAATGTATTTTCAGCTTCTGGAATGATCCTTAGCAGGATGAATGCTTATCTCTGGGAGAGGCTCATACAAGGAAGAATTTTATGCTATAAACACCGGTTCTCAACCAGGGGTACATCGCAAACCACCAAGTCTAGCTCTGCACGTGAAGCCTGTGTAGTTGCACACTGAAAAGGTCTCTAGGTAATTCTGGTATGCACTCCTGGTTGAGAAACACTAGCTAGACCTGACGGGAACTAAGCCTTTCCACATCTGTGAATAAGAGAATGAGAAAGAAATCTGTGCTGAAGATCTTTATGCTACAAAGACAAGTATCTTGTCACCCAAAGATGGCTTTCTAAGCCTATCAAAGGCCCTCTGTGGAGAAAAAACAAAACATGCATTGCAAATGACTGGCATCTCTGTGTCTGTTAGGTCCCCTGAGAGGGCAAGAGAGAACTAACGTTTGTGACAGGGAAAGGGAGGAAGTGGAATTGTGTGGGGGCTGCAGCCTGGCAGAGCCTCTGCCAGCCCAGTGGACTCTCAGGAGCAAAAACTGCCTGTTCAGAGACCCAGTGTTGGGTGGGAATGGCTAGACCCCTGCATCCCCAACTAGCTTAATGTTAGGCCAAGGCACCCTAAAGAGAGCCTGAGCACCCCTCCATACATAGGTGGAGTGGAAGGAGTTGGTGGCTGGAAGCTGTCAGCTGACAGCATCCTGACAACTAGGCAATGAATCTGTTCTTAAAAGAGAAGCACAGCTCCATGTCTGCTATACTCTCCAAAGACTAGAAAATCAGTTCCTCTGGGCTGTTCAGAGTTTAGCTCTGTTTTGACTACAATGCCAAGGTGTGATCCTTTGGTGGAATTTACTGCCTTAAGGTAGAGGAATGAAGGGAGGACAATGGAAGAAATATGCAGGAAAACTTGGTTCATTTGATTTCCTTCTGTTTAGGGCATGTGCTAGATGGCAGGACATGGAAGAATAGGGCACTAAAATTTGAGGGATCATAACAACTTCTCATGTCGAAAGTGAAGCCCAGACCAGGCACAGTGGCTCATGCCTGTAATCCAGCACTTTGGGAGGGGGATAGCGGGAGGATAGCTTGAGACCAGTCTATATAAGCCTGGGCAACATGGTGAGACCCCATCTCTAATAAAAATAAAATTTTAGCCAGGCATGGCAGTGCACCTGCAGTCACAGTTACTCTGGTGGTTGAGGCAGAATTGCTTGAGCCCAGGAGTTAGAGGCTGCAGTGGGCTATAATCGTGCCATTGCACTCCAGCCTAGGCAACAGAGCAAGATGCTATGGAAGGAAAGAAAGAGAGAGAGAGAGGAAGGAAGGGGAGAGGGAGGGAGGGAGGGAGGAAGGAAGGGGAGAGGGAGGGAGGGAAGAAGGAAGGAAGAAAGGAAGGAAGGAGGGAGGGAGGAAGGGAAAGAGAGGAAAAAAGAGAGAGAAAAAAAGAAAAGAAGGAGGGAAGGAAAGAAAAGAAAGAGAGAGAAAGGTAAGAAGGAAGGAAGAAGGAAGGAAGGAAAGAAAGAAGAAAGCAAGCAAGAAAGGGAGGGAGAGAGGAAGGAAGGAAGGAGGGAGGAAGGGAAAGAGGAAAAAAGAGAGAGAAAAAAGGAGGGAAGGAAAGAAAAAGAGAAAGGAAAGAAGGAAGGAAGAAGGAAGGAAGGAAAGAAAGAGAGAAAGAAGAAAGCAAGCAAGAAGGGAGGGAGGGAGAGAGGAAGGAAGGAAGGGAGGGAGGGAGGGAAAACAATGGAGAGAGGGAGGGAAGAGAAAGACAAAGGAGAGGAGGAGAGGTGAGGAGAGGAGAGAAAGAAGAAGAAAGAGAGAGGAGCCCAGAGAGGTTGTGTGTCATCAGAGATCACCCAGAGATCGCAGGGCTGAGGTGGAGCCCCAGGGCTCCTGACAGCAACACCCCTCTCCTGACACAGAATGGGCATTGTTACATCAGTCTCCTTCACCCCATACTCTACACAATAAAGAAAATCTGTGGCTCCAGAACTTTTATGTTCTTGCTTAAATCTTCCAAACTGAAAACGATCCTGAGGTTCCCTACACCATACCCCGCCCCACCACATCCTTCATCTAGACACATCCTGGGTCTAGAACGTATCAGGAGACAGAGGTGTAGAACCACAGCCAGCTTCCCTAAACTTCCACTAATCTCCGGCTTGCTTTTGGTTATAATGTTGTGCAGATATAAATTGACAAAGTCATGAGAAGCCTCTCTTCTAACTCTGCAGTTTGTCATCCTGACACCAACAGAAAATCAGGACATCATTAATTCTCTACACTTATTGATTTGGAACCTCCATTGTAAGGCCGGCTGCTTTACTCTCCCTCCTCCTCCTCCTCCTCCTCCTTTTCCTCCTCCTCCTCCTCCTCCTCCTCCTCCTTTTCCTCCTCCTTCTCCTGTCCCTCTTCCCCCATCTCCCCGTTCTCCTCCTGTTTCCCCTCCCCCTCCTCATAGTTTTCAGGGTCGGAGTCCTAGGCCACTCTATTGCAACAGCTACCAAAGAGAAAGGGGCTGAATCTGTGTGCATGTGAGGCCACAACCTCTAGACCCCAGTGACTTAGGGGCCTCCCTGCCTCCCCTCTAGCTCTTCGCCAGTCATTGCCTGAACTCGGCTTTCCTGGACCTTAGGGGATAAATAGTGTGGTCCAGCACTGCCCTGGGTGAGCTGAGTCATGCCCTTGGCAGGGTCGAGGAGCTCCCGTGAGGAGACCAATCGCCTAGCGTGAGTCTTCTTCCGGGATTGCTCGCCCTCTGCCCCCTAGGTGCCGGGCGCCGCCCGTCCCCACCTCCATCAGAACTCGGGTCATCTGCGGAGCCTTGGCTGCGGCCCGGTACCTGGGTGTGACTCCGCCACTAACATTTTCCCAGCAGGAAGCAGCAAGCTCAGCACAGAAATAAAACTGTCCTGGTGAGTCGCTCACAGCCTGTCCCAGTAACTGTTCCGGAGCGTCAGCCTGACGCAGCACCCCTGAAGGACCACGCCGTGCGGGCTGCGAGCCTCGCCCTTAACCATGCCCAGCAGGACCAGAGCTGCCAGCACAAATGAAGGTCCTGGCCATTGAACAACTTCTGAGCCTGCACTTTAAGAAGGCGCTCTTGTTTTGAATACGTAGTCTGTCCTGTTCTTTCAAAGTAAGTGCTTTTATCAAGGGCCTGGACTGTCTTTTAAACATATTTTTTTCTCACTTGTACATTAAAGGGAAATGTATTTCTGTCTAGAAAAGGAGACCGGGAGAGGAATGAGACTGTGCGGTATTCAGGCTTGGTTTAAACTAGGGCATGCACACTGCATAGCTATTTTCTTCAGGCAGCATGTGGCCAAAAAACATGCGTGTGTAGCTGACTGTTTTGAGCTTTGTTTATTTTAAGTACTGTATACTGAGGGATTTTGTTCAAGCAAAGGAGTACCAGCTTTATATGCAGCCACAGATGCCTCTCTTGCTTGGTAGTGCTAGATTTAGAGCTCAAAATTTTCCTTTTCAGCAAGAACTAGAAGTTCCCTAGTAGTATTTTTTCCCCTCATGCCTGTTTGCACTGTGCAGAATTCTTAGAGAACACGGCTTTGCAAATGTTCTGCGGCAGTCTCAGGATAGCACGGTATGTCAGCAGATATGGGTCCCGGGCCTGTTTGCTTAGCTATGCTTTCTTAATGCAGGTTCTTGCTTTACACGATTTCAGACAATAACTCAGTATTTTCATGATCACAGCTGAATATACGCCACGGATGGATGTGTATTTTTCTTCCTCTCTTGCAGATTTTTTTTAACCAAAACACACACACACACACGCGCACACACACATACACACACACACAGAAATACAAAATAAAACTGGATTTGGTAGCATTGTATTTGTCTTAAAATTCTGGATAGGGATTATGCTGGGTCACTCTGGTCCACAGCAGCCTCATGAACTACTCTGAATTCGATGACAGACCCTGAAATGAGGGGTCTGTGACACCAACTCAGCCTGGCTTGGATGTTGTAGATGGGAGCATGGACCAGTCATTCCTTTTCAACTGGGCCACTATTTATTGAGCGCCTACTGTGTACCAGATATAGTCAAAAAATGAGAGATACAGCTGTTAGCAAACAGGTCTCTGGCCTCCTGGAGGTTTTATTCTAGCTGTGAGAAGGAGTGTCAGAAAATGAAGAACCCACACAAGTGTAGAACACAATGTAAAGCCCTAGGAAGTGCTAAGAAGAGAGGACAGGGGAAGGAAGGTGGAGAAGAGAGCGCCAGGAACGTCCTGTGTGTACCTGCCCTGCCTTGTACTTCCGCCTCTGGGTACAATCTAAAAACCCATGCTGTCTCTCTGAACTTGCGTAAAAAAATAGCCCAGAGGTCACCAACTCATGCTCCCTTGCAAGTTTATTTTATTTGGCTGCCGGTGCTTTTTGATTTTTTAGGTTTGATTTTATTAATGATTTTTTAAATAAAAACAGGCAATTTTATGTAAAAATTCAGAATCTTAGCTTCTCTTGAAAAAAATCAAAAGCTCCTACAGTCCTGGGCCCACCCTCTGCTTAGCCACAGAGCTGAGTGAGGAGGGCCCTGTTAGGCCGGAGGGCATATGACCTTCAGATCCTCACAACTCCTACTTAGCTCACCTCCTCTGAAGGCAGCTGTGTTTTAGCCTATTTTGTTGCTGGCCCTACAATCATTCGTTACTTCTCCCAGGGCAGCAATGCTTCTGGTGTCAGGGACCCCACCCCCCTTACTGGATGGGCCCTGTGGATGCTTCCTCCTCTGGCTTTCTCTCCCAGTCATTTTATTGAGGTTTGCCTCTCCTTGAGGGCTGCAAGGGGTGGTGAAGGTGCCAAGCTATCAGAGTCCCAGGCCAAGTCACAGAAGCTGTCTGTCGAAGAATGAGCCCTGTCCTTCTGCAATCCCAGATTCCTTTTGCCTAGCCTAGTGGGACAGGGGACTGAATGTGGATGCACAAAATCTAGTTTCTTTCTTTTTTTCTTTTATTTTTTTGAGATGGAGTCTCACTCTATCACCCAGACTGGAGTGCGATAGCGCGGCCTTGGCTCACTGCAACTTCCGCCTCCCAGGTTCAAGCAATTCTCCAGCCTCAGCCTCAGCCTCCTGAGTAGCTGGGATTACCAGTGCCTGCCAACACACCCAGCTAATTTTTGTATTTTTAATAGAGATGGGGTTTCACCATGTTGGCCAGGCTGGTCTCGAACTCCTGACCTCAGGTGATCCGCCCACCTTGGCCTCCCAAAGTGCTGAGATTACAGGCGTGAGCCACCATGCCTGGCCACAAAATCTAGTTTCTTTCTACTTATTATATTCACAGGTCTAAATAGCTAAGATGCTTTTGGAGTTACGGGTTCATTACACTCCTGCCTAATTAAAACCCAGCCGATGCTCTGGTTATTTCCTCTTTTCTCCCTTATACAATTCCACCCACAAAGTCCTTCTCAGACTCTTTCTTCCCCAAATGGAATTAGCTGAAGCGCATGTTATTTTGCTCCAGTTACTGTTTATTTATTTCCATGTGGCTGTTCAGAGTAGAATGCTATTACCTGACAGGTAGGTGTAGAAATTCAGCAATCGCAAGAGGCAGTGTCATTCATCCAAGCTGGACCCAGTGCTCTGGGGGGGTACATTCCACGGGGTCCTTGGCTTGACTTGTAAGAATCTCAGCATCCAGCAGTATCCTCCTCCTGTTTCTGCTGATTCAACCAATGTTGGTCTAGAATTCACTCCCTTAACACACAGAATATTTCCAAATGTGCATCACTATCAGAACCATACACCTGCGAGCCCTCTACTCAGCATATAAGTGTTTCACTTACACTCATCACCCTTCCTTACTCCATGATAGATAATAGGTTTTTCTCTGGGCAATGCCTTCCCCTGCTACGTGGGTCTTTCAGTAGCTCACCTCTGAGCATCCTTCCCAGGTTTCTGCCCCCAGTCAGTATCCGTGTCAGTGAGGAGTTGTCTGATGCTCACTCCCAGGGCTTGTGGTTCTTCTGCTGAGAGTGGATCTCTTCATAGCTGTCTTAGGGCCATGTGTACTTACACCCAAGAACTGGCAGCTTTAGCATCACCTGGGAGCTCCAAAAAGTAAACTCCAGAGCCCACTCCAGAAATGCTGAATCAATATCTGCACTTTAATAAGATTTCCAGGTAATTCATGCAGACATTTAAGTTGGGAACACCCTGGCTTATACCATGGCCCAAGCCATGCAGAGGCTTTCACAGCTACCTCTGGGCCCATTGATCCCAGCCTCTCATTAAAAACTCCCTTCACCAATGTACAGATGTCATTTGATCATTGGTTATGAGTTCCCATAGTCATACCCACGCATTTTGTAACCTTCATCATGGATAGTTACACTCTCCATCTATAGGTAAATATAACTAGCAGTTGGCCAGACTATAAAAGATCCTTGGGGGCTAAGTCATTTATTATAAAACACCTAAATGGTTACTGGGGGAAAGTAGTCTTGCAGTGTAGTTTAACAGTAGATGTAGAATGTGGAAAAACTAATTAAAGTCAATAAAAGACAGTTGTTGTTAAATACACTGTTAACCACCAATCGAACAAGACAAAAGTGGTTAAGAGCTGACACGGGAGTCCAGTGGCCAACCTTGGTTAGAGTTCAACTTTGCTTCCAGCTGCGTAACCTTGGAGAAGTTATTTAGCCCAGTCATTTGCAAGTCTGTCTGCTCAGTAAAATCATCTGTGGAGCTTGGACATGGATTTTCAGCTGCTTGGGATTTACCTGGTTCAGTAGCTGGTCAAGGCTCAAACATCCGCACTTTAAAAAAAAAAAAAAATCCTGGTCATTTTGATGCACAGCCCGTTTCGGGAACCACTGGCAACCTCTTGGAGCCTCTCATTCCTCCTTTCTTGAATGAGGACAGTAACAGAGAAGCCTCCTGAGTTTTTGAGAGAACTGAACGGTAGCATGAAGGGAAGGAAGAGTCCTGCCACATGCCTACACATAGTTGTTGCTCACTTGTTGGTAGTGATGATGACGGTGATGACCATGGTGGTGGTGATGGCGAGGATGCAGGCTCCATTTACACACTCACTGAATAAACTCAAATCTAGCCTCCTTTATTTCTCAAATACAAGCCTTACTTTATGTACACATCTGTTTAGAAGCCCACAAACATAGATTGTCAGAATAAACCCTATTATTTTATTATGGCTGCTGATAGCTCTGTTCTAAGCTTGATTCCACCTTTTAATAACTCTGACTTAGTTTTGTTCCGTGCCTTCAGTTTTCCAAGAGCTTTAAATATATCATCAACTTTGACATTCCCTCCAATGTTAAGAGATGTGCATTGGGAGGCCGAGGAGCAGGGTGGATCACCTGAGGTCAGGAGTTCAAGACCAGCCTGGCCAATATGGTGAAACCCCATCTCTACTAAAAATACAAAAAAATTAGCCAGGCATTGTGGCAGGTGCCTGTAATCCCAGCTACTGGGGAAGCTGAGGCAGAAGAGTCGCCTGAACCTGGAAGGCAGAGGTTGCAGTGAGCCAAGATCATGCCATTGCACTCCAGCCTGGACAACAAGAGTGAAATTCCGTCTCAGAAAAAAAAAAAGACAGATATGCAGAGATATCACATGAATACATTCATTTTATAACTGAGGAAACAGGCTTAGAGAAGTGAGGGGCTTGCTTAAAGCTGCCCACTGTGCAACCTTGAGTGAGGTTTAGATCTCTGGACTCTGAGTCTGTGCTGACTGCTAGTCTTTCTATCTAAAGCTCATATTAAGGGAAATTTTCCAGGCAAATCTTGATTGACTGGTAATGAATATCCCCAGATTAGATGAACAATTGCCTGGGAAGCGTCTTTGTTTCCTGAGTCAGGCTCCAATTTAGTCTTATCGTCAGGTCTTTTCAAATCCCAGGAGACCAAACACAGAAGATCTTTTTTTTCCAGTGGAGAATCAATGACCACTGAGAGTAAAATAATGAAGCCCCACTTAAGTGAAAATAACACAGGTAATTGTTAGAGAGAAGAAATATGGCATGGCCCAGTAACTCTATATTGTAGCACTTGTATTTGCAATTTTTCATGAATTCGTTCAGGTAATTAATTTTATGAAATAATGCCAGGTGGCATGGTTCCACTTTCCCAGCCCTCCTGGAAATATCTGACTTACTAGACAAGCACTTTTACTGGAAAGTTATGTCAAGGAGTTCAGGAGAATGTACTGGAAAACACACAAATCAAACATTAAGTCAATATACAATCTGCTGACACCATACTAGCAGGAACCTCAACAAAAGCCCCCTTGCCTCCCCCACCATTGTCAGCAGAGAGTTCAGCCTTCCAGCTTTCTTAGATATGATATACGAAAGTGTATGAGGAGCCAGGAATTTCCTCAGCTGCACCTCAGTTTAATTACCATCTCTCTTCGCTTCCAGCACTGGTCGTAATGCCCAGAGAGATGGCTACTCTCTACTTTTGAAAACCACAGAACCAACTGTAACTGTATCTATCTAAACTTGTCTTTGCTAGAGTCATTTATACACCCTAACCTTCTTTTATGTCACTAGAAGAAGGGATGTTGAATCACCCCCACTAGGGGCTGCCATCTTGGTTTGCTCCCCTCATCACCTTTTCTATTGTTGACTAAGGATAGCTTTGTCATTCCTTGCTGGGCTGTGCAATAGCTACTTTACACTCAGTCCAGTGATCCATAATTACAAGTTTAGAAGAGGAAACACAATGCCCTAGTCAATTAAGACAATTAGATGTTAGAACACAAACTCTATGTTATTTAAGAATTAGGGCATCAAAAACTTGACAAGTGTGCCCAATGTGATCCAAGGAGCTAACCCAACTATGCTAATACCTCATCTGGAATTCTACTTCCAAGCAAAAGAGTTTGAAATAAAAATAGCTGGAGAGAGTCAAGTACTGTTCCAGGTACTACATTACCTTATTTTGATAACTTCAGTCACCGTTGCATAAAATAAGATTTATTCAGGCCGGGCCTGGTGGCTCATGCCTGTAATCCCAGCACTTTTGGAGGCTGAGGTGGGTGGATCACCTAAGGTCAGGAGTTCAAGACCAGCCTGGCCAACATGGTGAAACCCCCTCTCTACCAAAAATACAAAAATTAGCTGGATATGGTTGCACACCTGTAATCCCAGCTACTCAGGAGGCTGAGGCAGAAGAATCACTTGAACCCAGGAGGCAGAGGTTGCAGTGAGCCAAGATCGCACCACTGCACTCCAGCCTGGGTGACAAGAGTGAAACTCTGTCTAAAAAAAAAAAAAAAAACAAGATTTATTCAATAAATATGTATTTTTCAACAGATTTATTCATAAATATTTGTGACGTGGCTCTTCTGGGCCATGCACTGTGCCAGGTGCAGGAGATGACATGATGAGCCAAGCCAGCCCCAGCTTATTAACAGGACTCCAGTTTAGTGAAGGAGAAAAGCCATTCCACTCACAGGAAATGTGGATATTCTGAAGGGAAAGAAGACAGCTCTATGAGCATGCATGAGGGAGGAGGGAGGACTTTATTTGGACTGAAGTTAAGGAACTAAAATGTGAGTTGTAGTTAATTAGGTGAGAAGGAAGGATTTCTTTTCCTTATTATAAAAAGTTATGTCATCTGCTTCCAAGAAAATCTGACCTAATTATTTAATATGAAGAGGTATGAAAAATAAAACAAGCTAAAGTTTGTCATGGCTAAAACTGTCCTTTTAATCTTTAAAGTGTGCTGCTCACCATCTCACACACCATCTTCTATTATTGGATAGGTAACTCACGCTCTAGGTCCATAGTAGGCCCTCGTAAATGTTTTGAGATTCTTTAAGGCAAAGAATAATGATTGGCTGTTTGCTTTATCATACAATCCAAAATAGTAAATGTGAAAAGTGAGTATGTGGGTTTTGAAACTGTGTTTGTCATTGAAGATCTCATGGAGCACTGTGAAAAGGGAGCATTATAGTTCAAGCCAAGTAAAAACATAGTAAAGATGAACATCGGCTGGGTACGGTGGTTCACACCTGTAATCCCAGCACTTTGGGAGGCCAAGGCAGATGGATCACCTGAGGTCAGGAGTTCAAGACCAGCCTGGCCAACATGGTGAAACCCTGTCGCTACTAAAAATACAAAATTAGCCAGCCGTGGTGGCAGGCGCCTGTAATCCCAGCTACTCGGGAGGCTGAAGCAGGAGAATCGCTTGAACCTGGGAGGCAGAGGTTGCAGTGAGCCAAGATTGCGCCACTGCACTCTAGCCTGGGCAAAAAGAGGGAAACTTCATCTCAAAAAAAAAAAAAAAAAGAAAAGAAAAGATGAACATCAAAGTAATTTCTGATTAATAATATCATGGTGAAATACTGGAATAATTAATAAGTAGTACATTAGCTTAATGTGTGCCAAGGGAGTGATAAGATAAGTAAAAGCTACTTCACTAAAAGCAATATTTCCTAGAACAGAACCTGCTATTCTTCATCCCCCTTCTCTGCATCTGGCTTCCCCTCCCCCAACAACCTCCCTCACAAAAAAGAAAGAAAGTAAGGTATATAAACCATGTATTGACAATCACTTATTCAACTCTATTTATGCCAAGTAAGACTTAATTTTAACTTGAGAGCTAAGCATTTTAGAATATTGATACAGAAATCAGGAAACAAAAAAGAAAAATGCCCACTCTCTCTCCGTTCCCAAATTAACAGTTAGTGTCACAATGATTGTTATTAGATACTCACTCATCCTTTTCATCATTCATTCATTCATTCTGTGAGCCTTAACTGATTATTGTACTAAGGGCTGTGGGGCCACCCGAATGCACAAGACACAAAGAGATGTTCACACAAATACAGTGTATATGTTAATTAATATTCCAAAGTGAGCTATTAGTAGTTGGTCATGAAAGAGTTCTGTGGTCAAGTAAATTTGGGAAACACCAAGTTAAACAGAATTGATCTGATGTATTTGCTGCAGGACCTCTCTGAGTCTAATATGTGGCAAGAAGGGGATTTTGAAACACAGCATTTATATCACATTTTTCTAACCTATCACCTAGTAACTCATGATTAGTTGGGTACACTCTGGGAATCACTAACGTAGGCAGTAAAACAGGGTTCTGCCTTCAAGGTAAGAAGGCTGATATTAGTAAGGCAGATTAGGGCCCGAAGCAAGAGGCATGGGGTTTGGGTGGGTCAGATTCCCACTCTGATGGAGGGGTAGCAGCAAACCTCCAGTGGAGAGGAGGTGAAAAACCAAAACCAAGCACCATCCTCTAGACCAAGCAGACTTGATGGGGGATTTATTTTATTTGTGTGGTTAATGTTAACACTATTAATTATTACTAGTAAAAGCAGTGTGTTGAGGTGACCCTCAACAGAGTACCAGGAATTTTAGCACAAGGGCTAAAGAGTATAGACTCTCAGCTCAGAGTTTTTAGGTTTGTATCCATGTTTTACCACTGCTGACTTAGATGACTTGAGGCAAGTTATTTTGCCTCTCTATGTCTTAATTTATTCATATGCAATTAGAAATAAGAAGAAGAATAGTGGTATTCAGTGGGATAACATGGGTGAAGCACTCTTCACATTCCTGGCACTTGGCAGGTTTTCATTAAGTGCTCATTAATTATTAAATGCTCATTAGTCTTCCCAATCCTATGAATCTGATATTGTCTTCTCTATTTTATAGATAATAAAATTGAAAATCAGAAAGTTTAATGCGATGTTAGAATTACACAGTAAAGGCCAGGCGTGGTGGCTCACGCCTGTAATCTCAGCACTGTGGGAGGCCAAGGCAGGTGGATCACCTGAGGTCATGAGTTTGAGACCAGCCTGGCCAACATGGTGAAACCCTGTCTCTACTAAAAATACAAAAAAATTAGCCGGGTGTGGTGGCACATGGCCTGTAGTCCCAGCTACTCGGGAGGCTAAGGCATGAGAATCGCTTGAACCTGGGAGGCGGAGGTTGCAGTGAGCCGAGATTGTACCACTGCACTTCAGCCTGGGCAAAAGAGTGAGACTCCATCTCAAAAAAATAAAAAATAAAAAAAATAAAAAAATAAAAAAAAAGAATTACCCATTAAAAAGTAGTGGAGCTAGCATTCAAACCCACATTAGTTTAACCCCAAGCCCCATGTTTTTCTAGTGTAGCGTGCCAATAAAGCGACTGAGAGGCGTATGGATACCAGATTATGGAACTAATTATATATTTCATTTACAGGTAGATCCTGGTCAAGAATGTCTCCAAAACTGGATTAAGCCAGTGTACTTGAATGGGAATATAGACAACCAGGACAGACTTGGAATGTTTTTTAATGTATTGGCCCAGCAAAGCTAGAAATCCTCCACTTTACCTAACAGAAGATAATTAGAATTAAAAATGGCACTAACTGAAAACGTACTTGTTAAATTGCCTGTGCTTATAGAGTTGTTGTTGGCCCTGTCGTTTTTGGTTGGCAAAAAGAGACATATTTTTATTTGTTGGAGCTAACAGAGGCAAATGTCTTGAGTTGGGCAACAGTTACATTGCTGATGGTAGGGAATGGCTTCTGTAGGGTGAAAGCTTGGATAGAAAATCCCTACATCTAGCAGTGGGAAGTGCACCCCAGTTTGTTTTTTTTGTTTTGTTTTGTTTTGTTTTTGTTTTTACCAATTCAACTCTTAGTGAAATATGAATGATCTCTTTTACCTTAGCCCCCAGATATGGGAAAAAGTCAGCACTCTCAAGGAAAACAAAACAAACAATAGTATGCTTCAGTCTGCACTATTCTTCTACAAAAAATGTCCACTTTGGCCAGGAGCAGCAGCTCAACCTGTAATTCCAGCACCTTGGGAGGCAGAGGAGGGGGGATCACCTAAGGTTAGGACTTCGAGACCAGCCTGGCCGACATGGCGAAACCCTGTCTCTACTAAAAATACAAACATTAGCCAGGTGTGGTGGTGCATGCCTGTAGTCCCAGCTACTCAGGAGGCTGAGGCAGGAGAATCACTTGAACTCAGGAGGTGGAGGTTGCAGTGAGCTGAGATCGCAGTGCTGCGCTCCAGCCTGGGCAACAGAGTGAGACTCCATGTCCAAAAAAAAAAACCGTTCAATATATAATTTTTAGAGTTATAAAACATGGAAAGAAGCAAGATAATATGATAAATAAATAGAAAAAATACTATCAACAGAAGCAGGCCCACAGATGGATCAGATACTGGAACTAGCAGAGAAAGACTTTAAAACATCTACTGTAAATATATTCAAGGATGTTCAGAAAAAGATGGCCAGAATGAATAAATAGTTGGGGGATTACAACAGAGAAATGGGAGCCATAAAAAAGAAACAAATGAAATTCTAGAGTAAAAATAAACATCTGATGTAAATAATGGATTGAATAGGCTTAACAGCAGAACAGAAACTGAAAGAAAAGATTAGTGAACTTAAAGAATGGTTAATAGAAATTATTCAAACTAAAGCACAGGGAAAAAAAATATTTAAAAACACTTTACCCATCATCAATCAGTGACCTATTAAATGGCCTAAAATGTGAGTAGTTGCAATCCTAGAATAATGAGAGAGAGAATGGGCCAGAAAACATATTTAAAGAAATAACAGCTGAAATATATGGGATACAATGAGAAAATATCAATCTATAGATTCAAGAATCTCAGTGAATTCTAAGTAGTAGAGACACAAATAAAACCACACCCAGGCACATCATAGTCAAACTTCTGAAAACCAAAGATAAAGAAAATATAAAAGCAACCACAGGAAAAAATGATATGTTGCATATAGAGGAATAATGACAAAAAATTATGGCTGACTTCTTATCAGAACAATGAATGCCTAAAGGCAATGGAAAGGCATCCCCAGTTGAGAAAGAATTTGTGGAGGATGTATACACCATGCTCTGAGGACAGATAATAGAGGGTACAATCTGGTTAAGGGATCAAGACAGGCTTTCTGAAGAAAGAACTATCTGAACTAAGATCAGAAGCGTGAGATGTTAAGTAGGCACTGAGAAGGGAAGATGTTCCTGGTATATGCAAAGCCCCCATTGCAAAAGAAAACACTTCACGTGGAAAGACCGAAAAGTGGCAAGATAGGTGCAACACAGGGAGCAAGGAAAAGAGATGAGCCACACTAGCCATTATAGGACACAATATGGATTATTGTTTTCATTCTAAGAAAAATAAGATTTTCAAGTGTTTTAAGCTGTGCAGATCACTTCTGCTGTCATGAAGCAGCAAATTTGTGTTTGAAAAATTCTGGATAAAGTAGAGAGGCACCAGAGTAGCTGAGGAGATACCAGGAGGCCATAGGAGTGGCTCAGGTGAGAAATGATGGTGGCTTGGACTAGTTGATGGTATCTGTGAAGATGGAGAGAGGTGGACAGATGTAAGGTTGATTTAGTGATTTAGTAGATAGAAGTCATAGGACTTAGTCATTGCTTGGATGTGGGAGATGAGGGACACAGGGGTATCAAGACTGACTTGTAGGTTTCATCTAGTTGGGTGGATGAAGGTGCCATTTACTGATGAAGGAAACTGTGAAAAGGAGCAAGAATTATTTATTTTTATTCAACAAGCATTCACATAGTGCCTATTGTGTGCCAAGCACTATTCTAAGAAAGTTTGCAAACATTAACCTCTTTTACAAGAGTGAGAGGTTGGTACAATTTTTGCCCCAGTTTTACAGATGAGGAAATTAAGAAATTAATTAACTTGCCCAAAGCATTAATTGGTAAATGCTGAAGTAGGATTGGAACCCAGACAGTGTGGCTCCAGGGAACAAGTTCTTGGGCTCTGCACTAGGTTGCTTACAAGGAAGTATAATGAGGATGAGTCGCAGGAGACTGAGGCATTCAAGTGGCCATAGGGACCTGGAACTGATAAGAGAAGTTATGGCTAGTGATGAATATTTGAAAATTATTGGCATAGGAAAAGTAGTTTGTCTTGATGTAAAGAAATTGCCTTTTTTTCCCCTTAAACAGGAGCCTTATGTCTAGAGCTCCAGTTCTGTTGCTGTGCTGTGAGTAGCATCCCAAGCATGTTCTTTGAAGAGGGCAGAACCTTTTTCCTGAGGAGTATGACTTCCATGTCTTCCTCGTCGGATTTGTTCTCTTCTATTTGCTCTTTCTCACATGTTTGCTGCCCCCTAGTGGCCCTTGGAAGCTCTGCCCCAAGTGCAAGGCAGTTTAAACCCTTGGGGGTTAAATGCAGCTGGTGCAGAGTGACCTGGCTGCCCCTGGTACAGGACCGGGCAGCTCTGAACTCCAGGAACATGTGGCACGGACTCCACCCCAATTACATGGTACCTTCAGTTAAACACACGGGATAAGCACACCAGCAGGGGACAAACTGGAAAGCGTTTTGTTCTGTGACAGTGATGTTATTTACCAAGTGGCTACTGACAAAGCGAAAATTCAGATTTCAGTGGTTGCTGAATTTTGGCCATATCAATCATATCTTTATTGTGACAGTAAGGGGCCCATCAATGAGTGCTTCTGTCTCATAACAAAAGAGTAACTGGCAGGTTTTTGCTTTGTTTTGTTTTTTATTTTTTATTTTTTATTTTTTTTAATTTTTCAGTGTTACTTATTTCTTGCTTAACCAAATTAGTCAGTAAAAAATTACAAACCTGGTCCAGTGCAGTGGTTTATGCCTGTAATCCCAGCTCTGTGTGAAGCCAAGGCAGGAGAATCACTTGAGACCAGGAGTTCAAGACCAGCCTGGACAGTATGGTGAAACCCCGTCTCTACTAAAAACACAAAAATTAGCCAAGCATGGTGGAACACACCTGTAATCCCAGCTACTTGGGAGGCTGAGGCATGAGAATTGCTTGAACCCAGGAGATGGAGGTTGCAGTGAGCTGAGATTGCGCCACTACACTCCACCCTGGGTGACAGAATGAGACACTGTCTCAAAAAATATATATATATGTATGTGTGCGTGTGTGTGTGTGTGTGTATAACCTAAAGAAATCAATAAATATTGAGGCTACAAGAAAAAAGAAAACAATGGCTATAATTCATTGAATGATATCTGTATATCAGCCACTTTATAGATTTCATCTAATTTAACATTCACAGCAGCTTACAAGGTATTGATGATATTATTTCACATATGATGAAACTGAGGCTGCAGGGATAAGTCCTGGGCTTTCCCAGGACCCTATAGCTATGGAGGCAGAGATGAGATTCAGACCCAGTCTTCATGATTTTAAAACTATGTTCTTTCCCTGGTGTTATGATGCCTTCAAATGAATCTATAATTACTTACTTAGCAGTTACCTCACAAAAACTAAGCTATGAAAAGTAGTTTTCTCCTCCAAAGAGTCTTCAATGCAGTAATGAGGTTAACATGCATTCCTAGGGGGAAACAAACTATTAAAAATAATAACTTTACCATTTAAAATGCCATTTCCTCCTTTGCTTCCTCTGAATAGCTACTATAAATAGACCGGAGATGTTCTATAAGTAAAGTATACAGCCCTGGGCCACTATCCTTGTCCATTTGCACTTCCACCTTCTCCCTACTTCCCAGTCCCCAGGCCCTCCTGCCATTCAATCACATCCTCAGACTCTTACATGACACATATATGGCTTGATCTGAGTACAAGGAGGTCGCTTCCACCCATTTATGAACAGTCACATCACATGTCTGTTGAAAACAGAAGGCTACACATTTGTATGTAATAGTTATATTTAAAAGAATTGATATCAAAATGACAAGAGTGGTTATGATGGCTAGCAGGATTTTGCATAATTTCTTCTTATCTGCATTTTCCGCAATTACTTACCTGTGCGATGAAAAGAATACAGTTCAATTTCCACATTCTAAAGAGAGAAAAATTGTTATTTTTCTCAGAGAGGAAACAGGAATTTTATTGAAGCATCTAAAAGCTTCAAAACTTCAAAGATTTTTGCCTCTTAAGGACATAGAGATGGGGGTTTTCATTAACTTATTAAACACAAAAGAATTAAAGAAAATTACAAATATTCCTGTCAGCATAGCACTGCAGAACAAGCCATGGAATTGCTAAAATAATCTGAGCTCTGTTTGTTGTTGTTGTTGTTGTTTGAGATGGAGTCTCACTCTGTCACTCAGGCTGGAGTGCAATGGTGCCATCTTGGCTCACTACAACCTCCGCCTCCCAGTTTCAAGCAATTCTCATGCCTCAGCCTCCCGAGTAGCTGGGACTACAGGCGTGTGCCACTATGGCCGGCTAATTTTTATATTTTCAGTAGAGACAGGGTTTCACCATATTGGCCAGGCTGGTCTTGAACTCCTGACCTTGTGATCCGCCCGCCTCAGCCTCCCAAAGTGCTGGGATTACAGGCATAAGCCACTGCTCCTGGCCCTGAGCTCTGTTAATAGGAAGGAAAACATAAGGAGAAATACTAGGAAACAGAGAAGAAGGGAGGGAGGAAGGTGGGAAGGAGACAAAAGGAAGGGAGGGAGGGAGAGAGAGGGGACCAAAGAAAGAGAAAGAAGAAGAGGCTGCAGGATTTGTTGTATTCTTTCTAGCATTATTATTGTTTTTATTTAAGTTCATGTTTCTCCACTCCTTACCTCTTAATTTTATTATTTACCATTCACAAATCACAAAGTAATGATAAAAATGCACAAATCTCTAATTTTTAAAAATTTTACTTGACAAATAATAACTGTGGGATTATCCCAACAAATATATATTTGCGGGATGAAATGTTATGTTTTTATATACGTTTATATTGTGGAATGATTCAGACAAGCTAATTAATATATCCATCCTTACATAGTTATTTTTTGTGGTGAGAACATTTAAAATCTACTGTTTTTGCAGTTTTGAAATATGCAACACCTTATTATTAACTACAGTCACCATACTTCGCAATAGATCTCTAAAACTTATTCTAACTGACGGAAACATTATACCTTTTGACCAACATCTCCCCATCCCTCCCCCTTCCCCCAGCCTCTGGTAACTACCATTCTACTCTCTGCTTCTGTGAATTTGACTTTTTTAGATTCCACATATAAGTGAGATCATGCAGCATATGTCTTTCTGTGCCTGGCTATGTTGCTTAACATATAACCTGAACATCCTCCACGTTCATCCAGGTTATTGCAAATAACGGAATTTTACTCCTTTTAAAGATTGAATAGTATTCCATTTTCTATGTATACCACACTGACTTTAGCCATAAATCTCTACATTTTGCTTTTATGTTTGTTTTTCTTCAATAGAGCATCTGTCTTTTGTAAAAAATAATTACTATTGTCAGCCAGGCGCGGTGGCTCACGCCTGTAATCTCAGCACTTTGGGAGGCCAAGGCGGGCAGATCACAAGGTCAGGAGACCAAGACCATCCTGGCTAACACAGTGAACCCCGTCTCTACTAAAAATACAAAAAATTAGCCAGGTGTGGTGGCGGGCACCTGTAGTCTCAGTTACTCCGGTGGCTGAGGCAGGAGAATGGCGTGAACCCAGGAGGCGGAGCTTGCAGTGAGCCGAGATCGCACCACTGCACTCCAGCCCGGGCGACAGAGTGAGACTCGGTTTAAAAAAAAAAAAAAAAAAAAATTGCTATTGTCGAGAAATAGTTCTTGCAGTCTGCTTCCCCTTCTAAAATATCTGAGGATAATTAGTCTAGATGACTTGGAATACTGAATTTGCTCCTCCATTTTTTCTTATTTACCGTGAAAACTTGATAATATGGATGCAAAAGTATATTTTCATATAGTCAAGAAATTAGGAAAACAAAATGGACAGAAAGTAGGTCAGGATGCACTAGCTTCTATCATGGAAACAAACAACCCTCATATTTTAGTGGCTTAAACAGGTGACCATGTTTTGCTCATTGTCCTAGTCTATGGGTCGGGAGGGTAGCTCTGCTCATTCTAGCCGCTCTTGGTCCTGGTGACAGCCACCATCTCTGAGGTTGCCAGTTTCCATCTCAGAGGTAAGGAGAATTCTGGGGTTCTGCACAGCCATTTAAACACCTCAGCATGAAAGCTACACCTACTCTGCTTACAACTCATTGGCCAGAATTGGTCCCATGGCCCTCCTAACCACAGCGGGCCAGGAAGTGTCATCCTGCCTTGTGCTGGGTAGCTGAGAGCAGACAGCCTAAAGAAGAGCACAGATTTTATTACAGAAGCATAAAAAGAGAAGCTATAATATCAGATAACATAAGTTTATGTTGAAATGTATAAAATTGTTCATACTTTGCTATCTTGACCTACAAAAATGGCAATTTCATAAGGTTCATGCTAATAAGTTTAAAACACCTTTTGTTGTCTTTTTTCTGACACCACTCCTGACACCAAACATCTGGTCTTCCACACTAATTCTCCAGTTCCCTGAGACCAACTGGGTATCCAACAATTCAAATCAATTCTGGCACTCACTCCTGGAGTTAGCCCAAATCCTACAGGTTAAAGGCACATTCTCACAAGGCTGCTCCCACTTCAGGCATCAGCCGAAAACAGGGTTCCCAGGATTCCCATGCTTTTGCCCAAGCAACTACAAATTTGAAGGTTCCCAAAACTCCCCCCTCAGGTTCAATGATCTGCTAGAATGACTTATAAAACACAGGGAAGAACTATACTTACTATGACAGCTTCTCATCAAGGGTACAAATGAACAGCCAGATGAAGAGGAAACTTGAGGGGGGGTGTGGATTCTGGAGGGTGGGGTGCACCACCCTCCCAGCACCCAGGTGTATTCACCAGCTCGGGAGCACCCCTGGGCCACATCATTTAGGGTTTTTTATGGAGGCTGCATTATGTAGGCATGATTGATTAAATCACTGGCCATTGATTGTTGGATCAGTCTCTACCCCTTCCCATTCTCCCAAGGTCAAGGGGCGGGCTAAAAATTTCCACCCTCTTGTCACATGGTTGTTTCCTCTGTTGACAGCCCCCCATCCTGAAGCTGTCTAGGGACCTACCAAGAGCTACCTCATTACCATAAACTCTGGTAGGGGTGAAGGGGCTGATTATGAGTAACAAAAGACACTTCTCTCACTCAGGAAGTGTTTTTTTGTTTGTTTTGTTTTGTTTTCATTTTTTGAGACAGAGTCTCACTCTGTCACTCAGGCTGGAGTGCAGTGGTGCGATCTTGGCTCACTGCGTCCTCCGCCTCCCGGGTTCAAGCAATTCTCTGCCTCAGCCTCCTGAGTAGCTGGGCTTACAGGCATCTGCCACCACGCCCAGCTAATTTTTTGTATTTTTAATAGAGACGGAGTTTCACCATCTTGGCCAGGCTGGTCTTGAACTCCCGACCTCATGATCCACCCGCCTCGGCCTCCCAAAGTGCTGGGATTACAGGCGTGAGCCACCGTGCCCGGCCTCAGGAAATGTTTTAAGAACTTCTATGCCAGGAACTAGGAACAAATAAAGACCAAATAAAATATATATTTTTATTATACCGCACACCTCCTTCAAGAATAAATGTAAATAAATATCACCTAACAACAGAAAAATTCTCAAACTGGACCAAACTACAAAATTCATCTATATTCTATTTAAAAGAGACACGCAAAAGGAATGATTAAAAGTAAAGACATAAAAGTAAAATAAATAAATGTCAGCTTAATATGAAATCTAGTGAGATTTGAGGAGGAGAAGTGTTTAATGGGACAAAGTTGATTATTCTGTATTGATGAAGTTATAATCTACAGTGACAAAGGACCATGATCCTCTACACTCCTAATAGTATAGAATCAAAATAGGTAAAGCAAAAACTGCTAGAAGTTAGCAGAAATGTATGTAATTGTGTTGGGAGTTTTAATTCATTATTTTGCACATAAAAAAGATAAATAATATTACATAAAATCAAATAATATTTACAATTAAAACTTGTACTGACCATTTTGCCATGAAATAGACTATGTCATCATTGCAAGGATCTATAAAGCATCTATACAATTAGCAATATACTACTGGGGCATGAGAACATCCTCAATAAATTTCAAAAAGGAGAAATTATTGAAGGCACATTTTCCGATCACAATACAATTAGACATTAATGATTTTTAAAATTTCAAACATTTTCAGATTGAAAAGTACTATTGGCCAAAGGGGAAATTGAAGCCATAATTTGACTATTTAGGAAATAATGTCAATATAATAATTATACATTAAAACTTAGCAGATGTGACTAAAATTATTTACAGGGAAAAATTCACAGTTCTGTATGTTTTTATTATTTAAGATGAAAGAAAAGAAAATAACTGTGTTCAAGTAAAAAAAAATTAGAAAACCCTCAGCCAAAGAAACCTAGGGAAAGAAAAATTAAATAACTAAAATATAAGAAGAAATTAATAAACTATAAACAAAATATAGTGAAACAGTGGCATTGATAAATAAATCTAAAAATATTTACTTGGGGGACCAAACACTCTGGCATAGCTAATTAAGAGAAAACAAATATTCATGATTAGAATCAGAAAAGGAATATAAAATTATGTATAGTTCAAAGAGAAATATTAATAGAAATTTTTATGTTCAGAATTTTAATAATATATTTGAAAGACTTGATGAGTTAATTTCCTTAGAAAATTACCATACTTAAGAAGTAGAAAATTTCAAAACACTGAAGTTATGAACATAACTATAAAACTTGCCAGATAATTTTTAATGAAGTTTTCAGAACCACACCATTTCACAAATGAATACTGATAAACTTTCAAGCAGTACAAAATTCACCTGATAGTTATCACAGACAAATATAGAACACTTGCCACTTCATATTGGTGCTAGAATCCCTTTAAATTATTAGTAAATCAAAACCAACAACTTATAATTTACGCATTTATTTTAAAATATTCATTGAGTCTCTCTAAAGTGCAAGAGACTCTACTAGGCATCCTGTGTGTGCAGAGTCTCTGCCCTCAGGGTGGTTACTTTCTCCTCGGGGAAACAGACATTTCCAACTCAGCTACAGAATTAGTTACATAAGCCAATGAGATAAATCCTAGAAGGAGACTCGCAGTGTTCTGTAACAGTGTGTGGCAGGGATCCTTACACATGGCTCAGTGGAGAAGGGCTGTAGTTTAGAGATAGGCCACCAAGATTTGAATCAAAGATCTGCAGCCTAGCAGCCTTATTCCCTGTGAAACCTTTAACCCAGAGGCTCTCACCTGGGGGTGATTTTGTCCCCCGCGGACATTTGGCAATGTCTGGAGACATGTTTCATTGTCATGACTTGGACATGCTACTGGACCTAGTGGGCAGAGGCCGGGGATGCAGCTGCACATCCCACTGTGCCCTGGACAGCCTCACAGCAAAGCTGTATCTGCCCCAAAATGTTACCAGTGCCAACACTGAGAAACACTCCTCTGTAGGATGATGAATCCCTGGGGGCTCCTGAGAGTCAGATCCACATTTCTAACTGTCCACTGGGCTTTTCCACTTCATGTGCCTCAGGCATGACAAACTCCAAATGTGTCATCTTCTCCTGACCTGTGTTTTGTTGTTGTTGTTGTTGTTTGTTTGTTTGTTTTTTTAACAAGATCTTGCTCTGTCACCCAGGCTGGAGTGCAGTAGTGTGATCATGGCTCACTGCAGCTTCAACCTCCTGGGCTCAAGTGATCCTCCCACCTCAGCCTCCTGAGTAGCTACTGGGACTACCAGTGTGCGCCACCAACCCTTGCTGATTTTTCTATTTTCTATTTTTTGTAGAGATGGGGTCTTGGTATGTTGCCTAGGCTTATGTTCATTTTTTTAAGTAAACAGTGCCACCCTCTACCCACTCTCTCATGTCAGAGCTCAGAGTGCCATTCTTAATTCATCCTCTCCCTCACCACTGAAATATTTAATAAAGTTCTGACCATCTACCTCTTGACATCTCTGGAAACCATCTACTGCTTTCCTTTGTCAGGCTTCTACTTACTTCTTCAGTTTGCCTGCCATTCATACACCTTGCCATCTCCTACAACAAGCATGCTGGAAATATTCTCTGTTTTAGTTGTACTGAATACAGCACAGCTGGCATGTGCCATGCTCCTATTGGCCACAGAACCCTCACATATTCTGCTCTTTTTGTCTGCAGCAGTTTGAAGTTGCCCCCGATCCCTTTCCCTGACACACACTTCACTGGATGAGTTGATTCCTCCAGGAGGTTTTCTATGAGACAAGGCCTGGGTGCCCCTCAAATGCACGCCCATGGCATTTCACTAACATAGAATAACACTCTATTGTCGGAACCAGAAAGACACATGTGAAATTCACACTTGAAGCATATTTGGGTTAGGAAGACAGTTTCAATATAGGAGTGAAGGAAGCTGGAGAGGATGATTGGAGTGCTGGAGGAAATAAACGAATTGAAAGGCAAGACCATCCATCTGGGAATACCCCACCACAGAGCCTACAGAATAACCAGGAAGTAGAAAACTGGGGCATTCCTAGAGCCTTTTTAACTGTTGTCAAAAGTCTAGGCTGTCTGATAACACACAAGTAGTCTAATGCATGCAAGAATACAAAGCTGGGGGCGGGAAGTGAGGGTAGGGTTACCTCTGAGGAGACAATTGGCAATGTCTGGAGGCATTTTTTGGTTTTTGCAATTGGGTGACTGCTACTGAAATCTGATGTGTAGAAGCTAGAAACCCTGCAATGCATGGGACAACCGCCATAACAAAGAATTATCTGGCTCAAAATGTAAAACAAGGTTGAGAAGCCGTGCTTTAACTTAATATTTCTCAGCCTCTATATCTTCATCTCTGAAATAGGAATGTCCACATTAGCATTGTTGTAAGCCCTGTTACTAGAATATAGTAAGTGCTCAATAATTGTTGGATTTTTTTCACTTACATTCTTTTGAAATTCTGTGTGTTATCTGTTGCTTAATAATAAACCATAACAAATCAGCCCTAAAATTTAGTGACTCAAAACAGCAATCATTTAATAGTCTCTCGTGGTTTCTGCCGGTCAGTCATTCAGCAGCAGCTTGGCTGGCAGGTTTAGACTTCGGATCTCTTAGAAGGTTGTAAGTCAGATGTCAGCTGGGGCTGCTGTCATCTGATGGGTTGACTAGGGCAGGAGGACCCACTTCCAATGTGTCTCACTAGTGTGGCTGGCAAACTAGGGAAACTGTCAGATGGAGGTATCAGCTAGCAACTCGGGCTCTCCACAGGACTGCATGTGCATCCTCAAAGCATGGCAGCTGCCTCTCCACAAACAAGGGAGCCAGGAGACTGAGGTAGAAGCTGCAGTGCCTTTATGACTTAGCCTGAGAAGTCACACATTGTTACTCCTGCTGAAT